>NC_000023.11:75795875-76098905 GCF_000001405.40 Homo sapiens
GGATTTCTGCATCAATGTTCATCAGGGATATTGGCCTGATGTTGTTTTCTTTTTTTCTTGTGTCTGTGCCAGGTTTTGGTATCAGCATGATGCTGACCTCATGAAATGAGTTCATGAGGAGTCCCTCTTTTTCTAGTATTTGGAAAAGTATCAGAAGAAATGGTACCAGCTTCTTTTTGTACCTCTGGTAATATTCAATTGTGAATTTCTTTTGTCCTGGGCTTTTTTGTTTGGTAGATTATTAATTACTGCCTCAATTTCAGAACTTGTTATTGGTCTATTCAAGGATTTGACTTCTTCTTGGTTTAGTCTTGGGTGGGTGTATGTGTCCAGGAATACATCCCTTTCTTCTAGATTTTCTAGTTTATTTGCATAAAGATGTTTACAGTATTCTCTGATAATAGTGTGTATTTCTGTGGGGTCAGTGGTGATATCCCCTTTATCATTTTTTATTGTGCCTGTCTCATTCTTCTCTCCTTTCTTCTTTATTACTCCAGCTAGTAGTCTATCTAATTTTAATTTTTTTAATAAAGACATCTCCTGAATTCATTAATTTTTTGGATGATTTTTCATGTCTCTATCTCCTTTAGTTCTGCTCTGACCTTAGTTGTTTCTTGTCTTCTGCTAGCTTTTGGATTAGTTTGCTTTTGCCTCTCTAGCTCTTTTAATTGTGATGTTAGGAGGTCGATTTGAGATCTTTCTAGCTTCCTGATGTGGGCATTTAGTGCTATACATTTCCCTCTTAACAGTGGTTTACCAGAGATTCTGGTACATTGTCTCTTGCTTCTCATTGGTTTCAAAGGACTTCTTGATTTTTGCCTTAATTTCATTATTTGTTAAGAAGTCATTCAGGAGCAGGTCATTCAATTTCTATATAGTCATGTGGTTTTGAGAGAGTTTCTTAATCTTGAGTTCTAATTTGATTGCACTGTGGTCTAGGAGACTCTTTGTTATAATTTCAGTTACTTTGCATTTGCTGAGGAGTGTTTTACTTCCAATTATGTGGTCAATTTTAGAATAAGTTCCATGTGGCACTGAGAAGAATGTATATTCTGTTGATTTGGAGTGGAGGGTTCTGTAGATGTCTATAAGGTCCACTTGATTCAGAACTGAGTTCAAGTACTGAATACCCTGTTATTTTTCTGTCTTGATGATCTGTCTAATACTGACAGTGGGGTGTGAGTCTCCCAGTATTATTGTGTGGGAGTCTAAGTCTCTTTGTATTTCTGTAAGAACTTGTTTTGTAAATCTGGGTGCTTCTGTATTGAGTGCATATATATATTTAGGATACTTAGCTGTTCTTGTTGAATTGATCATTTTATCATTATGTAATGCCTTTCTTTGTCTTTTTTGATATTTATTGATTTAAAGTCTGTTTTGTCAGAGACTAGGATTGCAACCCCTGCTTTTTTTTTTTTTTTTTTTTTTTGCCTTCAATTTGCTTGGTAAAATTTCCTCCATTTCTTTATTTTGAGCCTGTGTGTGTCTTTGCATGTGAGATGGGTCTCCTGAATACAGCACACCCATGGGTCTTGACTCTTTGTCCAATTTACCAGTCTGTTCTTTTTTTAATTGGGGATTTTAGTCCATTTATTGTTAAGGTTATTATTGTTATATGTGAATTTGATCTTGTCATAATTATTCTATCTGGTTATTTTGCTCACTGGTTGATACAGTTTTTTCATAGTGCCATTGGTCTTTATATTTTGGTGTGTTTTTGCAGTGGCCAGTACTCATTATTTCTTTCCATATTTAGTGCTTCTTTCAGGAGGTCTTGTGAGGCAGACCGGGTGGTGATGAAATCTCTTAGCCTTTGCTTGTCTGAAAAGCATTTTATTTCTCCTTCACTTATGAAGCTTAGTTTGGCCAGGTATGAAATACTGGATTTAAAATTCTTTTCTTTAAGACTGTTGGATATTGGTCCCCACTCTCTTCTGGCTTGTAGTGTTTCTGCTGAGAATTATGCTGTTAGTCTGATGGACTTCCCTTTGTACGTGAACTGGCCTTTTCCTCTGGCTGCCCTTAACATTTCTTTTTTCCTTATTTCAACCATAGAGAATCTGATGGTTATGTGTCTTGGGGTTGATCTTCTCATGGAGTATCTTAGTGGTGTTCTTTGTATTTTCTGAATTTGAATATTGACCTGTTTTGCTTGGTTGGGGAGGTTCTCCTGGAATATATCCTGAAGTCTGTTTTCCAACTTGGTTACATTCTCTTCATCTCTTGCATGTAGTCCAATCAATCATAGGTTTCATCTTTTTTATGTAGTCCCATATTTCCCAGAGATTTTGTTCATTCCTTTTCATTTTTTTCTCTAATCTTTCCTGCCTGCCTTGTTTCAGCAAGATGGTCTTCAAACTCTGATATTCTTCCTTCTGCTTGTTTGATTCAAATATTGATACTTTTGTATGTTCACAAAGTTTTCATGCTGTGTTTTTCAGCTCCATCAGGACATTTATGTTCCTCTCTAAACTGGTTATTCTAGTTAGCAGCTCCTCTAACCTTTTATTAAGGTTCTTAGCTTCTTTTCATTGGGTTACAACATGCTCCTTTAGGTCAGCAGAGTTTGTTATTACCCACCTTCTGAATCCTACTTCTGTCAATTCATCCATCTCATCCTCCATCCAGTTCTACACCCTTGCTGGACAGATGTTGCAATCATTTGGAAGAGAAGAGGTACTCTGGACTTTTGGGTTTTTAGCATTTTTTTACTGATTCTTTTTCATCTTCATGAGTTCATCTCATTTCAATTTTGAGGCTGCTGACCCTTGGATGAGGTTTTCTGGGGGACTTTTTGTTGCTGTTGATGCTGTTGTTGTTGCTTTCTGTTTGTTTGTTTGTCTTTCAGTGGTCAGATCCCTCCTCTTTGGGGCTGTTGTTGATTGGTGGGAGTTCACTTCAGGCACTATTCATCTGGTTCACTCCTGTGCCTGCCACTGTTACTCAAGGAAGGTGTAGAACAGCAAAGATGGGTTCCTGCTCTTTCCTCTCACATCTCTGACCTCAAGGAGCACCCACCTGATGTCACTAGGAATGCTCCTGTATAGGATGTCTGACGATCTCTGTTGGAGGTTCTCACTTAGTTGGATGACACAGGCAGCAGGACCCATTTAACAAAGCACCTTGGCACTCCCTTGGTGGAGGGTGTGTACTGCACTAGGGGAAACCCACTTATCTGGGCTGTCCAGATTCGTCAGAAGTAGCAGGAGGAAAGACTAAGTCTGCTGGTCCACAGAGACTACAGCCACCCCTCCCCCTAGAAGCTCAGACCCAAGGAAATCAGATTTCTATCCCTGAGCCTCTGGCTGGAGTTATTGGAGTTCCTGCCAGGAGGCCCTGCCCAGTGAGGAGGGACAGGTCAGCTTCAGGCCTGAAGAGGCACTCTGGCCACAGACTACCACAGTCAGTGCGTTGGGCTGTGGGGAATACCTCTTGGGACCAATCCGTCCAGCCTCTCTGGCTCCAGCAGGGGAAAAGCATGGCCTGTAGCTATAGATATGGCTGCTATCCTTTCTCCATTCTGGGAACTTAGTGTTTCAGGAAGGTAGCAGTCCCAGTGTTGGCTGCTGCTCCTCTCCCAAGGAGCTCAGACAGCTTAGACAGCAAGCAGTCACAGCTGTGGTAATGGCCACCCCTCCCCCCAGGAACTCAGCAAGCTTAAGCAGATTCTAGTTTAGTGGCTGTTGAGAATCTGCATGACTCTGTGGTTTGAACCCTAAGCTCTGGTGGTGTTGGCTTGAGTGGGCTCTTTCTATCCATGGGTTGGACAGTTCTGTGAAAAAGCATGTTTTTCCAGGCTGGGTAGCATGCTCACTCACCACCTCCCTTGACTCCCCTGGCCCATGTGGCTCTCAGGCGGGCCACCACACCACACTACTCTTCCTTCTTCTTCTTGGGTCACGCCAACCACCTAGTCAGTCTTGATGACACAACTGGACACCTCAGTTGCCAGTGCAGGATTCACACAGTGTTTTGGTTCTTTTCAATGGGAGCCTCTGATCGTCACTGCTTCTTGTCAGCCATCTTGGCCCCACGCCTTAGTGCCATGTTTCTTATATAGCCTGCAGGATCATGAGGCAAAAAAGCCTCTCTTTATAAATTACACAGACTCAGATATTCCTCTATAGCAACACAACCAGACTAATATAACATATATATTTTTGTATTTTTGCTTTTATATGATAATTTTCCAAAGGAAAATTTGTGGCTCAAAAAGAATTTGTGATTAAGGGTTTCCCAGCCAAGATGGTAGACAGGAGGCAGCACTAGCATGCATCTCCCACTTGGATGATCAGAATAGTGTGTGGAGGTTCACATTTTGACCTTTTGTTCCATAAACCACCAAAGTAACATTCCAGGAAAACCAAAAGACTTCACAGATCCTTTGAAAGAAGCAGCACTCCACTGAAAATTCCATAATATGGTGAAAAACTTCCCAGAGTGTGAGAGGGGGAGAACCTTCCTCCAAACACACAACCCCACTGGGGAATCTGAAAATTGAGATAACAGGAGAAGGCTTTAACCTTACCTAGAGCTGGAATGGATTTAGGAAAAAACGCAAAATATAAAAGTAGAAGCAGAGGTGGGAAGAGCCCTGTAGGCATTTCCAGTCTCCAGCTTGAGCCCAGGGAAACCATTCCTGACTATATCTCACAGGGTCCTATGGGGAAGGCAGCCAGCCAAATTGCAGAACAGTCACATGGTAAAAGAAGCCTACAACTGAATTTTGTAATAGTTCTGAATGGGCATGAACTTCCTTAAACAGAATCTGGGGGGGCTGGACATGAACGGCAACAGATATGAGAGCAGGCATGGGATGCCCAGCATTGTGAGCAGAGAGAGAGGGATGCGGCCTGAAAGCCATGCTTGCTTTATCAGTGGGGAAGTTTATGGCCTGGGGCAGATCTGAGTTCTGTGCACAGGCCTCCTGGATTTAAACTCGGTGCTGTTAGTGGGGCACAGCTGAAGTGAAACTGGCCTCACCAACTGCATGGGATGAGTGAGGCCTTTCACTACCAGCTATCCCCAACTGCCCTGGCAAACTCTACTGCACAGCAAAGGCAACCATACTCCCTTCTGGATAATAATCCCATTGGCCTGAGAACCATTCTTTGCCATTTCCCCCAGTGGCCATGGCAAGCCCTGCCCAAGGAGAGTCTGAGCTCAGACCCACCTAACCCTGTGCCAACCTGATGGTATTTCTCTGCCTGCCCTGGTAGCCTAACACAAAAGACATAAACACTTGGAACCTTATGGCCCCACTCATCACCTGAGAAATTAGAATACTTTCACTGAACAACTTATGGCAAACTTATATCCCACTACTACTACCCCAGCAGATGGTCTCTTGATAACATTACCTTCTAACTGAGGGCCAACCAACTTGGGCCATTACAGCAACTATTGGCAGAATAACACTGCTCACAGTAAGGAGAAAACAACAGTTAACAATACTTTCTACAACACCCTGGCTAACCAGAGGTCCTGAATCTGTCCAAATGACACATTCACTGCTAGCATAACCAGCATTTGAGAAACACAGCTCAATAACCTATCTACAACCAAAGAATCTCAGAGTCGACATCCCTCCTCTGCTACTTCCACCAGAGCAGGTGCTGGTACCCATGACTGGAAGACCTGAAGACTGGTCACATCAATGGACTCTTTGCAGATATTCCCCAGCAACAGCCGAGGGCTTGGTAGCTCGGCTGGCTGGCTAGACTCAGAAGAGCTATAACAATCACTGCAGTCTGGCTCTCAGGAAGCCTTATTTTTAAGGGGAAGAGAAGACCACCACATCAAAGGATCATTTCATGGGACAAAATAATCTGAACAACAGGCCTTAAGTTCCAGATATTTCTGCTGGTGAGAAGTTTCTCACAGCAGAGATAAAATTGCAGTGCTGGGCACAGTAGGGAAAGTCTGCACCTCTACCCCAACAGGCAGGCCGCCTCTGTGATCACGAAGGACCTTGGAGAAGGGGTCCTTGTTTCCCCCTGATACTCTACCACAGAAATAGCTGGGGATTTTTTTTCACAGGAATGCACTGGGGAGGCACCTATAGAGACAGTGTTTCTGGAAAACTCTGGGGTGAGTGCAGCCACCACCATCAAGGCTGTGACCTTGGCCAACAATTGGGCTTTACAAATACTCACCTGCCTTAGCCACAACTAATGCCTACCCAGGGATACATCCGTTTTTGGCCTGAAGCCTAAGTTATCAACTCAGTAAGTAAAATACCAGGGAAAAATAAATAAATAAATAAATAAATAAAGTGTACACCATGAGAGAATGAAATAAGCTTCAAAAAAATCCCAGCCATTTCAAAACCATAGGAGACAGTGAACTCACCCACACACCAACAGCATAACTACTACAACCAGTATTGAGGAAAGATAGTGCACAAAGACTCTCTAAAACTAAGGAATTCAGAAAAAATACATTAAAAAACAGAGTCCAATCAAAAATAAATTCAAGAACAATCTGAAGAAATAGTCTACAAGAAAAAGAAGAAACTAGAAAAGTAATTTTGGTAATATGACAAAACAGGGTTCTATAGCACCTTAAAAGATCACCCTAGCTCCCCAGAAATGGATACAAAGCAAGAATAAGTCTCTGAGTTGCCAAATAAAAAATTTAAAAGGTTGATTATTAAGCTTCTCAAGGAGATACCAGAGAAAGGAGAAAACCAAATTAAAGAAGTTAAAAAAATTAAGGACATGGATGAAAAATTTTCCAGATAAATAGACATAAAGAAAAAAACAATAGCAAATTCTGGAAATAAATGACACTTAAAAATACAAAATGCAGTGAAAAGTTGCAACAGTTGACTAGAACAACAAGAAGAAACAACTTCAGAGCTAGAAGACAAGCCTTTTGAATTAACCTAATCACACCAAATCAAAGAAAAAGAAGGCAAAAAATGAACAAAGTCTCCAAGTAATTTGGGATTATGTCAAAAAGTCAAACCTAAGAATAATTGACATTCCTGAAGAAGAAGATAAATCTAAAACTTTGAAAAAATATTTGTAGAAATAATTGAGAAAAATTTCCCCAGCCTTTCTAGAGATCTAGACATTGAAATACAAAAAAACTAAAAGAACTGGGAAATTCATTGCAAAAAGATCGTTACCTAGACACATAGTGATCAGATTATCTAAAGTCAAGATGAAGGAAAGAATCTTAAGAGCTGTGAGACAAAAGCATCAGGAAACCCATAAAGAAAAACCTATCAAATTAACAGCAGATTTCTCAGCAGAAACCTTACAAGCTAGAAGAGAGTGGGGTCCTATTTGGGGAAACAGCTGCCAATATTTCAATGTAGGTCCTTTCTATTTTCCATAAGTGTCAGTGGGTCTGAGAAATAAAGAGAAAGAGTACAAAGAGAGAAATTTTACAGCTGGGCCTCCGGGGGTGACATCATATGTCAACAGGTTCTGTGCATCATATGTCAACAGGTTCTGTGATGCCCCTTGAGCCACAAAACCAGCAAGTTTTCATTAGGGATTTCAAAAGGGGAGGGGGGTAAGAACAGGGAGTAAGTCACAAAGATCACTTGCTAGAAAGGGCAATAAAAGGTCATAAGGGCAGAGAGGCAGAGCAAGATCACAAGGCCAGGGTGAAATTAGAATTCCTGATGAGGTTCCATGTCCCCCTGGGCATGCATTGTCATTGATAAACATCTTAGCAGGAAACAGGGTTCACGAGCATACAACTGGTCTGACTAGAATTTGCCAGGCTGGAATTTCCTAATCCTACCAAGCCTGAGGGCACGGCAGGAGACCAGGGCATATTTCATCTCTTATCTTCAACTGCATAAGGCAGACACTCCCAGAGCAGTCATCCATAGACCTCCCATGGGAATGCATTCCTTCCCCAGGGTTATTCCTTGCTGGGAAAAGAATTCAGCAATATTTCTCCTATTCACTTTCTGCAAGAAGAGAAATATGACTCTGTTCTACCCGGCCCCACAGGCAGTCAGACCTTATGGTTATGTCCCTTATTCCCTGAAAATCAGTGTTATCCTGTTCTTTTTTAGGATGCCCAGATTTCCTATTGTTCAAACACACTTGTTTTATAAACAATTTTTGCAGTTAACACAATCATCACAGGGTCCTGAGGTGACAAACATCCTCATCTTATGAAGATGATGGGATTAAGAGATTAAAGTAAAGACAGGCATAGGAAATTATAAGACTGTTGATTGGGGAAGTGATAAATGTCCATGAAATCTTCACAATTTGTGTTCAGAGATTGCAGTAAAGACAGGCATAAAAAACTATAAAAGTATTAATTTGGGGAACTAATAAATGTCCATGAAATCTTCAGAATTTATGTTCTTCTGCCATGGCTTCAGCCAGTCCCTCCATTCTGGGACCCTGACTTCCCATAACAGGTCCTAATTTAGTCCCCTTAAACAAAATAATTGTCAGCCAAGAATATTGTGTCCAGCAAAACTAAGTTTTATAAATGAAGGACAGATAAAGTCTTTTTCAGATAAACACATGCTGACAGAATTTACCACTACCAAACCAACACTACAAGAAATGCTAAAAGAAGTTTTAAATCTTCAAACAAAACTTCAAAATACACCAAGATAGAACCTCCTTAAAGCATGAATCTTACACGATCTATAAAACAAACAAAGAAAAATAAAAAAAAACAAGTTATTTAGACAACAACTAACATGATGAATAGAACAGTACCTAACATCTCATGACTAACACTTAATGTAAATGTCCTAAACATGCCACATAAAATATGCAGAAAAACAGAATGGATACCAATCTACTGACCTGTCTTCAGGAGGCTCACCTAACGTGAAATGACTCACATAAACTTAAGGTAAAGGTGTGAAAAAAGATATTTTATGCAAATAGGAACCAAAAGCAAACAACAGTAGCTATTCTTTTTTATTTATTTATTTATTTATTTTAATTATACTTTAAGTTTTATGATACATGTGCACAACGTGCAGGTTTCTTACATATATATACATGTGCCACGTTGGTGTGCTGCACCGATTAACTCATCATTTAACATTAGGTATATCTCCTAATGCTATCCCGCCCCCCTCCTCCCTCCCCCCACCAAACAACAGGCCCCAGTGTGTGATGTTCCCCTTCCTGTGTCCATGTGTTCCCATTGTTCAATTCCCACCTATGAGTGAGAATATGTAGTGTTTGGTTTTTTGTCCTTGCGATAGTTTGCTGAGAATGATGGTTTCCAGCTTCATCCATGTCCCTACAAAGGACATGAACTCATCCTTTTTTATGGCTGCATAGTATTCTGTGGTGTATATGTGCCACATTTTCTTAATCCAGTCTATCATTGTTGGACATTTGGGTTGGTTCCAGGTCTTTGCTATTGTGAATAGTGCCACAATAAACATACGTGTGCATGTGTATTTATAGCAGCATGATTTATAATCCTTTGGGTAGATACCCAGTAATCGTATGGCTGGGTCAAATGATATTTCTAGTTCTAGATCCCTGAGGAATCACCACACTGACTTCCACAATGGTTGAACTAGTTTACAGTCCCACCAACAGTGTAAAAGTGTTCCTATTTCTCCACATCCTCTCCAGCACCTGTTGTTTCCTGACTTTTTAATGATCGCCATTCTAACTCGTGTGGGATGGTATCTCATTGTGGTTTTTATTTGCATTTCTCTGGTGGCCAGTGACGATAAGCATTTTTTCATGTGTGTTTTGGCTGCATAAGTGTCTTCTTTTGAGAAGTGTCTGTTCATATCCTTCGCTCACTTGTTGATGGGGTTGTTGTTTTTTTCTTGTAAATTTGTTTGAGTTCATTGTAGATTCTGGATATTAGCCCTTTGTCAGATGAGTAGATTGTGAAAATTTCTCCCATTCTGTACGTTGTTTGTTCCCTCTGATGGTAGTTTCTTTTGCTGTGCAGAAGCTCTTTAGTTTAATTAGATCCCATTTGTCAATTTTGGCTTTTGTTTTCATTGCTTTTGGTGTTTTAGACATGAAGTCCTTCCCATGCCTGTGTCCTGAATGGTATTATCTAGGTTTTCTTCTAGGGTTTTTATGGTTTTAGGTCTAACATTTAAATCTTTAATCCATCTTGAATTAATTTTAGTATAAGGTGTAAGGAAGGGATCCAGTTTCAGCTTTCTACATCTGGCTAGCCAGTTTTTCCAGCACCATTTATTCAATAGGGAATCCTTTCCCCATTTCTTGTTTTTGTCAGGTTTGTCAAAGATCAGAAAGTTGTAGATATGTGGCATCATTTCTGAGGGCTCTGTTCTGTTCCATTGGTCTATATCTCTGTTTTGGTACCAGCACTATGCTGTTTTGGGTACTGTAGCCTTGTAGTATAGTTTGAAGTCAGGTAGCGTGATGCCTCCAGCTTTGTTCTTTTGGCTTAGGATTGACTTGGTGATGTGGGCTCTTTTTTGGTTCCATATGAACTTTAAAGTAGTTTTTTCCAATTCTGTGAAGAAAGTCATTGGTAACTTGATGGGGATGGCATTGAATGTATAAATTACCTTGGGCAGTATGGACATTTTCATGATATTGATTCTTCCTACCCATGAGCATGGAATGTTCTTCCATTTGTTTGTATCCTCTTTTATTTCATTGAGCAGTGGTTTGTAGTTCTCCTTGAAGAGGTCCTTCACATCCCTTGTAAGTTGGATTCCTAGGTATTTCATTGCCTTTGAAGCAATTGTGAATGCGAGTTCACTCACGATTTGGGTCTCTGTTTGTCTGTTATTGGTGTATAATAATGCTTGTGATTTTTGCACATTGATTTTGTATCCTGAGACATAGTTGAAGTTGCGTATCAGCTTAAGGAGATTTTGTGCTGAGATGATGGAGTTTTCTAGATATACAACCATGTCATCTGCAAACAGGGACAATTTGATGTCCCCTTTTCCTAATTGAATACCCTTTATTTCCTTCTCCTGCCTGATTGCCCTGGCCAGAACTTCCAACACTCTGTTGAATAGGAGTGGTGTGAGAGGGCATCCGTGTCTTGTTCCAGTTTTCAAAGGGAATGCTTCCAGTTTTTGCCCATTCAATATGATATTTCCTGTGGGTTTGTCATAGATAGCTCTTATTATTTTGAGATACGTCCCATGAATACCTAATTTATTGAGAGTTTTTAGCATGAAGGTTGTTGAATTTTGTCATAGGCGTTTTCTGCATCTATTGAGATAATCGTGTGGTTTTTGTCTTTGGTGCTGTTTATATACTGGATTACGTTTATTGATTTGCGTATGTTGAACCAGCCTTGCATCCCAGGGATGAAGCCCACTTGATCATGGTGGATAAGCTTTTTGATGTGCTGCTGGTTTCTGTTTGCCAGTATTTTACTGAGGATTTTTGGATCGACGTTCATCAGGGATATTGGTCTAAAATTCTCTTTTTTTGTTGTGTCTCTGCCAGGCTTTTATATCAGGATGGTGCTGGCCTCATAAAATGAGTTAGGGAGGATTCCCTCTTTTTATATGGATAGCAATAGTTTCAGAAGGAATGGTACCAACTCCTCCTTGTACCTCTGTTAGAATTCGGTTGTGAATCCATCTGGTCCTGGACTTTTTTTGGTTGGTAAACTATTCATTATTGTCTCAGTTTCAGAGCCTGTTATTGGTCTATTCAGAGATTCACCTTCCTGGTTTAGTCTTTGGAGAGTGTATGTGTCGAGGAATTTATCCATTTTTTCCAGATTTTCTAGTTTGTTTGCATAGAGGTTTTTATAGTATTTTCTGATGGTAGTTTGTATTTCTGTGGGATGAGTGGTGATATCCCCTTTATCATTTTTTATTTCATCTATTTGATTCTTCTCTCTTTTCTTCTTTATTAGTCTTGCTTAGCGGTCTAACAATTTTGTTAATCTTTCAAAAAACAGCTCCTGGATTCATTGATTTTTTGAAGGGTTTTGTGTGTCTCTGTTTCCTTCAATTCTGCTATGATCTTAGTTATTTCTTGCCTTCTGCTAGCTTTTGAATGTGTTTGCTCTTGCTTCTCTCTTTCTTTTAATTGCAATGTTAGGATGCCAATTTTAGATCTTTCCTGCTTTCTCTTGTGGGCATTTAGTGCTAGAAATTTCCCTCTACACACTGCTTTGAATGTGTCCCAGAGATTCTGGTATGTTGCGTCTTTGTTCTCATTGGTTTCAAAGAACATCTTTATTTCTGTCTTCATTTTCTTAGGTACCCAGTAGTCATTCAGGAGCAGGTTGTTCAGATTCCATGCAGTTCAGTGGTTTTGAGTGAGTTTCTTATTCCTGAGTTCTAGCTTGATTGCACTGTTGTCTGAGAGACAGTTTGTTATAATTTCTGTTCTTTTACATTTGCTGAGGAGTGCTTTACTTCCAACTATGTGGTCAGTTTTGGAATAGGTGTAGTGTGGTGCTGAAAAGAATGCATATTCTGTTGATTTGGGTTGGAGAGTTCTGTAGATATGTATTAGGTCCGCTTGTTGTAGAGCTGAGTTCAATTCATGGATATCCTTGTTAACTTTCTGTCTCGTTGATCTGTCTAATGTTGACAGTGGGGTGTTAAAGTTTCCCATTATTATTGTGTGGGAGTCTAAGTCTCTTTGTAGGTCTCTAAGGACTTGCTTTATGAATCTGGGTGCTCCTGTATTGGGTGCATGTCTATATTTAGGATAGTTAGCTCTTCTTGTTGAGTTGATCCCTTTACCATTATGTAATGGCCTTCTTTGTCTCTTTTGATCTTTGTTGGTTTAAAGTCTGTTTTATCAGAGCCTAGGATTGCAACCCCTGTCTTTTTTGTTTTCCATTTGCTTGGTAGATCTTCCTCAATCTCTTTATTTTGAGCCTATATGTGTCTTTGCTTGTGAGATGGGTTTCCTGAATACAGCACACTGATGGGTCTTGACTCTTTATCCAATTTGCCATTCTGTGTCTTTTAATTGGAGTATTTAGCCCATTTACATTTAAGGTTAATATTGTTATGTGTGAATTTGATCCCATCATTATGATGTTAGCTGGTCATTTTGCTCGTTAGTTGATGCAGTTTCTTTGTAGCCTCAACAGTCTTTGCAAATTGGAAGTTTTTGCAGTGGCTGGTACTGGTTGTTCCTTTCCATGTTTAGTGCTTCCTTCAGGAGCTCTTGTAGGGCAGGCTTGGGTGTGACAAAATCTCTCAGCATTTACTTGTCGTAAAGTGTTTTATTTCTCCTTCACTTATAAAGCTTAGTTTGGCTGGCTGTGCAATTCTGGGTTGAAATGTCTTTTCTTTAAGAATGTTGAATATTGGCCCCCACTCTCTTCTGGCTTGCAGAGTTTCTGCTGAGACATCAGCTGTTAGTCTGATGGGCTTCCCTTTGTGGTTAATCTGACCTTTCTCTGTGGCTGCCCTTAAGAATTTTTCCTTCATTTCAACTTTGGTGAATCTGACAATTATCTGTCTTGAAGTTGCTCTTCTCGAGGAGTATCTTTGTGGCATTCTCTGTATTTCCTGAATTTGAGTGTTGGCCTGCCTTGCTAGATTGGGGAAGTTCTCCTGGAGAATATCCTGCAGAGTGTTTTCCATCTTGGTTCCATTCTCCCCATCCCTTTCAGGTACACCAGTCCGACATAGATTTGGTCTTTTCACATAGTCCCATATTTCTTGGAGGCTTTGTTCATTTCTTTTTATTCTTTTTTCTCTAAGCTTCTCTTCTTGCTTTATTTCATTCATTTGATCTTCCATCACTGATACCCTTTCTTCCTGCTGATCGAGTCAGCTTCTGAGGCTTCTGCATTCATCACATAGTTCTTGTGCCATGGTTTTCAGCTCCATTAGGTCCTTTAAGGATTTCTCTGCATTGATTGTTCTAGTTAGCCATTCTTCTAATTTTTTTCAAGGTTTTTAACTTTTTGGCCATGGGTTCGAACTTCCTCCTTTAGCTTGGAGTAGTTTGATCATTTGAAGCCTTCTTCTCTCAACTCGTCAGTCATTCTCTGTCCAGCTTTGTTCCGTTGCTGGTGAGCAGCTGCATTACTTTGGAGGAGGAGAGGCGCTCTGCTTTTTAGAGTTTCCAGTTTTTCTGCTTTGATTTTTCCTCATCTTTTTGGTTTTATCTACCTTTGGTCTTTGATGATGGTGACGTACAGATGGGGTTTTGGTGTGAATGTCCTTTCTGATTGTTAGTTTTCCTTCTAACAGTCAGGACCCTCAGCTTCAGGTCTGTTGGAGTTTGTTGGAGGTCCACTCCAGACCCTGTTTTCCTGCGTATCAGCAGCGGAGGCTGCAGAACAGCAGATACTGGTGAACAGCAAATGTTGCTGCCTGATCGTTCCTCTGGAAGTTTTGTGTCCGAGGATTACCTGGCCGTGTGAGGTGTCAGTGTCCCCCTACTGGGGAGTGCCTCCCAGTTAGGCTACTTGGGTGTCAGGGACCCACTTGAGGAAGAAGTCAGTCCGTGTTGAGATCTCCAGCTGCATGCTGGGAGAACCACTACTCTCTTCAAAGCTGTCAGACAGGGACATTAAAGATTGCAGAGGTTTCTGCTGGCTTTTCTTTGCCTATGCCCTGCCCCCAGAGGTGGAGTCTACAGAGGCAGGCAGGCCTCCTTGAGCTGTAGTGGGCTCCACCCAGTTCGAGCTTCCCAGGTGTTTTGTTTTCTTTCTCAAACCTCAGCAATGGTGGGCTCCCCTCCCCCTGCCTTGCTGCCGCCTTGCAGTTTGATCTCAGACCGCTGTGCTAGCAATCAGTGAGCCTCCGTGGGTGTAGAACCCTCTGAGCCAGGTGTGGGATATAATCTCCTGGTGTGCCATTTGCTAAGACTGTTGGAAAAGGGCAGTATTAGGGTGGGAGTGACCCAATTTTCCAGGTGCTGTCCGTCACCCCTAGGAAAGGGAATTCCCTAACTCCTTGCACTTCCCAGGTGAGGCAATGCCTCACCCTGCTTCATCTCAGGCCCAGTGAAATGCACCCACTGTCTTGCACCCACTGTCCGACAATGCCCAGTGAGATGCACCTGGTACCTCAGTTGGAAATGCAGAAATCATTCGTCTTCTGCATCGCTCACACTGGGAGCTGTAGACTGGAACTGTTCCTATTCGGCCATCTTGGCTCCACCCTCCAAGAGTAGCTATTCTTATGTGAGAGAAATCTTTAAAGTAACAACAGTAAATTTTTTAAAAATGAAGACATTATATAATGATCAAAGGATTAATCCAACAGGAAGATATCACAACTTTAAATATATATGCATTTAACACTGGAAATCCGCAATTTATAAAACAATTACTACTAGACCTAAGAAAAGAGATAGGCAGGACCACAGTAATAGTAGGGCACTTCAATACTCCACTGACAGCACTAGACAGATCAAGACAGAATGTCAACAAGGAAACAATGAAAAACTATATTCTAGAACAAATGGACTTAACATATGTTTACAGAACATTCTACCCAACAAATGTGGAATATGCATTCTATTCATCAGCACATGGAGCATTCTCCAAGATATGCCATATGATATGTCACAAAACAAGCCTCAGTAAATTTAAGAAAATCAAAATCATATCAAGTATCATCTCATACTATAGTGGAATAAAACTGGAAATTAACTCCAAAATAAACACTTAAAACCATATAAATATACGGTAATTAAATAATCTACTCTTAAATGATCTTTGGGTTGACAATGAAATAAAGATGAAAAATTAAAATTAATTGAACTCAACGATATAGCTTGGATTTGTGTCCCCACCCAAATATTGTCAAATTGTGATCCCCAGTGTTGGAGGAGAGGCCTTGAGGGAGGTAACTGCATCATGGGAACAAATTTCTCCCTACCTGTTCACATGACAGTGAGTGATTTCTCACAAGATCTGATTGTTTTAAAATGTGTAGCCCCTCCCCCTTCCCACTCTTCCTTGTGCTTGAGCCAGGTAGGATGTTCTGGCTTCCCCTTCACCTTCCATCATAATTTTAAGCTTCCTGTGGCATACACAGGCAGGCTTCCTGTACAGCTTGTGGAACCATGAGTCAATTAAACCACTTTTCTTTATAAATTACCCAGTCCCAGGTACATCTTCATAACAATGTGAGAATGGACTAATACACTTAACAATAACAGTGACACAACTTATCAAAACCTCTGGATTTAGCAAAAGTGTTGCTAAGAGGAAAGTTCATAGCATTAAATGCCTGCATCACAAAGTCTGAAAGAGCACAAATAGAAAACCTAATGTCACTCCTCAAGAAACTAAAGAAACAAGAATAAATCAAACCCAAGCCCAGCAGAAGAAAAGAAATAACAAAGACCAGAACAGAACTAAATTCAATTGAAACAAAAAATACGAACTATAACTGAAACAAACAGCTGGTTCTGAGAAAACATAAACAAAATTGCTAGACCATTAGTGAGTAACCAAGAAAAGGAGAAGATCCAAATAAGCTCAATTAGAAAGGAAATGGGAGATATTGCAGCTGATACCACCGAAATACAAATAATTATTCAAGGCTATTATGAACACCTTTATGTACACAAACAAGAAAATCTAGAGAAAGGTGGATAATTTCCCAGAAATATACAACCTTTTTAGATTAAATTTAGGAAGAAATAGAAACTCCAATCAGACAAATAACAAGGAGCATGATTGAATTAATAAAATAAAAATTGCCAAAAAAAGATGTCCAGGACCAGATGAATTCACAGCTGAATTATATCACACATTCAGATAAGTATTAGTAGCAATCCTACTGACTCTATCCCGAAAGATAAAGAAAGAAGGAATCCTCCCTAAACTGTTTAATGAAGCCAGTATTACCCTAATACCAAAACCAGGGAAGAACACAACACAAAAATAAAACTACAAACAAATATCCCTGGTGAACATAGATGTAAAAACCCCAAACAAAATACTAGGTAACTAAATAAAACAGCATATCAAAAAGATAACACATCATGATCAAGTGGGTTTCATCCCAGGAATGCTGGGGTGGTTTAACATACAATAGTCAATAAATGTGGTACAACACATAAACATAAGTAAAAACCAAAATCATATGATCATCTCAATAGATGCAGATAAAGCATTTGTCAAAATCCAGCATCACTTTATAATTAAAACACTCAGCAAAATTGGTATAGAAGGGACATATCTTAAGGTAGTAAAAGCTGTTCGTGACAAACCCACAGCCAACATTATATTGAATGGGGAAGAGTTGAAAGCATTTATTCTGAGAACTGGAACAGGATGAGTGTGCCCACTTTAACGACTTCTCTTCAACATAGTATTGGTTATAATAGCTAGAGCAATCAGAAAAGAGAAAGAAATAAAGGGCATCCAAATTGGTAAAGAGGAAGTCAAACTGCCACTGTTCACTGATGATTATACAATCAGATACCTAAAAAACCCTAAAGACTCCCCCAAAAAGCTCCTAAATCTAATAATTGAATTCAGTAAAGTTTCAGGATACAAAATTAACATAGACAAATCAGTAGCACTGCTGTACAACAAAAACCAAGCTGATAATTAGACCAAAAACTCAACTCCTTTTACAAGAGCTGCAAAAAAAAATAAAATAAAATACATAGGAATATACTTAACTCAAGAAGTGAAAGATCTCTACAAGAAAAACTACAAAACACTGCTGAAAGAAATTATAGATGACACAAACAAAGAAAAACACATCCCATGCTCATGGATCATGCTCATAGAATCAATAAGTGAAAATGACCATACGGCCTAAAGCAATCTATACATTCAGTGCAGTTCTTGTAAACTTATCATCACCATTCCTCACAGAAATAGAAAAAACTATTTAAAATTCATATGGAACCAAAAATGAGCCCACATAGCCAAAGGAATACTAAGCAAAAACAACAAATCTGGAGGCAAAATATTACCTGATTCAAACTATACTTTAAAGCTACAGTCACCAAAACAGCATGGACTGCTATAAAAATAGGCAAATAGACGAATGGAACAGAATAGAGAATCCAGAAATAAAGCCAAATGTTTACAGTCAACTGATCTCTGACAAAGGAAACAATAACATAAAGTGAAGAAAGGAAACCCTGTTCAACAAATGGTGCCAGGAAAATTGACAAGCCACATGTAGAAGAATGAAACTGGATCCTCCTTTCTCACCTTATACAAAAATCAATGCATTACCAACTAAGGTACTGACTCATCTCATTGGAACTGTTCAGACAGTGGTTGCAGCCCAAGGAGGGTGAGCTGAAGTTGGGAAGAGTGTCACCACATCTGGAAAGAGCAAGAGGTATGGGAACTCCTTCCACTACCCAAGGGAAGCCATGAGGAACTATGCCATGAGGAACAGTGCATTCTGGCACAGATACTGCACTTTTTCCACAGTCTTCACAACCCGCAGACCAGGAGATTCCCTCAGGTGCCTATACCACCAGGGCCCTGTGTTTCAAGCACAAAACCTTGCAGCCTTTTGGGCAGACACTGAGCTAGCTGCAGGAGTTTTTTTTTTCATACCCCAGTGTCACCTGGAATACCAGAGAGAAAGAACCGTTTACTCCCCTGGAAAGGGGGCTGGAGCCGGGGAGTGAAGTAGTCTAGCTCAGTGGATCCCACCCCCATGGAGCCCAGCAAGCCAAAATCCACTGGCTTGAAATTCTCACTGTCAGCACAGCAGTCTGAAGTTGACCTGGGAAACAACAGCTTGGTGGGGGGTGGGGGGGCATCCACCATTACTGAGGCTTAAGTAGGTGGTTTTCTTTTCACAGTGTAAACAAAGGCACCAAGAAGTTCAAACTGGGTGGAGTCCACTGCAACTCAGGAAAGCCGCTGTAGCCAGACTGCCTCTCTAGATGCTTCCTGTCTGGGCAGGGTATCTCTGAAAGAAAGGCAGCAGCCCCAGTCAGGGGCTTATAAATAAAACTCCCTTCTCCCTAGGTGAGAGCACCTAGGGAAAAGGCAGCTGTGGGCACAGCTTCAGCAGACTTAAACGTTCATGCCTGCCAGCTCAAAAGAGAGCAGAGGATCTCCCAGCACAGTGCTCGATCTCAGACTGCCTCTTCAAGTGGGTCCCTGACCCCCTTGTCTCCTGTCTGGAAGACACCTCCCAGCAGGGGTCGACAGGCACCTCATACAGAGGAGCCCTGGCTGACATCTGGCAGATGACCCTCTGGAACCAACCTTCCAGAGGAAAGAACAGGCAGCAATCATTGCTGTTCTGCAGCCTCCGCTGGTGATACCCAGGCAAAAAGGGTCTGGAGTGGACTTCCAGCAAACTCCAGCAGACCTGCAGCACATGGGCTGGACTGTTAGAAGGAAAACTAACAAAATGAAAAAAATAGCATCAACATCAACAAAAAGGACCTCCACTCAGAAACCCCATCCAAAGGTGACCAAAATCAAAGAAAGACCAAAGGTAGATAAATCCAGGAAGATGAGGAAAAACCAGTGCAAAAAGGCTGAAAATTCCAAAAACCGGAATGCCTCTTCTCCAAAGGATCACAACTCCTCACCAGCAAGGGAACAAAACTGAATGGAGAATGAGTTTGACAAATTGACAGAAGTAGGTTTCAGAAGGTGGGCAATAACAAACTGCTCAAAGCTAAAAGGGCATGTTCTAATCCAATGCAAGGAAGCTAAGAACTTTGAAAAAAGGTTAGAGGAATTGCTAACTAGAATAACCAGTTTATGGAAGAACATAAATGACCTGATGGAGCACGAGAACTTCGTGAGGCATACACAAGTATCAATAACTGAGTGATCAAGTGGAAGAAAGGATATCAGAGGTTGAAAATCAACTTAATGAAATAAAGTGCGAAGACAATATCAGAGAAAAAAGAATGAAAAGGAATGAACAAAGCCTCCAAGAAATATGAGACTATGTGAAAAGACCAAACCTACGTTTGATTAGTGTACCTGAAAATGATGGGGAGAATGGAACCAAGTTGAAAAACACTCTTCATGATATTATCCAGGAGATCTTCCCCAACCTAGCAAAACAGGCCAACATTCATATTCAAAAAATAGAGAGAACATAAATATACTCCTCGAGAAGAGCAATCCCCAGACACATAATCTTCAGATTTATCAATGTTGAAATGAAGGAAAAAATGTTAAAGGCAACCAGAGAGAAAAGTCTGGTTACCCGCAAAGGGAACCCTTCAAACTAACAGCAAATCTCTCTGCAGAAACCCTGCAAGCCTGAAGACAGTGGGGGCTAATATTCAACATTCTTAAAGAGAAGAATTTTCAACCCAGAATTTCATGTCCAGCCAAACTAAGCTTCATAAGTGAAAGAGAAATAAAATCCTTTACAGATAAGCAAATTCCGGAAATTCTGTCACCACAAGACCTGCCTTACAAGACCTCCTGAAGGAAGCACTAAACATGGAAAAGAAAAGTCGGTACCAGCCACTGCAAAAACATACCAAATTGTAAAGACCATCAACACTATGAAGAGACTGCTCAACTAATGGGCAGAATAACTAGCTAGCATCATAATGACAGGATCAAATTCACACATAGCAATATTAACCTTAAATGTAAACGGGCTAAATGCCCCAATTAAAAGACACAGACTGGCAAATTGAATAAAGAATCAAGACCCTTTGATGTGCTGTATTCAGGAGATCCATCTCATGTGCAAAGACACTCATACACTCAAAATAATGGGATGGAGGAATATTTACCAAGCAAACGGAAAGAAAAAAAAAACAGGGGTTGCAATTCTAGTCTCTGATAAAACAGACTTTAAACCAACAAAAATCAAAAAAGACAGAGAACAGCATTACATACTGGTAAGGGGATTAATGCAACAAGAAGAGCTAACTATCCTAAATATATATGCACCCAATACAGGAGCACCCAGATTCATAAAGCAGGTTCTTATAGACCTGCAAAGAGACTTAGAATCCCACACAATAATAATGGGAGACATTAACACCCCATTGTCAAAATTAGACAGATCAACAAAACAGAAAATTAACAAGGATATTCAGGACATTAACTCATCTCTGGGTCAAGCGAACCTAATAGACACCTACAGAACTCTCTGCCCCAAATCAAGAGAATATACATTCTTCTCAGCACCACATCGCACTAATTCTAAAATTGACCTCATAATTGCAAGTAAGACACTCTTCAGCAAATGCAAAAGAACAGAAATCATAACAAACAGTCTCTAAAACCACTGGGCAATAAAATTAGAACTCAGGATTAACAAAGTCACTAAAAACTGCACAACTACATGGGAGCTGAACAACCTCCTCCTGGATGACTACTGGGTAAATAACGAAATGAAGGGAGAAATAAAGAAGTTCTTTGAAACCAGTGAGAATGAAGACACAATGTACCAGAATTTCTGGGACACAGCTAAAGCAGTGTTTAGAGGGAAATTTATAGCACTAAATGCCTACAGGATAAAGCGAGAAAGATCTAAAATCAGCACCCTAACATCAAAATTAAAAGAACTAGAGAAGCAAGAGCAAACAAAACCAAAAGCTCACAGAAGACAAAAAATAACTAAAATCAGAGTAGAACTGAAGGAGATGGAGACAGGAAAGACCCTTCAAAAAAATCAATAAATCCAGGAGCTGTTTTTTTTTTTGAAAAGTTTAACAAAATAGACTGCTAACCAGACTAATAAAGAAGTAAAGAGAGAAGAATCAAATAGAAACAATAAAAACAGATAAAAGGGATATCACCACTGATCCCACAGAAATACAAACTAACATCAGAGAATACTATAAACAGCTCTATGCAAATAAACTAGAAAATCTAGAAAAAATGGATAAATTCCTCGACACATACACCCTCCCAAGACTAAACCAGGAATAAGTCGCATCCCTTAATAGACCAATAACAAGTTATGAAATTGAGGCAGTAATTAATAGAATACCAACCAAAAAAAAGCCCAGGACCAGATAGATTTGCAGCTGAATTCTACCAGAGTTACAAAGAGAAGATGGTACCATTCCTTTGGAAACTATTCCAAACAATACAAAAAGAGGGACTCCTCCCTAACTCATTTTATGAGGCCAGCATCATCCTGATACCAAAACCTGGCAAAGACACAACAAAAAGAAAATTTCAGGGCAATATCCTGATGAACATCAATGTGAAAATCCTCAATAAAATACTGGCAAACCGAATCCAGCAGCACATCAAAAAGCTTATTCCACCACTGTCAAGTAGGCTTCATCCCTGGGATGCAAGCCTGGTTCAACATATGGAAACAAATAAATGTAATCCGTCACATAAACAGAACCAATGACAAAAACCACATGATTATCTCAATAGATGCAGAAAGGCCTTCGATAAAATTCAACACCCTTTTATGCTAAATACTCTTAATAAACTAGGTATCGATGAAAAGTATCTGAAAATATTAAGAGCTATTTATGACAAACCCACAGCCAATATCATACGGAATGAACAAAAGCTGAAAGCATTCCCTTTGAAAACTAGCACAAGACAAGGATGCCCTCTCTCACCAGTCCTATTCGACATCGTATTGGAATTCCTGGCCAGGACAATCAGGCAAGAGAAAGAAATAAAGGATATTCAAATAAGAAGAGAGGAAGTCAAATTATCTCTGTTTGCAGATGACATGATTGTATATTTAGAAAACCCATCGTGTTAGTCCAAAATCTCCTTTAACTGAAAAACAACTTCAGCAAAGCCTCAGGATACAAAATCCATGTGCAAAAACCACAAACATTTCTATATACCAATAATAGACAAACAGAGAGCCAAATCAGGAGTGAACTCCCATTCACAATTACTACAAAGAGAATAAAATACCTAGGATTAAAACTTATAAGGAATGTGAAGGACCTCTTTAAAGAGAACTACACACTACTGCTCAAGGAAATGAAAGAGGACACAAACAAATGGAAGAACATTCCATGCTCATGGGTAGGAAGAATCAATATCATAGAAATGGCCATAGTGCCCGAAGTAATTGATAGATTCAATGCTATCCACATCAAGTTATCATTGATTTTCTTCATAGAATTAGAAAAAAACTACTTTAAATTTTATATGGACCCAAAAAAGAGCTTGTATAACCAAGACAATCCTAAGAAAAAGGAACAAAGCTGGAGTCATCACACTACTTTACTTCAAAGTATACTACAAGGCTACAGTAGCCAAAACAGCTTGGTATTGGTACCAAAACAGATATATAGATCAATGGAACAGATCCGAGGCCTCAGAAATAATGCCAAACATCTACAACGATCTGATCTTTGACAAACCTGACAAGAAAAGCAATGGTGAAAGAATTCCCTATTTAATAAATGATGTTGGGAAAACTGGGTAGCCATATGCAGAAAACTGAAACTGGACCCCTTCCTTACAACATATACAAAAATTAACTCAAGATGTATTAAAGACTAAAACGTAAGACCTAAAACCATAAAAGCCCTAGACGAAATCCTAGGCAACACCAGTCAGGACATAGTCATGGGCAAAGAGTTCATGACTAATGGACGAAAAGCAGTGGCAACAAAAGCTAAAATTGACAAACGGGATCTAACTAAACTAAAGAGCTTCTGCACACCAAAAGAAACTATCATCACAGGGAACAGGCAACCTACAGTATGGGAGAAAATTTTTGCAATCTATCCATCTGACAAAGGGCTAATGTTCAGAATCTACAAGAAACAAATTTACAAGGAAAAAACAACCCCATCAAAAAGTGGGCGAAGGATATGAACAGACACTTCTCAAAAGAAGACATTTATGTGACCAGCAAACATGAAAAAAAGCTTATCATCACTGGTGCTTAGAGAAATGCAAATCAAAACCGCAATAAGATACCATCTCACGCCAGCTAGAATTACGATAATTAAAAAGTCATGAAACAACAGATGCTGGAGAGGATGTGGAGTAATAGGAATGCTTTTAAACTGTTGGTTGGAGTGTAAATTAGTCCAACCACTGTGGAAGACAGTGGTGATTTTTCAAAGATCTAGAACCAGGAATACCATTTCACCAAGCAATCCCTTTACTGGGTATATACCCAAAGGAATATAAATCATTCTACTCTAAAGACACATGCACACGTATGTTTATGGAAGCACTGTTCACAATAGCACAGACTTGGATCCAACCCAGATTTTCATCAATGACAGACTGGATAAAGAATACGTGGCACATATACACCGTGGAATACTATACAGCCATAAAAAAAGATAAGTTTAGGTCCTTTGCAAGGACATGGTTGAAGCTGGAAACCATTATTCTCAGCAAACTAACACAGGAACGGAAAACCAACCACTGCATGTTCTCACTCCTAAGTGGGAGTTTAACAATGAGAACACATGGACAAAGGGAGTTAAACATTACACACCGGGATTGTCATGGAGTTTGGGGCTAGGGGAGGGATAACATTAGGATAAATACCTAGTGTAGATGACAGGTTGACGGGTGCAGCAAAACACCATGGCAAGTGTATACCTATGTAACAAACCTGCACGTTCTGCACATGTATGGCAGAACTTAAGGTATAATACTAAAAGAAATCTAGATATTAGGATGAAATATGAAGGTTAAAGGAGAGCAGCATAATATTGTTTCTTCTGTCAACATTTGAGAAACTAAAGATCAACAGTATTTTAACCCACTGTCTTGTTATCTATTATTGTATTAGAAAGTACCTGATAAAAGTTTATAACAGAAATGGTGTTAGGCATGAAATCAGGAGAACTACAGAGGTTTAATGACTCTGATAGATACACTGGTATATGTATATCAAGTGAATGAAAATATTAAGCCAAAAAATGAATGAGGGATAAGATATTCAAGTGACATTGGTACCCAGCACAACAGAATATAATTGAGGAAATACTTCATTTACATTTTTAAAAACATAATGGTAATTGCAATAACAAAGGCTGAGTTATAAATCTCTTGTGTCCTTTAGGACATATAATTCCTTTGCTATGCCATATAATAATGGGGCATACCGTGTGGCATGATAAGATTTAAAAAATGAACCTTGTCAGCTGTACGATATATAATTTTATTTCTATGAGAACATCCAAAATATTTAATCTGGTATTCCAAGTAAAATTTATGTTCAAATTTTATTTTTATCATATATGTCTAAGAAATTTTAAAATAACAATTTAAATGAAATTTTGACCGCAATTTGTAAATATCTGCACTCTAATTATCTTTACAAATGAGCTACACTACTTTACTTACTACCAAGGCTAATTACAAGGTAGTATACAATATTCTGTTCCTTAGAGTCTATTTCAATATGTTGTCTCCAATTAGTTCAGTTTATTTGAAAATATGGTGTAAAAAAAAGATAAAAATTTTCTTTTAAAATGTAAGATTTATTTCAATGTCAGAACATTATTTTTGACTTCGGAATAATATTTTTGAAGTAGTGCCTTGTAGGTGCATTTTTCTGGCTTCTCAAACTCATCTAAAGTTTCTGAGACAGACATATAGACTAAGTAATTTAGCAAACAGTACAATCTATAATTTAAAGATATGGAAATTCATTATATTTTAGTTGCAATACAATTGTAAGTATATTTCTATAATAACTTGTTGGCGTACATTAATTTAAAAATAGTTTTGGTATTCACCATGGAAATGTCTACCTGAACCTTGTTTAATCTTTATAAAAGTCGGTAATTATAGAATCTCTGCTTCAGAAAACCACCCAAGCTCCAGTTCTTTGTCTATCAATTTTTGTGAAAAAAAATGTTTATTGAAAATAGTGGTGTTTTCATAGTCGAATAAACAACTAAGAAAACAACAAAAAAGAAAATTTCATTGCGAAAACCCTTCTAGACTTTGGCTTAGGTGAATAATTTATAAACAAGAACCCAAAAGCAAATGCAACAGAAATGAAAAGAAATAAATAGGACCTAATTAAACTAAATAACTTCTGCACAGAAAAATAAATAACCTGCAGAATAAACAGGCAACCCACAGAGTGGGAGGATATATCTGCAAACTATGCATCTAACAAAGAACTAATATCCAGAATCTACAAGAAACTCAAACAAATCCGAAAAAAAAAACACATAATCTCATCAAAAAGTGGGCAAAGAACACGAATAAACAATTATCCAAAGAAGATATTCAAACAGCCAACAAACATAAAAATATGCTCAACATATCGCAAGGACAAAAAACCAAACACCGCATGTTCTCACTCATAGGTGGGAATTGAACAATGAGAACACATGGACACAGGAAGGGGAACATCACATACCGGGGACTGTTGTGGGGTGGGGGGAGGGGGAGGGATAGCATTAGGAGATATACCTAATGCTAAATGACGAGTTAATGGGTGCAGCACACCAACATGGCACATGTATACATATGTAACAAACCTGCACGTTGTGCACTTGTACCCTAAAACTTAAAGTGTAATAATAATAATAATAATAAAAGAAAATATGCTCAACATCACAAGTTATCAGGGACATGCAAATCGAAACCAAAATGAGATACCACCTTACTCCTGCAAGAATGGCCATAATTTAAAAAATTAGAAAAAATTAATGTTGTCGTGGATGTGGTGAAAATTGAACACTTTTAAACTGCTAGTGGGAATGTAAACTAGTACAATCACTATGGAAAACAGTATGGAAATTCTTTAAATAGCTAAAAGTAGAACTATTATTTGAACCAGCAATCCTACTACTGGGTATCTACCCAAAGGAAAATAAGTCACTGTCTGAAAAAGGCACATAGACACACAGGTTTATAGCATAGCAGCACAATTCTCAATTGCTCAAATATGGAACCAACCTAAATGCCCATCAATCAAAGAGTGGATAAAGAAATTGTGGTATATATACACCATGGAGTACTATTTAGCCATAAAATGAAATGAAATAATGGCATTTGTTGTAACTTGGATGGAGTTGGAAATCATTATTCTAAGTGAAGTGACTCAGGAATGGAAAACCAAATAACATTACGTTCTCACTTATAAATGGGAACTAAGCTATGAGGATGCTAAAGCCTAGGAATGATATAATAAACTTTGTGGACTTGGGGAAAACATTGAGAGGGGTGTGAAAGATAAAAACTACATATTGGGTACAGTGTACACTGCTTGTATGACAGGTGCACCAAAATCTCAAAAAATCACCACTAAAAACCTAGCAATTTAACCAAAACAACTTGTTCCCCAAAAGCTATTGAAATAGGAAAGAGCAATCTAAATTAAAAAAAAAAAAAGTAAAGAAAGGAACCACTGAGGAAAAAAATAAAATCATCACTACTAATATGGTCATCCAGCCTAGAGGTAAAATTATATCAACAAGACTTTATCGTATTGTAGATTAATTGTATTCTCTAACTTAAAAATATTTGTATTTTCAATTTTTATAGATATTTGCATATCATTATCTCCACCCATTGGTTTTAGATGTTCAAGGGTTTGTGCCATTTTATGTAAATTTTAGAACAAGTTTGTCAATGTCTACAAAAAAATTTCTGAGATTTTGATAGGAATTGCATTAACCTATAGACCAATTTGAGTAGAATCAACGTTGTCATTATGATGAGTCTTCCGATATATTAACACAGCATGTCACTATCCTTATTTAGATCTTCTAAATACCAAAACAACAAAGTCCTGTATATGTATGGTTAGATTCACACCTGAATATTTCATGGGGTTTTTTATTTGAGCAATTGTAAATGCCATTATATTTTTAATTTTGATGTCACATACTTATTGTTAATATATAAAAATACAATAGATTTGGATATGTTTATCTTGTATACTGTGACATTGCTGAACTCAATAATTTGTTTTAGGAAATTATTTTTGTGTATTCTTTAGGATTTTCTATGTAGACAATCATGTCATTTGCAAATAAAGTTTTGTGTTTTGTTTTCACTATGTATTCCTATTATTTCTTCTACTTGTCTTATTGCACTTACTAGGAATTTCATTTTAATGTTGCATAAGAGTGGTGGGAGTGAACATTCTTTTCTTGTTTTTGTTTATTTCCATCTAACTTTAATTTTGGTTCAGGGAATATAAGTGGTTTGTTACATGAGTAAATTATTTGTCACCGGAGCTTAGTGTAGATTTCATGTCTACAGGGGTGGGACAGCAGCAGTGAAATCTGCACATGTGCACCAGTCAATAAGTGGGGAGAGGCCATGGGTTAGTAAGTGCTGGTCAATCAGTGAGAGGAGACTGTGTGCAAGTGTTTGTCAGTAAAGCAGTTAGTGGTAGGCTGTGGGCTGGTGTACAGTAGCTTTCTGATGGTTAGGAAGGGTCTGATGGCAAAGAAACTATGGCAGGGACCACTGAGAAATGTCCCAGCTTGGCATCTGAGGCTGCATCTCAAACAGGTGTGGCCAGGCAGGGCTATGGGAGAGGCTTTCAGACAGGGCAGTGTTCAGATCATACTGGCCCCATCCCACAGGCCACATAGCCATGTTCTGTACAGGTTTGACAGTCAACAAAGGCCAAAGCCTCCTAGGGAAGCATGGCAAGCCTTGGGGAATGGGCATCTTTGGCCATGCTCCACTGCAGCAATTTTCATACCAAACCCTCTGGGCTCCACACAGGTTGGAGTCCAGGTTGGAGTCAATTCTCCAAGCAGCCCTCCAGCACATATGTCCATGGGGGTCATGAGGCCTCCTGAAGCTAGGATTCTAGAGATCTGTAGTAAGAATGTGCTACTTCATGCCTACTTAACTCACCCCTTCCCTAGGGACTGTGTGGTGCTAGGAATTGTTCCTAGTGCTCAGAAACCTGTGCAAAGTTGCCAGATTTCTCCCCCTTCAGTCCAGGGTCTGCATCCTTCTTCAATCCGCTCTCAATACCTTACTTTTAAAGATCTGCTTGGGGTGTGCTTATGTTCTTGATCTTGTCTCTCAGTGGGAGAAGTACATCCTGGCTATGTGTAGTCAGCCTTCTTGGCTTTTTCCCTTTTGTTCTTAATGTTAGGGAAAAGTACTCAGCCTGTAATCATTAAGTGTAGTGTTAGCTGTAGGTGTTTTGCAAATGCTTTTTATTAAGTTAAGGAAATTTCTTTTTATAATTAGTTTTCTGAGAGTTTATATTATGATTGAGCAATGGACTTTGTAAAATGCAAATTGATATGGTTAAATAATTTTTCTTTTTTAGTCTGATGATGTGGTACATGTATTAGTCCATTTTCACACTGCTAATAAAGCCATGCCCGATATTGAATAATTTATACAGAAAACAGATTTAATGGACTCACAGTTCCATATGGCTGTGGAGATCTCACAATCATGGTGAAAGTCAAGGAGGGGCAAGTCACATCTTGCATGGATGGCAGCAGGAAAATAGAGAACTTGTGCAGGGAAACTCCCCCTTTTAAAACCATCAGATCTCGTGACACTTATTCACTATCACAAGAACAGCACAGAAAAGACCTCCCCACATGATTCAATTACTTCCCACTGGTTCCCTCCCACAACACATGGCAATTCAAGGTGAGATGTGGATGGGGGCACAGCCAAACCATACCATTCTGCCTGTGGCTCTTCTCAAATCTCATGTCCTCACATTTTAAAGCCACTCATGTCTTACCAACAGTCCCCCAAAGCCTTAACTCATCTCAACATTAACTCAACAGTTTACAGTCCAATGTCTCATCTGAGAAATTGGCCAAAACAAATCGGCTACAGGATGCATGCAAGTTCAAAATCCAGCAGGACAGCCAAATCTCAAAGCTCCAAAATGATCTCCTTTGACTCCATGTCTTGCATTTAAGTCATACTGACACAACTAGTGGGTTTCTATGTTCTTGGGTAGCTCCATCCCTGTGGCTTTTCAGGGTACAGCCTCCCTTCTGGCTGCTTTCACGGGCTGTTGTTGAGTATCTGCAGCCTTTCCAAGTGCATGGTGCAAGCTGTCGATGAATCTACCATTCTGGACTCTGGAGGATGGTGGCCCTCTTCTCAAAGCTCCACTAGGCAGTGCTCCAGTGGAGACTCTGTGTGGGGGCTCCCACCCCATATTTCCATTCCACACTGCTTTAGCAGAGGTTCTCCATAAGCTACCCACTCCTGCAGCAAACTTCTGCCTGGGCATCCAGGCGTTTCCATACATTCTCTGAAACCTAGGCAGAGGTTCCCAAACCTCAATTCTTGACTTCTGTGCACCTGCAGGCTCAACATCACATGAAAGCTGACAAGGCTTGGGGCTTGCACCCTCTGAAGCCATGGCCCATGCTGTACTTTGGCCCCTTTTAGTCATTGCTGGAGCAGCTGGGAGGCAGGTCACCAAGTCCCTAGACCGCACAAAGAAGAGGGACCCTGGCCATCCCACGAAATTATGTCTTCCTCCTAGGTCTCCAGCCCTGTGATGTGAGAGCCTGCCACAAAGGTCTCTGACATGCCCTGCAAACATTTTCCCCATTGTCTTGGTGATTAACATTTGGCTCCTCTTTACTTATGCAAATTTCTGCAGCCAGCTTGAATTTCTCCTTAGAAAATAGGATTTCTTTTCTATCACACTGTCAGGCTGCAAGTTTTCTGAACTTTTATGCTCTCTTTCCCTTTTAAAACTGAATACCTTTAACAGCACCAATGTCACATCTTGAATGCTTTGCTGCTTAGAAATTTCTTCTGCCAGATACCCTAAATGATCTCTCTTAAGTTCAAAGTTCCAGAAATCTCTAGGGCAGGGCAAAATGCTGCCAGTTTCTTTGCTAAACTATAACAAGAGTAACTTTTGCTCCAGTTCCCAACAAGTTCCACATCTCCATCTGAGACCACCTCAGCCTGTATTTCATTGTCCATATCATTATCAGCATTTTGGTCAAAGCCATTCAACAAGTCTCTAGTGAGTTCAAAACTTTCCCACATTTTCCTGTCTTCTTCTGAGCCCTCCAAACTGTTGAAACCTCTGCCTCTTACCCAGTTCCAAAGTCAGTTTTATGTTTTTGGGTATCTTTTTAGCAATGCTCCACTCTACTGGTATCAATTTATTGCATTAATACGTTTTCATACTGCTAACAAAGACATACTCAGGACTGGGTAATTTATACAGAAAAAACGTTTAATCGACTCTCGGTTCCACATGGCTGAGGAGGCCTCACAATCATGGCAGAAGGCAAGGAGGAACAAGTCACATCTTACATGGATGGCAGCAGGCAAAGAGCTAAATTGCTCAGAGAAACTCAGCCTTATAAAACCGTCAGATCTCATGAGACTTATTTGCTATTATGAGAACAGCATGGGAAATACCTGCCCCCATGATTCAATTACCTCCCAGTGTGTCCCTCCCACAACACATTGTGGGAATTCAAGATGAGATTTGGGTGGGGACACAGCCAAACCTTACCAGTAGAGTACACTAATATTCAAATGTTGAACTAGCTTTACATACCTAGAAAAATCCCACTTAGCCATGGTTTATAATTCTTTTTATACATTGCTGAATTTTAATTTGCTAATATTTTGTTGACTTTTTCCATTTAAGTTTATGTGAGGTGTGGGTTTATAATTTTTATTTTATTTTACTGTCTGTCTGATTCCAGTGTCAAGGCCTCTGCTATGGTTTGTTTGGCACTGCCAAGTTTATGTTAATATTTTAACCCCTATGTTGGAGGTGGACCTTGTGGGAGGTGTTTGGATTGAGATTGGATCCCTCACGAATAACTTAGTGCCATTCTCATGGGAGTGAATAATTTCTCACTATTACTTGCTTTGAGAACAGTTGTTGGAAAGAGCCTGGCAAACCCTACCCTCACCCCCCTGTCTGTCTGTCTGTCTCTCTTTCTGTCTCTGTTGCTTCCTTTCTCACCATGTGATCTCCACATGCCAGCTCTTCATTAACTTATGCCATAAAAGCCTTCAACAGAAGCAAATGCTGTCACTATGCTTCTCCTACTGCCTGTAGATCTATGAGTCAACTAAACAGTTTTTACTTATAAATTACTCAGTCACAGATATTTCTTCATAACAACACAAAGACAACTTCAAAAAATGAGTTAGCAATTGCTCCTTTCTATTCAATTTTCCAGAAGAACTTGTGTAAAATTTGTATTAATTCATCTGTAAATGTTGGTAAAATTCTTTATTGAAGCCATCTAAGCCTGGGGTTTTCTTTTGCAGGAGTTGCTTAATTACAAATTCAATTAATTTAATAGTTATAAGACTATTCCACTTATCTGTTTATCTTGGTTGAGTTTTGGTATTTTGTGTGTTTTGAGGAATTGCTTTAGTTCTTCTAAGTTTTCCGATGTATGGGTGTAAACTTGTTGATATCTTTTTCTTATTATCTTTTTAACAGTTAGAGGACTGCTAAGACATCTTTGGCTTTATTTATGATATTGGTGTTTTGTGTGCCTTCTTTTTATGTTTGTCACTCTTGTTAGATATTTCTCAAATTTTATTGATTAGTTTTTGAGAGCTAGATTTTTTATTTTGAGACAAGGTCTCAATCTGCCACCCAGACTGGGGAGTAGTGGCACAATCATGACTCATAGCAGCCTTGACTTCCCTGGGCTCAGATGACCATCCCACGTCAGCTTCCCAAGTAGCTGGGACCACAAGCATGTGCCACCATGTCCAGCTAATTTAATTAATTAATTAATTTTTTTGTAGGGATGGGCTTTTGCCATGTTGCCCAGGCTGGTCTCCAACTTCAGAGCTCAAGAAATTCACCTGCCTTGGCCTTCCAAAGAGTTGAGATAACAGGCGTGAGCACCTGCACCCAGTGAGAACTAGCTTTTAATTTTATTTTATTTCTTTTTTTTCTGTTTTCAGGTTCATAGATTTCTGCTCATATTTTTATTAGCTACCTTCTACTTGCTTTACATTCATGTTCCTCTTCTCTTTATAATTTCTTGAGGTAAGAATTTAGATTATCGATTTGAGATATTTTATCTTTTCTCATGTAAGCTTTAGTGCTATAACTTTTCTTCTAACCACTGCTTTAACTGTGTCCCACAAATTTTGATATGTTGTATAATTATTTTAATTCATTTGTATATATTTTTAGAATTTCCTTTGAGATTTCCTCTTTGACTCGTGGATTCTTTGAAAATGTGATTTTTAACTTTGCAGGTCTTTGAAAATATTTATTTTTCTTTATTATTATCAATTTATGTTTTAATCTAATTATGATTGAAAAAAACTTTGTATTGTTTTGAGTCTCTTAAATTTGTTGATTTGTTTTATGACCCAAGTTTTAGTCTATCCTGGTGAAATTTTCATGGGCACTTGAATAGAATATGCATTCTGCTGTTATTGGCTCAGGTGTTCTATATTTTGGGGTTTTTCCATTAGATTGGTACAAAAGTAATTGCAGTTTTGCCATTATTTTGAATATATTAATACGAATATATTCCTGCTGATTTTTGTGTAGTACACGTTTCATCAATTGTTGAGAGAGAACTGTTGAAATCTTTGATTAGAATTCTCATTTTTCTGTCCTTTTTCAGTTCCATCAGTTTTTGCCTCACATATTTTGTAACTTTTTTGGTACATATTTGAAATTCCTATGTATTGCTAGTATATTCATTATTTTATTATTATGCTGTGTCCCTATATGTTCATGGTAATTTTCTCTACTATGATATCTACTTTATCTTATTGATGTTGCTACTTTGAGGTGTTTTTTTTTTAATCCGTGTTTGCATGGCATTTCTTTTACATCTGTTTGCTTTCAATCTTCCTATATTATTATGTGGGAACTGAGTTTCTAGTGGACAGTGTGTAGTCAGTCATATTTTTTAATCATTCTGCTAACCTTTATTTTTAAATTGGCATGTATAGAGAACTTGAATTTATATAGTTATTGACATGTCTGGATTTAAATCTACCGTTTATAATTTGTTTTCTATTTATGTCCTCTCTCATTCCCCTGTTTCTCTTTACTTGTCTTTCTGTGTGTTATTGGAACATTTGAGTAATTCCATCTTGTTTTGTGTACAGTATTCTTTCATTATGCTTTATCTGATTTTTTTTTCGTTTTTCATTTTACTTTAAATTCTGGGATACATGTTCAGAATGTGCAGGTTTGTTACATAGGTATACATGTGCCATGGTGGTTTGCTGCACCTATCAACCCGTCATCTAGGTTTTAAGCCCTGCGTGCATTAGGTATTTGTCCTAATGCTTTCCCTCCCCTTGCCCCTGACCCCCTGACAAGCCCCAATGTGTGATGTTTCCTCCCTGGGTCCGTGTATTCTCATTGTTCAACTCCCACTTACGAGTGAGAACATGCAGTGTTTGGTTTTCTGTTCCTGTGTTAGCTTGCAGTGATGGCTTCCAGCTTCATCCATGTCTCTGCAAAGGACATGATCTCATTTTTTATGGCTGCATAGTATTCCATGGTGTATATGTGCCACATCTTCTTTATCCAGTCTATCATTGATGGGCATTTGGGCTAGTTCCAAGTCTTTACTATTGTAAATAGTGCTGCAGTAAACATACGTGTGCATGTATCTTTATAGTAGAATATTTATAATCCTTTGGGTTATTCCCAGTGATGGGATTGCTAGGTCAAATGGTATTTCTGTTTTCAGATCCTTGAGGAATCACCACACTGTCTTCCACAATGGTTGAACTAATTTACACTCCCACCAACAGTGTAAAAGTGTTCCCATTTCTCCACAGCCTCACCAGCCTCTGTTGTTTCCTGACTTTTTAATTATCGCCATTTTAGCTGGCTTGAGATGGTATCTCATTGTAGTTTGATTTGCATTTCTCTAATGACCAGTGATGATGAGATTTTTTCATACTTTTTTGGCCACATAAATGTCTTCCTTTGAGAAGTGTGTATTCATAACCTTCACCCAATTTTTGATGGGGTAGTTTGATTTTTTCTTGTAAATTTGTTTAAGTTCCTTATAGATTATTGATATTAGACCTTTGTCAGATGGGTAGATAGCAAAAAGTTCTCGATTATGTAGGTTTCCTTTTCACTCTAATGATAATTTGTTATGCTGTGCAGAGACTCTTTAGTTTAATTAGATCCCATTTGTCAATTTTGGCTTTTGTTGTTGTTGCTTTTGGTGCTTTAGTCATGAAGTCTTTGCCCATGCCTGGGTCCTGAATGGTATTACCCAGGTTTTCTTCCAAGGTTTTCATGGTTTTAGCTTTTACATTTAAGTCTTTACTCCATCTTGAGTTAATTTTTCTATAATGTGTAAGGAAGAAGTCCAGTTTCTGTTCTTTGCATATGGCATATTGCTAGCCAGTTTTCCCAGAACCATTTATTTCATAGAGAATCCTTTCCTCATTGCTTGTTTTTGCCAGGTTTGTTAAAGATCAGATGGTTGCAGATGTATGGTGTTATTACTGAGGTCTCTGTTTTGTCCCATTGCCCTATATATCTGTTTTGATACCAGTACCATGCTGTTTTGGTTACTGTAGCCTTGTAGTATAGTTTGAAGTCAGGTAGTGTGATGCCTCCAGCTTTGTTCTTTTTGCTTAGGATTGTCTTGGCTATGCAAGATCTCTTTTGGTTCCATAGGAATTCAAAGTAGCTTTCTCTAATTCTGCAAATAAAGTCCATGGTGGTTTGTTGGGAATAGAATTGGATCTGTAAATTACTTTTGGCAGTATGGCCATTTCATGATATTAGTTCTTCTTATCAATGAACATGGAATGTTTTCCATTTCTTTGTGTCCTGTCTTATATCCTTGAGCAGTGGTTTGTAGTTCTCTTTGAAGAGGTCCTTCACATTTTTTGTAAGTTATATTCCTAGGTATTTTATTCTCTTTGTAGCAATTGTGAATGAGAGCTAACTCATCATTTGGCTCTCTATTTGTCTACTGTTGGTGTATAGATATGCTTGTGATTTTGTATCCTAAGACTTTGCTGAAGTTGCATATCAGCTTAAGGAGTTTTTGGGCTGAGACAATGGGATTTTCTAAATATATAATCATGTCGTCTGCAAACAGAGATTATTTGACTTCCTATCTTCCTATTTGAATATCCTTTATTTCTTTCTCTTGCCTGATTGTCCTGGCCAGAACTTCCAATACGATGTTGAACAGGAGTGGTGAGAGAGGGCATCCTTGTCTTGTGCCAGCTTTCAAAAGGAATGCTTCCAGCTTTTGCCCATTCAATATGATATTGGTTATGGGTTTGTTATAAATAGCTCTTATTATTTTGAGATATGTCCTATCAATACCTAGTTTATTGAGAGTTTTTAGAATGAAAGGCTGTTGAATTGTATTGAAGGTCTTTTCTGCATCTATTGAGATAATCATGTGGTTTTGCCATTGGTTCTGTTTATGTGATGGATTATGATTTTTGATTTGCATATGTCAAACCAGCCTTGCATCCCAGGGATGACACCTACTTGATAGTGGTGGATAAGCTTTTTGATGTACTCTGGATTCAGTTTGCCAGTATTTTATTGAGGATTTTCACATCAATGTTCATCAGGGATATTGCCCTGAAATTTTCTTTTTTTTGTTGTGTCTCTGCCAGGCTTTGGTATCAGGATGATGCTGGCCTCATAAAATGAGTTAGGGAGGTATCAGGATGATGCTGGCCTCATAAAATGAGTTAGGGAGGAATCCCTCTTTTTGTATTGTTTGGAATAGTTTCCAAAGGAATGGTACCATCTTCTCTTTGTACCTTTGGTAGAATTGGGCTGTGAATCTGTCTGTTCCTGGGCTTCTTTTTTTTTTTTTTTTTTTTTTTTTTTTTTTTTTTTTGGTTGGTAGGCTATTAATTACTGCCTCAATTTCAGAACTTGTTATTGGTCTATTCAGGGATTTGACTTCTTCCTTGTTTAGTCTTGAGAAGGTTTATGTGTCCAGGAATTTATCCATTTCTTCTAGATTTTCTAATTTATTTGTATAGAGGTGTTTGTAGTATTCTCGGATAGTAGTTTGTATTTCTGTGGTGTCAGTGGTAATATCCCCTTTATTATTTTTTATTGTGTTTACTTGATTCTTCTCTTTTTTCTTCTATATTAGTCTAGCTAGTGGCCCATATATTTTTTAATCTTTAAAAAAAAACAGCTTCTGGATTTATTATTTTTTGGAGGGTTTTTTGTGTCTTCATCTCCTTCAGTATTGCTCTGATCTCAGTTATTTCCCATCTTATGGTAGCTTTTGAATTTGTTTGCTCTTTCTTCTCGATTTTAGATCTTTCTAGCTTTCTTTTGTGGGCCTTTAGTGCTATAACTTTTTTTCCTAACACTGTATTAGCTGTGTCCCAGAGATTCTGCTACATTGTCTCTTGGTTCTCATTAGTTTCAAAGAAGTTCTTTATTTCTGCCTTAATTTTGTTATTTACCCAGTGGTCATTCAGGAGCAGGTTGTTTAATTTCCATGTAGCTGTGCAGTTTTGATTGACTTTGTTAATCCTATGTTCTAATGTGATTGCATTGTGGTCTGAGAAACTGTAATGATTTCCATTCTTTAGCATTTGCCAAGAAGTGTTTTGTTTTTTTTTTTTTTTTTTTTAGGAGCCAAAGTTCTGATTTCAGCCATATCTGCAACTGCCACATGTGCATTTTCTTTCTTTTTTTTAATTTATTATTATTATTCTTTAAGTTTTAGGGTACATGTGCACAATGTGCAGGTTAGTTACATATGTACGCATGTGCCATGCTGGTGTGCTGCACCCATTAACTCGTCATTTAGCATTAAGTATATCTACTAATGCTATCCCTCCCACCTCCCCACACCCCAAAACAGTCCCCAGAGTGTGATGTTCCCCTTCCTGTATCCATGTGTTCTCATTGTTCAATTTCCATCTATGAGTGAGAACATGCAGTGTTTGGTTTTTTGTCTTTGCGATAGTTTACTGAGAATGATGATTTCCAGTTCCATCCATGTCCCTACAAAGGACATGAACTCATCATTTTTTATGGCTGCATAGTATTCCATAGTGTATATGTGCCACATTTTCTTAATCCAGTCTATCATTGTTGGATATTTGGGTTGGTTCCAAGTCTTTGCTATTGTGAATAGTGCCACAATAAACATACGTGTGTATGTGTCTTTATAGTAACATGATTTATAGTCCTTTGAGTATATACCCAGTAACGGGATGGCTGGGTTCTAGTTCTAGATCCCTGAGGAATCATCACACTGACTTCCACAATGGTTGAACTCGTTTACAGTCCCACCAACAGTGTAAAAGTGTTCTTATTTCTCCACATCCTCTCCAGCAGCTGTTTTTTCCTGACTTTTTAATGATTGTCATTCTAACTGGTGTGAGATGATATCTCATCGTGCTTTTGATTTGCATTTCTCTGATGGCCAGTGATGATGAGCATTTTTTCACGTGTCTTTTGGCTGCAAAAATGTCTTCTTTTGAGAAGTGTCTGTTCATATCCTTTGCCCACTTTTTCATGGGGTTGTTTGTTTTTTTCTTGTAAATTTGTTTGAGTTCATTGTAGATTCTGGATATTAGCCCTTTGTCAGATGAGTAGGTTGCGAAAATTTTCTCTCATTTTTTTAGGTTGCCTGTTCACTCTGATGGTAGTTTCTTTTGCTGTGCAGAAGCTCTTTAGTTTAATTATATCCCATTTGTCAATTTTGGCTTTTGTTGCCATTGCTTTTGGTGATTTAGACATGAAGTCCTTGCCCATGCTTATGTCCTGAATGGTAATGCCTAGGTTTTCTTCTAGGGTTTTTATGGTTTTAGGTCTAACGTTTAAGACTTTAATCAATCTTGAATTAATTTTTGTATAAGGTGTAAGGAAGTGATCCAGTTTCAGCTTTCTACATCTGGCTAGCCAGTTTTCCCAGCACCATTTATTAAATAGGGAATCCTTTCCCCATTTCTTGTTTTTGTCAGGTTTGTCAAAGATCAGATAGTTGTAGATATGCGGCATTATTTCTGAGGGCTCTGTTCTGTTCCGTTGATCTATATCTCTGTTTTGGTACCAGTACCATCCTGTTTTGGTTACTGTAGCCTTGTAGTATAGTTTGAAGTCAGGTAGCGTGATGCCTCTGTCTTTGTTCTTTTGGCTTAAGATTGACTTGGCGATGCAGGCTCTTTTTTGGTTCCGTATGAACTTTAAAGTAGTTTTTTCCAATTCTGTGAAGAAAGTCATTGGTAGCTTGATGGGGATGGGATTGAATCTATAAATTACTTTGGGCAGTATGGCCATTTTTACGATATTGATTCTTCCTACCCATGAGCATAGAATGTTCTTCCATTTGTTTGTATCCTCTTTTATTTCATTGGGCAGTGGTTTGTAGTTCTCCTTGAAGAGGTCCTTCACGTCCCTTGTAAGTTGGATTCCTAGGTATTTTATTCTCTTTGAAGCAACTGTGAATGGGAGTTCCCTCATGATTTGGCTCTCTGTTTGTCTGTTATTGGTGTATAAGAATGCTTGTGATTTTTGTATATTGATTTTGTATCCTGAGACTGCTGAAGTTGCTTATCAGCTTAAGGAGATTTTGGGCTGAGACAATGGGGTTTTCTAGATATACAACCATGTCGTCTGCAAACAGGGACAATTTGACTTCCTCTTTTCTTACTGAATACACTTTATTTCCTTCTCCTGCCTAATTGCCCTGGCCAGAACTTCCAACACTATGTTGAATAGAAGTGGTGAGAGAGGTCATCCGTGTCTTGTTCCAGTTTTCAGAGGGAATGCTTCCAGTTTTTGCCCATTCAATATGATATTTCCTGTGGGTTTGACATAGATAGCTCTTATTATTTTGAGATATGTCCCATCAATACCTAATTTATTGAGAGTTTTTAGCCTGAGGGATTGTTGAATTTTGTCAAAGGCCTTTTCTGTATCTACTGAGATAATCATATGGTTTTTGTCTTTGGTTCTGTTTATATGCTGGATTACATTTATTGATTTGCATATATTGAACCAGCCTTGCATCCCATGGATGAAGCCCACCTGATCATATTGGATAAGCTTTTTGATATGCTGCTGGATTTGGTTTGCCAGTATTTTGTTGAGGATTTTTGCATCAATGTTCATCAAGGATATTGGTCTAAAATTCTCTTTTTTGGTTGTGTCTCTGCCCAGCTTTGGTATCAGGATGATCCTGGCCTCATAAAATGAGTTAAGGTGGATTCCTTCTTTTTCTATTGATTGGAATAGTTTCAGAATGAATGTTACCAGTTCCTCCTTGTACGTCTGGTACAATTCAGCTGTGAATCCTTCTGGTCCTGGACACTTTTTGGTTGGTAAGCTATTGATTATTGACACAATTTCAGAGCCTGTTATTGGTCTATTCAGAGATTCAACTTCTTCCTGGTTTAGTCTTGGGAGAGTGTATGTGTCGAGGAATTTATCAATTTCTTCTAGATTTTCTCGTTTATTTGTGTAGAGGTGTTTGTAGTATTCTCTGATGCTAGTTTGTATTTCTGTGGGATGAGTGGTGATATCCCCTTTATCATTTTTTATTTCATCTATTTGATTCTTCTCTTTTTTTTTTTTTTATTAGTTTTGGTAGCGGTCTATCAATTTTGTTGATCCTTTCAAAAAACCAGCTCCTGGATTCATTAGTTTTTTGAAGGGTTTTTGTTTCTCTATTTCCTTCAGTTCTGCTCTGATTTTAGTTATTTCTTGCCTTCTGCTAGCTTTTGAATGTGTTTGCTCTTGCTTTTCTAGTTCTTTTAATTGTGATGTTAGGGTGTCAATTTTGGATCTTTCCTGCTTTCTCTTGTGGGCATTTAGTGCTATAAGTTTGCTCTACACACTGCTTTGAATGTGTCCCAGAGATTCTGGTATGTTTTGTCCTTGTTCTCGTTGGTTTCAAAGAACATCTTTATTTCTGCCTTCATTTCGTTATGTACCCAGTAGTCATTCAGGAGCAGGTTGTTCCATCTCCATGTAGTTGATCGGTTTTGAGTGAGTTTCTTAATCCTGAGTTCTAGTTTGATCGCACTGTGGTCTGAGAGACAGTTTGTTATAATTTCTGATCTTTTACATTTGCTGAGAAGAGCTTTACTTCCAAGTATGTGGTCAATTTTGGAATAGGTGTGGTGTGGTGCTGAAAAAAATGTATATTCTGTTGATTTGGGGTGGAGAGTTCTGTAGATGTCTATTAGGTCCGCTTGGTGCAGAGCTGAGTTCAATTCCTGTGTATCCTTGTTAACTTTCTTTCTCGTTGATCTGTATAATGTTGACAGTGGGGTGTTAAAATCTCCCATTATTATTGTGTGGGAGTCTAAGTCTCTTTATAGGTCACTCAGGACTTGCTTTATGGATCTGGGTGCTCCTGTATTGGGTGCATATATATTTAGGATAGTTAGCTCTTCCCGTTGAATTGATCCATTTACCATTATGTAATGGCATTCTTTGTCTCTTTTGATCTTTGTTGGTTTAAAGTCTGTTTTATCCGAGACTAGGATTGCAACCCCTGCCTTTTTTTGTTTTCCATTTGCTTGGTAGATCTTCCTCCATCCTTGTATTTTGAGCCTATGTGTGTCTCTGCATTTTAGATGGGTTTCTTGAATACAGCACACTGATGGGTCTTGACTCTTTATCCAATTTTCCAGTCTGTGTCTTTTAGTTGGAGCATTTAGTCCATTTACATTAAAGTTAATATTGTTATGTATGAATTTCATCCTGTCATTATGATGTTAGCTGGTTATTTTTCTAGTTAGTTGATGCAGTTTCTTCCTAGTCTTGATGGTCTTTACATTTTGACATGGTTTTGCAGCAGCTGGTACCGGTTACGCCTTTCTATGTTTAGTGCTTCCATCAGGAGCTCTTTTAGGGCAGGCCTGGTGGTGACAAAATCTCTCAGCATTTGCTTGTCTGTAAAGTATTTTATTTCTCCTTCTCTTGTGAAGCTTAATTTGGCTGGACATGAAATTCTGGGTTGAAAATTCTTTTCTTTAAAAATGTTGAATATTTGTCCCCACTCTCTGTTGACTTGTAGAGTTTCTGCAGAGAGATCTGGTGTTAGTCTGATGTGCTTTCCTTTGTAGGTAACCTGATTTTTCTCTCTGGCTGCCCTTAACATTTTTTTGTTTGTTTTAACCTTGTAGAAACTGATGATTATGTGTCTTGGGATTGCTCTTCTCGAGGAATATCTTAGTGGTGTTCTCTGTTGTTTCCTGAATCTCAATGTTGGCCTGTCTTGCTAGGATGGCAAAGTTCTCCTGGATAATATCTGAAGTGTGTTTTCCAACTTGGTTCCATTCTCTCTGTCACTTTCAGGTACACCAATCAATTGTAGATTTGATCTTTTCACATAGTTCCTTATTTCTTGGAGTGTTTGTTCGTTCCTTTTCATTCTTTTTTCTCTAATCTTGTCTTCACACTTTAGTTCATGAAGTTGATCTACAATCGCTGATATCCTTTCTTCCACTTGATTGATTTTGCTATTGATACTTGTGTATGCTTCACAAAATTCTTGTGCTGTGTTTTTCAGCTCCATCAAGACATTTATATTCTTCTCTAAACTGGTTATTCTAGTTAGCAGTTCCTTTAACCTTATATCAAGGTTCTTAGCTTTTTGGCATTGGGTTAGAACATGCTCCTTTAGCTCTGAGGAGTTTGTTATTACCCACTTTCTGAAGCCTACTTCTGTCAATTGATCAATCTCATTCTTAGTCCATTTTTGTGTTCTTTATGCAGATGAGTTGCAATCATTTGGAGAAGCATTCTGGTTTTTGGAATTTTCATTGTTTTGTTATTGGTTTTTCCTCATCTTCCTGGATTTTTCTACCTTTGATCTTTGAGGGTGATGACCTTAGGATGGGGATTTTTGTGGGCGTCCTTTATGTTAATGTTGATGTTTTTGCTTTCTCTTTGTCAGGTTTTTTTCTAACAGTCAGGCTTCTCTTCTGCAGGTCTGCTGGAGTTTGCTGGAGGTCCACTCCAGACCCCGTTCACCTGGGTATCACTAGTGGAGCCTGCAGAACAGCAAAGGTTGCTGCCTGTTCCTCCCTCTGGAAGCTCCATCCCAGGAGGGCAGCAGCCTGATGCCAGATGGAGCTCTCCTGTATAAGGTGTCTGTCAACTTCTGCTGGGAGGTTTCTCCCTGTCAGGAGGCTCGGGGATCAGGGACCCACTTGAGTAGGCTGTATGTCCCTTAGCAGAGCTGGAACACTATGCTGGGAGAATCCCTGTTGTCAGAATGAACTGCTCTCTTCACAGCTGGCAGGCAGGAATAATGAAATCCGCTGAAGCTGCGCCCACAGCCACCCCATCCCCCAAGTGCTCTGTCCCAGGGAAATAGGGTTTTTTCTGTAGGCCCCTAACTGGAGCTGTTACCTTTTCTTCAGCGATGCCCTGCCCAGTGAGGAGGAATCTAGAATAGCAGTTTGCCTACAGCTGCTTTGCTGTGCCCAGCCCAGACCTCCCAGCCTCCTTAGCACTGTCAGGGGAAAAACACCTACTAAAGCCTCAGTAATGGCAGACGGCCCTCCTCTCACCAAGCTCGATTGTTTCAGGTCGACTTCAGACTGCTGTACTGGCAGCAAGAATTTTAAGCCAGTGCTTCTTAGCTTGCTGGGCTCCGTCGGAGTGGGACCTGCTGAGAGAGACCACTTGGCTCCCTGGCTTCAGTTTCCTTTCCAGGGGAGTGAATGGTTCTGTCTCACTGGGGTTCCATGCACCACTAGGGTATAAAGAAAAACAACTGTTGCAGCTAGCTCAGTGTCTGCTCAAACAATAGCCCAGTTTTGTGCTTGAAATTCAGGGCCCTGGTGGTGTAGGCATATGAGGGAATCTCCTGACCTGTAGATTGCAAAAACCGTGGGAAAAGTGTAGAAACCTGGCCTGGTAGCACAGTTCCTTAAGGCTTCCCTTGGCTGAGGGAGGGAGGTACCCTGCCTCTTGCACTTTCCAGGTGAATCCATATCCTACCCTGCTTCTGCTTGCCCTCCATGGGTTGGACTCACTGCCTAACCAGTCCCAATGAGACGAACTGGGTACCTCAGTTGGAAATACAGAAATCACCCACCTTCTGTGTTGGTCTTGCTGGGAGCTGCAGACCAGAGCTGTTTCTATTTGGCCATCTTGGCCCTCCTGCTTTATTGCCTTTTTAAAAACTTTTATTTTAGGTTCAGGGGTACATGTACAAGTTTGTCATACAGGTAAAGTTGTGGTATGGGCGATTTTTATACAGATTATTTCATCACCCAAGTACCAAGCCCAGTACCTAATAGTTATTTTTCTGATCATCTCCTTCATTTTACCTTCCATATCCAGATAGGCCCCAGTGCCTGTTGTTCCCCTCTTTGTGTTCATGTGTTCTCATCATTTAGCACCCCCTTATAAGTAAAAACATGTAATATTTGGCTTTCTGTTTCTGCATTACTTTGCTAAGGAAAATGACCTCCATCTCCATCTATGTTCCTGCAAAGGAGATGATCTCATTCTTTTTTATGGCTCCATTGTATTCCATGGTGTACATTTACCACATGTTCTTTATCCAGTCTGCCATTAATGGGCATTTAGGGTGATTATATGTCTCTTTTATTGTAAATAGTGTTGCAATGAATGTATGTATGCATGCATCTTTATGATAGAATGATTTATATCTCCTTGGGTATATACCCTGAAGTGGGATTTCTGAGTCAAATGGTATTTCTGTTCTTAGCTTTTTGAGGAATCACCACACTGCTTTCCACAATGGTTGAACTAATTTAAACTTCCAACAATATTGTATGAGTATTCCCTTTTCTCCACAATCTCGCCACCATTTGTTATTTTTTGTAATAGCCATTCTAACCAGTGTGAGATGGTATCTCTTTGTGGTTTGATTTGCGTTTCTCTAATGATCAGTGATATTGAGCTTTTTTTTAGGAAAAGAATGCTTGTTGGCCACATGTATGTCTTCTTTTGAAACAGTCTGTTCATGTCCTTTGCCCACTTTTTAAGGGGATTGTGTGTTTCCTTGTAAATTTGTTTAAGTTCCTTATAGATGCGGATATTACACAATTGTCAGATGCATATTTCACAAATATTTCCTGTAGGTTGTCTGTTTACTCTGTTGGTAGTTTATTTTGCTGTGTAGAAGCTCTTTAATTACATACCATTTGTCAATTTTTGCTTTTGTTGCAATTGCTTTTGGTGTCTTCGTCATAAAATCTTCATCAGTTCCTATGTCTAGAATGGTATTGGCTGGACATTGTCTCTCAGGGTTTTTATAGTTTTGGGTTTTACACTTAAGTCTTTAATCCATCTTGAGTTTTTTTTTTATACAGTATATGGAAGGGACCCTGTTTCAATCTTCTGCTTATGGCTAGCCAGTTATCCCAGCACTACTTATTGTAGAGGAAAGCTTTTCCTCAGTGCTTGTTTTTGTCAACTTTGTTGAAGATTAGATAACCTTATTTCTGGGCTCTCTATTATGTTTCATTGATCTACATATCTGTTTTTTTTTTTCCAGTACTATGCTGCTTTGGTTACTGTTTCTCTGTAGTATAGTTTGAAGTTGGGTAAGTTTGATGTCTTTAACTTTATTCCTTTATTTTTAGGATTGCCTTGGCTATTTGTGTTTTTCTTTGGTTCCATATGAATTGTAGACTAGTTTTTTCTAGCTTTGTGAAAAATTACATTGGTAATTTGATAGAAATAGCGTTAAATTGCTTTGGGCAGTATGGTCATTTTTATAATATTGATTCTATCTATGGGCATGAAATGCTTTTCCATTTGTTTGTGTCATCTCTGACTTCCTTGGACAGCATTTTATAATTCTTCTTGTAGAGATCTTTCACCTACCTGGCTAGTTGTATTCCTGGATATTTTATTCTTTGCGAGGTAATTGTGAATGAAATTTCTTTCCTGAATTTGCTCTTGTCTTTGCTCTTGTTGGTGTGTAGGAATTTTAGTGATTCTTATACATTGATTTTGTATCCTGAGAATTTGCTGAAATTGCTTATCAGCTGAAGGGGCTTTGGGGCCAAGACTGTGAAGTTTTCTAGGTATAGAATCATGTCACCTGCAAACGAGGATAGTTTTATTTTCTCTCCCCCTATTTGGATTCCTTTTATTTATTTGTCTTGTCTGATTGCTCTAGTAAGAATTTCCAATACTATGTTGAATGGGAGTGCTGAGAGAGAGCATCCTTGTTTTGTGCTTGTTTTCAAGAGGAATGCTTCCAAATTTGCCCATTCAGTATGATGTTGGCTGTGGGTTTGTCATAGATGACTCTTATTATTTTGAAGTATGTTCCTTCAATGCCTAGTTGGTTGAGAATTTTTAACATTGAGGTATGTTGAATTCTATCAAAAGCCTTTTCTTCATCTATTGAGATAATCATTTGATTTCTGCTTTAATTTGCTTAGGTGATGAATGACATTTATTGATTTGATTATATTGAACCAATCTTGCATCCCAGAGATAAAGCCTACTTGATCATTTTAGATTAGCTTTTCGTTGTGCTTCTGGATTTCATTTGCCAGTATTTTGTTGAGAATTTTAGCATTAATGTTCATCCAGGATATTGGTGTGTGTTTTTTTTGTTGTTGTTGTTGTTTGTTTGTTTGTTTTTTGTATCTCTACCAGGTTTTTATATCAGGATGATCCTGGCCTCATAGAATAAGTTGAAGAAGAGTCCCATCTCCTTAATTTCCGGGGCAATATTTTCAGTATGAATGTTACCAGCTCTTCTTTGTACATCTTGTAGAATTTAGCTATAAATTCGTTTGATTCTGGGTTTTGTTTCACTTTGGTTTGGGTTTTTTTTTTTTGTAGTATATTTATTGCTGAGTCAATTTTGGATCTTGCTATTGTTCTGTTTAGAGATTCAATTTCTTCCTGCTTCTGTCTAGGTAGTGTGTATGTGTCCATGAATTCATCCATTTCTTCTAGATTTTTAGTTTGTGTTAACAGAAGTGTTTATGGTACTTTCTAATGGTTGCTTTCATTTCTGTGGGGGTAAGTGGTAACGTCTCTTTTGTCATTTCTAATTGTGCTTGTTTGGATCTTCTCTTGTATTCTCTTTATTAGTCTACCTAGGTCTAGGTCTGTGTTATTAGTTTTTTCAAAGTACATACTACTAGACTTGTTGATATTTTGAATATTTTATGTCTCAATCTCCTTCAGTTCCACTATGATTTTGGTTATCTCTTGTCTTCTGCTAGCTTTGGAATTGGTTTGCAATTGCTTCTAGATTTTTTTTTTTTCTTGTGATGTTAGGTTGTTAATTTTAGAACTTTCTAACATTTTGATCTTAGTGTTTAGTGCTATAAATTTCTCTCAATACTATCTTTTCTGTGTTTCAAAGAGTCTGCTATGTTGTATCTTTGTACTCATTAGTGTCAAAGAACTTATTGATTTCTGCCTTAATTTCATCATTTATTTATGCCATTCAGAAACAACGTACTGAATCAATTGTATGGTTTTGAGAAATTTTTCTAGTCTTGATATCTATTCTTATTGTGGTGTGGTGTGAGACAGTGGTTGGCAGGATTTTTTTTTTTTTTTGCATTTGCTGAGATTAATCCAACTGTGTGACTGATTTTAGATTATGTATCATGTGGTAATGAGAAAAATGTATATTTTGTTGCTTTTCGGTGGAGAGTTCTGTAGATATCTATCAGACCCATTTGGTCCAGTATTGTGTTCAGCTTCTGAATATCTTTATTAATTTTCTGCCTCAATAATTAGTTTTTTTATTTTTATTTTTATTTTTATACTTTAAGTTCTAGGGTACATGGGCACAACGTGCAGGGTTTTTTTTCTTCTTCTTCTTCTTTTTTTTTTTTTTTGAGACAGAGTCTCGCTCTGTCGCCCAGGCTGGAATTCAGTGGTGCAATCTTGGCTCACTGCAAGCTCTGCCTCCCAAGTTCAGGCCATTCTCCTGCCTCAGCCCCCCAAGTACCTGGGACTACAGGAGCCCACGACTATGCCCAGCTAATTTTTTGTATTTTTAGTAGAGACGGGGTTTCACCACGTTAGCCAGGATGGTCTCAATCTCCTGACCTCGTGATTCGCCCGCCTCAGCCTCCCAAAGTGCTGGGATTACAGGAATGAGCCACTGCGCCCGGCCCAACGTGCAGGTTTGTTACCTATGTATACATGTGCCATGTTGGTGTGCTGCACCCATTAACTCGTCATTTACATTAGGTATATCTCCTAATGCTATCCCTTGCCCCTACCCCCACCCCATGACAGGGCCCAGGGTGTGATGTTCCCCTTCCTGTGTCCAAGTGTTCTCTTTGTTCAATTCCAACCTATGAGTGAGAACATGCAGTGTTTGGTTTTTTTGTCCTTGCGATAGTTTGGTGAGAAGGACGGTTTCCAGCTTCATCCATATCCCTACAAAGGACATGAACTCATCCTTTTTTATGGCTGCATAGTATTCCATGGTGTATATGTGCCACATTTTCTTAATCCAGTCTATCATTGATGGACATTTGGGTTGGTTCCAAGTCTTTGATATTGTGAATAGTGCTGAAATAAACATACGTGCATGTGTCTTTATAGCAGTATGATTTATAATCCTTTGAGTATATACCCAGTAATGGGATGGCTGGCTCAAATGGTATTTCTAGTTCTAGATGCTTGAGGAATCACCACACTGTCTTTCACAATGGTTGAACTAGTTTATAGTCCCACCAACAATGTAAAAGTTTTCCTATTTCTCCACATCCTCTCCAGCACCTGTTGTTTCCTGACGTTTTAGTGATCGTTATTCTAACTGGTGTGAGATGGTATCTCATTGTGGTTTTGATTTTCATTTCTCTGTTGGCCAGTGATGATGAGCATTTTTTCATGTGTCTGTTGGCTGCATAAATGTCTTATTTTGAGAAGTGTCTGTTCATATCCTTCACCCACTTTTTGATGGGGTTGTTTCTTTTTTTCTTGCAAATTTGTTTGAGTTCTTTGTAGATTCTGGATATTAGCCCTTTGTCAGATGAGTAGATTGCAAAAATTTTCTCCCATTCTGTAGGGTGCCTGTTCACTCTGATGGTAGTTTCTCTTGCTGTGCAGAAACTCTTTAGTTGAATTAGATCCCATTTGTCAATTTTAGCTTTGTTTATTTAGTTTGAAGTCAGGTAGCATGACGCCTCCAGCTTTGTTCTTTTGGCTTAGGATTGACTTGGCAATGCAGGCTCTTTTTTTGGTTCTATGTGAACTTTAAAATAGTTTTTTTCCAATTCTGTTAAGAGAGTCACTGGTAGCTTGATGGAGATGGCATTGAATATATAAATTACCTTGGGCAGTATGGCCATTTTCATGATATTGATTCTTCCTATCCATGAACATGGAATGTTCTTCCATTTGTTTGTGTTCTCTTTTATTTTGTTGAGCAGTGGTTTGTAGTTCTCCTTGAAGAGGTCCTTCACATCCCTTGTAAGTTGGATTCCCAGGTATTTTATTCTCTTTGAAGCAATTGTGAGTGGGAGTTCACTCATGATTTGGCTCTCTGTTTCTCTATTATTGGTGTATAGTAATGCTTGTGATTTTTGCACATTGATTTTGAATCCTTAAACTTTGCTGAAGTTGCATATCAGCCTAAGGAGATTTTGGGCTGAGATGATGGGGTTTTCTAAATATACAATCCTGTCATCTGCAAACAAGGACAATTTGACTTCCTCTTTTCCTATTTAAATACACACTCAAAAGCTAGCAGAAGGCAAGAAATAACTAAGATCAGAGCAGAACTGAAGGAGATAGAGACACAAAATCCCCTTCAAAAAATCAATGAATCCAGAAGCTGGTTTTTTGAAAGGATCAACAAAATTGATAGACCGCTAGCAAGACTAATAAAGAAGAAAAGAGAGAAGAACCAAATAGATGCAATAAAAAATGATAAAGGGGATATGACCGCCGATCCCACAGAAGCACAAACTACCATCAGAGAATACTATAAACACCTCTATGCAAATAAAATAGAAAATCTAGAAGAAATGGATAAATTCCTGGACACATACAGCCTCCCAAGACTAACCCAGGAAGAAGTTGAATCCCTGAATGGACCACAAACAGTCTCTGAAATTGAGGCAATAATTAATAGCCTACCAACCAAAAAAAGTCCAGGACCAGATGGATTCACAGCCGAATTCTTCCAGAGGTACAAGGAGTAGCTGGTACCATTCCTTCTGAAACTATTCCAATCAATACAAAAAAAGGGAATCCTCCCTAACTCATTTTATGAGGCCAGCATCATCCTGATGCCAAAGCTGGGCAGAGACACAACCAAAAAAGAGAATTTTAGACCAATATCCCTGATGAACATCAATGCAAAAATTCTCAAAAAATACTGGCAAACCAAATCCAGCAGCACATCAAAAAGCTTATCCACCATGAACAAGTGGGCTTCATCCCTGGGATGCAAGGCTTGTTCAGCATATGCAAATCAATAAATGTATTCCAGCATATAAACAGAACCAAAAACAAAAACCATATGATTATCTCAGTAGATACAAAAAAGGCCTTTGACAAAATTCAACAGCTCTTCATGCTAAAACCTCTCAATAAATTAGGTATTGATGGGAAGTATCTCAAAATAATAAGAGCTATTTATGACAAACCCACAACCAATATCATACTGAATGGGCAAAAACTGGAAGCATTCCCTTTGAAAACTGGCACAAGGCAGGGATGCCCTCTCTCACCACTCCTATTCAGCACAATGTGGGAAGTTCTGGCCAGGGCAATCAGTAATTAGTTTTATAGTGTCAGTTGGATGTTGAAGTCTTCCATTATTACTGCGTGGGAGTTGAAGTGTCACTGAAGGTCTCTGAGAATTTGCTTTATAAATTTGAGTGCTTCTGTATTGGATGCATATGTATTTAGAATAGTTAGGTCTTATTGTTGAATTGAACCCTTTATCATTATGTAATGGCCTTTCTTGTCTTTTATGTCATTGTTGGTTTAAAGTCTGTTTTGTCTGAAATTAGGATTATGATTCTTTTTTTTTCTGTTTTCTAATTGCTTAGTACATTTTCCTCCATCCCTTTATTTTGAGCCTGTGGGTGTCATTACATATAAGATTGGTCTCTTGAAGACAGCATACCAATGGGTCTTGCTTCTTTATCCAGCCTACCACTGTGCCTTTTTATTCATGTCATTTAGCTGGTTTACATTCAATGTTAGTATTGATATGTGTGGATTTGATTCTGTCATTGTGTTCTTAGCTCGTTATTAAGCAGACTTGTTTGTGTGGTTACTTTATAGTGTCACTCTTGTGTATACTTAAATGTGTATTTCCAGTGGCTGGTAATGTTCTTTTTTCCATATTTAGTGTTTTTTCCAGGAACACTTGTGAGACAATTTTGGTAGTAATCAATACCCACAGCATTTGCTTATCTGAAAAGAACCTTATTTCTCCCTTGATTTTGTAGCTTAGTTTGGCTGGATATGATATTCTTTTTCTGTAAGAATGTTGAATATAGTCCCTAGTGTCTTCTGTCTTGTTGGGTTTCTGCTGATAGGTTCACTGTTGGGCTTTTCTTTTTAGGTGGCCTCTCCTTTCCGTTTAGATGCTTTAACATTTTTTTCTTCATTTTACCCTAGGAGATTCTAATAATCTTGTATCTTGGATGATGATCTTCTCATGAAGTATCTTTTTGGAGTTTTTTGCATTTCCTGATTTGAATGTTGGCCTCTTTACCTAGGTGGGGAAGTTCTCATGGATGATATGCTGAAATAGGTTTTCCTAGTTGCTTCCATTCTCCTCATCTTTTTCAGGGATGCCAATTAATCATTGATTTGGTCTCTACATAATTCCATATTTCTGAGAGATTTTCTTCATTTCTTTTTATTCTATTTTCTTTATTCTTATCTGACTTCCTTATTTCAGAAGGCCAGTATTCAAGCTCTGAGACTCTTTCCTCAGATTTGTTTATTCTTCTATTAATACTTGCAATGTCATTATAAAATTCTTGCAGTGTGTTTCTCAGCTCTATCAAGTTGGTTACATTTGTTTCTATACTGGTTATTTTGTCTGTCAGCTGCTATATTATTTTATTGTGATTCTTAGCTTTCTTTGAAACCCAGCACTGCATTCCAATCATGATTACCTTCTTTCCTATTCATATTCTGAATTCTATTTCTATTATTTCCGCCATCTCAGCCTGATTAAGAACCATTGATGAACAACTAGTTCAGTGATTTGCAGGAAAAGGCACTCTGACTTCTTGAGTTGTCAGAGTTCTTGCACTGTTTTTTCTCATCTTTTTGGGCATATGTTCCTTTAATCTTTGAAGTTGCTGTCCTTTGAGTGATTTATTTTCTTTTATCTTATTTGATTACCACAGGGGTTTTATGATGTATAAGTTGGATTTTGTTGACTGACTTTGTTTTTGGAAGATTTTAAGGGTCCAAGTTTCAGCTCAGGACTCCTAGGCTGGGTGCTTTCCCTCTGGGAAACTGTCATCAAGTCCTGGCTTTGTTCTCTGGATCCTCAATCATAGGAAACTGCTGCACTGGAGGGACCATGGCATTTGTGAACTGCTGGTCACAATATTTTGATGGGTGGTGCCAGCCAAAGTGCTTTGTAGGGTGGTAGCAGTGAGATCCATCCTCATTCACACTTGTCAGTAGTGGCAGCAGCAGTAGCAAGTGGTTTGCAAGTTTTTTGGCTGCAGTAGGGTGCTAGTGAGTGCTGGGGTTCCAGCCTCCATGTGAGTGTTTGAAACAGTTCAAACTGTGGCAGTGACACAAAAGACTGGGGGGCCTCTGCCTGCATCTGTGTGTGCATTTACACTTGTATTAGTTTGTTTTCACACTGCAGTCCTGAGACAGATCCGATACTGGGAAGAAAATGGTTTAATTGGAATTACAGTGCCACATGGCTGGGGAGGCCTCAGAATCATGGTGGGATGCAAAATGCCCTTCTTACATGGTGGTGGCAAGAAAAATTGAGGAAGAAGCAAAAGCAGAAACCCCTGATAAACTCACCAGATCTCATGAGACTTATTCACTATCATGAGACTAGCACGGGAAAGACTAACCACCATGATTCAGTTATTTCCCCCTGGGTCCCTCCCACAACACGTGAGAATTCTGGCAGATACAATTCAAATTGAGATTTGGGTGGGGACACAGCCAAACCATATCATTCTGCCCCTGGACCCTGCAAATCTTATGTCCTCACATTTCAAATCCAATTATGCCTTCCCAACAGTCCCCCAAAGTCTTAACTCATTTCAGCATTAACTCAAAACTCCACAGTCCAAAGTCTCATCTGAGACAAGGTAAGTCCCTTCTGCCTAGAAGCCTGCAAAATCGAAAGCAAGCTCATTACTTCCTCGATACAATGGGGGTGCAGGTATTGGGTAAATACAGCCATTTCAAATGGGAGAAATTGGCTAAAACAAAAGGGGTTACAAGGCCCATGCATGTCCAAAATCCTGCAGGTCTGTCAAATTTTAAAGCTCCAAAATGATCTTATTTGACTCCAGGTCTCACATCCAGGTCACACTGATGCCAGAGCTGGGTTCCCATGGTCTTGGGCAGCTCCACTTCTGTGGCTTTGTAGGGTGTAGCTTCCCTCCTGGCTGCTTTCATGGGCTGGATTGAGTGTCTGTAACTCTTCCAGGCACACGATGCAAGCTGTCAGTCAATCTACCATTCTGGTGAGGGTCTCGCCCCTGCAGCAAACTTTTATCTGGGCATCCAGGCATTTCCATGCATCTTCCAAAATGTAGGCAGAGGTCCCCAAATCTCAATTCTTGACTTCTGTGCACCCGCAGGCTCAATACCACGTGGAATCTGCCAAGGCTTGGGGCTTCCACCCTCTGAATCCACAGCCTGAGCACTACACTGGCTCTTTTCAGCCATGGCTGGAGCATCTGGGATGCAGGGCATCAAGTCCCTAGGCTGCACACAGCACGTGGACCCTGGTCCCAGCCCGTGAAACCACCCTTTCCTCTGGGCCTGTGATAGGAAGGCCTGCCAAAAAGTCTCTGACATGGCCTGGAGACATTTTCCCTATGGTCTTGGGGATTAACATTATGCTCCTTGCTACTTATGCAAATTTCCACAACCAGCTTGGATTTCTTCTCAAAAAATAGGTTTTTCTTTTCTATGGCATTGTCAGGCTGCAAATTTTCTGAACTTTTATGCTCTGTTTCCCTTTTAAAATGGAATGCTTTAACAGCACCCAAGTCACCTTTTGAATGCTTTTCTGCTTAGAAATTTCTTCTGCCAGATACCCTAAATCATCTCTCTCAAGTTCAAATTTCCACAAATCTCTAGGGCAGGGGCAAAATGCCTCCAGTCTCTTTGCTAAAACATAACAAGAGTCACCTTTGCTCCAGTTCCCAACAAGTTCCCCATCTCCATCTGAGACCACCTCAGCCTGGATTTCATTGCCCATATCATTATCAGCATTTTTGTCAAAGCCATTCAACAAGTCTCTAGGCGGTTCCAAACTGTCTCACATTTTTCTGTCTTCTTTTGAGCCTTCCAAACTGTTCCAACCTCTGCCTGTTACCCAGTTACAAAGTCATTTCCACATTTTCGGGTATCTTTTCAGCAACACCCCACTCTACGGGTACCAATTTACTGTATTAGTTCATTTTCATCCTGCTATTAAAGACAGAACTGAGATATGAAAGAAAAAGAAGTTTAATTGGATTTACCGTTCCACATGGCTGGGGAGGCCTCAGAATCATGGTGGAGGCAAAAGGCATTTCTTATATGGTGGCGGCAAGAAGAAATGAGGAAGAAGCAAAATTGGAATAAAATAAAAAAATAAAATAAAAAAAAAGGAAACCCCTGACGAACCCATCAGATCTCATGAGACTTGTTCACTATCATGAGAATAGCATGGGAAAGACAGGCTCCCATGATTCAATTACCTTCCCCTTGGTCCTCCCACACACATGGGAATTCTGGCAGATATAATTCAAGTTGAGATTTGGGTGGGGACATGGCCAAACCATATCAGAACCGGTGGTCGTGTTAGCATGGGGATGCGTAACTGGTGGGCAGAGGACTGTGTGCACCCTCTGTGCACTTTCACAGTGGCTGCTCAGGGCAGAGGTGGGTCCACTATTATTTGTATCCAGTTTTGTGCTGGTGGTAGTTGTGGCACAGGGGAGGGGCACTGGTGCGAGCAGGGCTCACGGACTCTGTGCCCACCAACACTTCAACAGTGATGGTAATGAGGTGATGGGAGGGGTTATGGGGCACACTCACACTTGCCACACTGAATGGCAGGGTTCATGTGCACACACGTGCTGGTGGGAAAAGGGAGGTAGGCTTTGCTTACCCAGACATGTGCTGGCAAAGTGATATAGGAAGTGGCTGTGTGAGAGCATTCAGGCAGAGTGGCTTGGGAGAGGCTGCCATGGCAGGAGGGTGTGGGCAGGCTGGTGTGTGTCTGCAGGGACCACTCTGCTGGAGATCTCTGCTGATCAGGTGCAGTCTGTCAGCGCAGGAGCTGTTATTTCTGCACCCAGGAGATGCCCCCAGGCACCTGAGGCTACACTGCAAGCAGGAATGGCCAGGCTGGGGCCTGGGCAAGGCCAGCAGACTGAGGAGTTCTCAGATTAAACCAGCCTTGTCTCATGACTGTGACCACCCTGCAGGGTTCGGGTCCAAAAGTTTGCCTATGGCTAAAGTCCTCTATGGGAGCAAGTTTAGCCTGGGAGAATGGGTGTTCCCAGCTGTGCTCCACTACAGATGCTTCCATACCAAACCCTCTGGGCTCTGCACTTACTGGAGTTCTGCCCCTAACCCTTCTCTAAGCAGCTCTCTCTCACAACTCAAGTATCTGTGGTGGTCATAGAAACTTCTTCTGCCAGGATTCCAGAGGCCTGTGGTGAGAATGGGTTACTCCTTGCCTGTTCAACTCACCCTTTTCCCAGGAGTCATTGGAGGGCCAGGAATGAGTCCCAATGTGTGGTATTCCTGTGCAGGATTCCCATTCAGCCGAGCATTTTTGTCTGCCCTTCATCCACTCTCAATGTCTTCCCTCTAAAGATCTAGGGTTGCACCAGTCATTCTGACGTCCTGGTCTCTCAGTGGCAGATGTTTTTCCTCCCTGCATCTAGTTGGCCATCTTACCACAATTTTCAGTGTTCTTGAGCATACCACTTTTTGTATATTTAGTAGTTTTTCTAGAAATTAAAATATACATATATAACTTATCACAGTTTGCTATTATCAACATTTTACCACTTGGAATACAATATTTAAAGCTATCCTTCATATAGGTCTTACTATCCTTACCATTTAAAAAGTTTAGTTGTCACGCATATTTTCATTACATATGATGAGCAGCACAACAATATTTTTAAATGTTTTGCTTCAATTCTCAAATGTAATTCAAGAAACTCGTAAAGACTTGAATAGTTTGTCATACCTGCCCCAGTTCTTTCCTCTTTTGTTTTTCTTCTTACCATTCTGATAGCCTGTCTTCTTTTATTATACGATTTCTTTCAAGGTCTTTAATCAAAAGATACCTTCTTAGTAAGGCTCTCCCTAGCTACTGCATTTTTTTAAATATAATTTTAAGTTCTGGGGTACATGTGGAGAACATGCAGGTTTGTTAAATAGGTATACACATGCCATGGTTGTTTGCTACACCCATCAACCCTTGATCTACATTAAGTATTTCTCTTAAGGCTATCCCTCCCCTAGCCCCACAGCCCCCGACAAGCCCCAGTGTGTGATGTTCACTGCACTGTGTCCATGTGTTCTCATTGTTCAACTCCCACATATAAGCAAAAACATGTGGTGTTTGGTTTACTGTTCTTGTGTTAGTTTGGTGAGAAAGATGGTTTCTAGCTTCATCCATGCCCCTGCAAAGGACATGAACTCATCCTTTTTTATGGCTGCATAGAATTCCGTGGTGTATATCTGCCACATTTTCTTTATTTAGTCTGTCACTGACGGACATTTGGGTTGGTTCCAAGTCTTTGCTGTTGTGAACAGTGCCGTGATAAACATACATGTGAATGTCTCTTTATAGTAGAATGATTTGTAATCCTTTGAGTATATACCCACTAAGGGGATTGCTGGGTCAAATGGTATTTGTGGTTCTAGATCCTTGAAAAATTGCCACACTGTGTTCCACAATGGTTGAAATAATTTACACTCCCATCAACAGTGTAAAAGCATTCCTTTTTCTCCACATCCTCTGCAGCACCTGTGGTTTCCTGACTTTTTAATGATCGCCATTCTAACTGGTGTGAGATGGTATCTCATTGTGGTTTTGATTTGCATTTCTCTAATGACCAGTGATGATGAGCTTTTCTTCGTATGTTTGTTGCCAGCATAAATGTCTTCTTTTGAGAAGTGTCTGTACATATCCTTTGTCCACTTTTTGATGGGGTTGTTTGTTTTTTTCTTGTAAATTTGTCTAAGTTCCTTGTAGATTCTGGATATTAGCCCTTTGTCAGATAGATAGATAGATTGCAAAAATTTTCTCCCATTGTGTAGGTTGCCTGTTCACTGTGATGATAGTTCATTTTGCTGTGCAGAAGCTCTTTAGTTTAATTAGATCCCATTTGTCAATTTTGGCTTTTGTTGTCATTGCTTTTGGTATTTTAGTCATGAAGTCTTTGACCATGCCTATGTACTGAATAGTATTGGCTAGGTTATCTTGTAGGGTTTTTATGGTTTTAGGTCTTACATTTAAGTCTTTAATACATCTTGAGTTAATTTTTGTATTATGTGTAAGGAAGGGGTCCAGTTTCAGTTTTCTGCATATGGCTAGCCAGTTTTCCCAACACCATTTATTAAATAGGGAATCCTTTTCCTATTGCTTGTTTTTGTCAGGTTTGTCAAAGTTCAGAGAGTTGTAGATGTGTGGCATTATTTCTCAGGCCTCTGTTTTCTTCCATTGGTCTATATGTCTATTTTGGTACCAGTGCCATGCTGTTTTTGGTTACTGTAGCCTTTTAATATTGTTTGAAATCAGGTAGTGTGATGCCTCCAGCTTTGTTCTTTTTGTTTAGCATCCTCTTGGCTATGCGGGCTCCTTTTTGGTCCCATATGAAATTTAACGTAATTTTTTCCAATTCTGTGAGGAAAGTCAATAGTAGCTTTATGGGGATAGCATTGAATCTATAAATTACTTTTGGCAGTATGGCCATTTTCACGGTATTGATTCTTTCAATCCATGATCATTGAATATCTTTTAAAATATTTTTCCATAAATAAATATTTTTTAAAACCAATTTTTAATTGATGTATAATAGATTTACATAATTTGGGGTATATATGTGTTAATTTAAAATTCATATATTTAGTAATGATCAAGTCAGTATACTTTTAATATCCATCACATCAAATATATTTTTTCTTCATGCTAGAAACATTAAATTATTGTCTTCTAGATATCTTGTAATGTACAATAAATAATTGTAAATTATGGTCACCGTAATGGTTTATCAAACACTATGTCTTATTTATTCTATCTAATGGTATTTTTTACACATTAATAAGTCTTCTTTTTATTATACTTTAAGATCTAGGGTACATGTACACAATGTGCAGGTTTGTTATATAGGTATACATGTACCATGTTGGTTTACTGTACCCATCAACTCGTCATTTTCATTAGGTATTTCTCATAATGCTACCCCTTCCCCAGCCCCTCACCCCCTGACAGGCCCCAACTTGTGATGTTCCTGGCCCTGTGTCCAAGAGTTCTCATTGTTCAACTCCTAACTATGAGTGAGAACATGCAGTCTTTGTTTTTCTGTCCTTGTGATAGTTTGCTGAGAATCATGGTTTCTAGCTTTATCCATGTCCCTGCAAATGACATGAACTCATCCTTTTTTATGGCTGCATAGTATTCCACAGCATATACGTGCCACATATTCTTAATCCAGTCTATTATTGATGGACATTTGGGTTGGTTTCAAGTCTTTGCTATTGTGAATACTGCTGCAATAAACATACGTGTGCATGTGTCTTTACAGTAGCATGACTTATAATCCTTTGGGTATATAACCAGTAATTGGATCACTGGGTCAAATGCTATTTCTAGTTCTATATCCTTGAGGAATCGTCACACTGTCTTCCACAATGGTTGAACTAATTTACACTCCCACCTACAATGTAAAAGCATTCCTATTTCTCCACATCCTCTCCAGCACCTGTTGTTTCCTGACTTTTTAATGATCGCCATTCTAACTGGTGTGAGATGGTATCTCATTGTGGTTTTGATTTGCATTTCTCTGATGACCAGTGATGATGAGCATTTTTTCATGTGTCTGTTGGCTACATAAATGTCTTCTTTTGAGAAGTGTCTGTTCATATCCTTTGCCCACTTGTTGATGGGTTTTTTTTTTGTTTTCTTCTTTAAATTCGTTTGAGTTCTTTGTAGATTCTGGATATTAGCCTTTTGTCTGATGGGTAGATTGCAAAAATTTTCTCCCATTCTGTAGGTTGTCTGTTCACTCTGATGGTAGTTTCTTTTGCCATGCAGAAGCTCTTTAGTTTAGTTAGATCCCATTTGTCTATTTTGGCTTTTGTTGTCATTGCTTTTGGTGTTTTAGCCTTAAAGCCTTTGCCCATGCCTATGTCCTGAATGGTGTTGTCTAGGCTTTCTTCTAGGGTTTTTATGGTTTTAGGTCTAATATTTAAGTCTTTAATCCATCTTGAATTAATTTTTGTATAAAGTGTAAGGAAAAGTTCCAGTTTCAGCTTTCTACATATGGCTAGGAAGTTTTCCCAGCATCGTTTATTAAATTGGGAATTCTTTCCCTATTGCTTGTCTTTGTCAGGTTTGTCAAAGAACAGATGGTTGTAGACGTGTGGTGTTATTTCTGAGGTTCTGTTCTGTTCCATTGGTCTATATATCTTTTTTGGTACCAGTACCATGATGTTTGGGTTACTGTAGCCTTGTAGTATAATTTGAAGTCAGGTAGCATGATGCCTTCAGCTTTGTTCTTTTTGCTTAGGATTGTCTTGGTAATGCAGGCTCTTTTTTGGTTCCATATGAACTTTAAAGTAGTTTTTTCCAATTCTGTGAAGAAAGTCATTGGTAACTTGATGGGGATGGCATTGAATTTATAAATTACCTTGGGCAGTATGGCCATTTTCACAATATTGATTCTTCCTATCCATGAGCATGGAATGTTCTTTCATTTGTTTGTGTCCTCTTTTCTTTAATTGAGCAGTGTTTTGTAGTTCTTGAAGAGGTCCTTCCCATCCCTTATAAGTCGTATTCCTAGGAATTTTATTCTCTTTGAAGCAATTATGAATGGGAGTTCACTCATGATTTGGCTCTCTGTTTGTCTGTTATTGGTGTATACGAATGCTTGTGATTTTTGCACATTGATTTTGTATCCTGAGACTTTGCTGAAGTTGCTTATCAGCTTAAGGAGATTTTGAGCTGAAATGATGGAGTTTTCTAAATATACAATTGTCACATGCGTCCGTGTGAAGAGACCACCAAATAGGCTTTGTGTGAGCAATAAAGCTTTTAAATTACCTGGGTGCAGGCGGACTGAGTCAGAAAAGAGAGTCAACAAGGGTGGTGGGATTATCATTAGTTCTTATAGGTTTGCAATAGGTGTACAAAGTACATTCTCAAGGGTGGGGAGAATATTAAATAGTACCTTCTTAAGGGTCGGGGAGAATATTGTGAAGTACCTTCTTAAGGGCGGGGGAGAATATTACAAAGTACCTCCTTATGGGCAGGAGAGAATATATCGTATCAGTTAGCGTGGGGCAGGAACAAATCACGATGGTGGAATGTCATCAGTTAAGGCTATTTTCACTTATTTTGTGGATCTTCAGGTGCTTCAGGCCATCTGGATGTATACGTGCAGGTCACAGAGGACATGATGGCTTAGCTTGGGCTCAGAGGCCTGACATTCCTGTCTTCTTATATTAATAATAAAAAGAAATCAAAATAGTGGTGAAGTGTTGGGGCAGCGAAAATTTTTGGGGGTGGTTTGGAAAAATAATTGGCGATCTTTCTCAGGGCTGCTTCGAGCGGGATTAGGGGCAGCACAGCAACCTACTGTGGGAGACATTAAACTGAAGAAAGATTTCGGGGTAAGGAGTGATATTGTGGGTTTGGTAGAAGGAGCACTTGTAATATAGAATTATTGGTGATGGTCTGGATGCGGTTTTGTATGAATTGAGAAACTAAACGGAAGACACAAGGTCCAAATAAAAGAGGGAGAAAAATAGGTATTAAAGGATTAAGAATTGGGAGTACCCAGGACATCCAATTAGATGGTGTGCAAGGGGGTTCAAAGCAATTATTTTCTTGGTTGGAAAGCTTTTGGGCTCTATCCTTGAGTTTTTTTATGTTGTCATATACCAGGCCACATTGATTTAAGTAAAAACAACAGTCTTTATTTAAAAATATACTCACTTTTTCAGCAGTGAGTAAGTTGATGCCTCAGCGATTTTGGAGGAAAGAGAAATGCAAAGCCAGCAATTGTTTGTTAAAGAAGGATTAGAAATGGCTAAGAGAGAGTGAGTGAGATTGATAGTGTGGTGGAGATAGCTGTTGAGAGGTAGAGGTTGGCATAAGAACAGGAGAGAGAATAAGAGCGAGTATAAAAGTGAAGAATAGGACTTCATCAGGGTGGAGGTATTGGAGCATGCCGTGTCAGCAAAGATCATCCATCCACTCCAAGAGGGAGTCAAGAGTGGCGGACTGGGGAGAGTACCAGGAGATATGCACTATGATGGTTTGGAGGAAAAGTGTAAACCAGCCGTATAAACAAGGGCAGGGCATTTACGAGAAGTTGAGAATGGTGAATAGGAGTATGACTAGATAGAAGATAGTAGGGATGACAAGTTTTTGGTGTGCAGTCCAAGTAGTGGGGGGTGACTGTGTAAAGCCCTGTTGTAAAGAGTAGGGTAAGGAAGAAGAGATCTAATAAAAATGAAAGGGTGTATTAGGACCATAAGGGTTATTACTGTTCTTAAGAAATGCGAGTGAGTTTAAGGGAAGTAGGGGTGAGTAATTGCGACTTCCAGGAGGAAGAGGGGAGATCAGGCTGGCTGTCCGACGGACACAGCTTTATTCTGGAACAATGAACCTAATGGGGGGGGGTGCGGTCCTGCAGACAAACAGCCTTTGGGGTACTATAGATGACTAAGTAGGGTCTGCTCCCCCGAGGTTGTAAAGTTTGTCAGATTCTTAACAAGAACTGATCATCCAGCTGAGGTGTCTTCATATGGCTGGGAATCTGGAGTAGGCAAGAGAAGATTAGCAGCCTGGCAAATTTCCTGTCTAGCCTGCTGGAGGACTGGAAGGTAATCACCTAGAGGGCTGGTGTCTGAAATGAGTCTGGGGCTTAATAAAAACGAGTGTCCCTACAGGAGTTCCAATGGGCTGTACCCTGTAGCATCCCGAAGACAGGCCCAAATTCTGAAAAGGGCAAGTGGTAGAAGTACTGTCCAGTCCTTTTTAAGTTGGAGGCTGAGTTTGGTGAGGTGTGTCTTTAAAAGACCATTAGTCCATTCTACCTCTCCTGAAGATTGAGGACGATAAGGAGTATGAAGTTTCCACCGAATACCAAGAGCCTGAGAAACTGCTTGGGTGATTTGACTAATAAAGGCCGGTCTGTTATCGGACTGTATAGAGGTGGGAAGGACAAATCGAGGAATTATTTCTGACAGAAGGGAAGAAATAACCATGGTGGCCTTCTCAGACACTGTGGGAAAGACCTCTACCCATCCAGTGAAAGTATCTACCCAGACCAAAAGGTATTTTAGTTTCCTGACTCAGAGCATGTGAGTAAAGTCAATTTGCCAGTCCTGGGCAGGGGCAAATCCCCAAGGTTGATGTATAGGGAAGGGAAGGGGCCTGAATGATCCCTGAGGAATAGTAGAATAACAAATGGAACACTGAGAAGTAATTTCCTTGAGGATAGATTTCCATGATGGAGAGGAAATGAGAGGTTCTAAGAGGCAGGCTGGCAGCTTGTAAACTACATGGAAGATTTTATGAAATGACGACAGAATAGAATGGGCCTGTGAGGCTGGGGATATTTTCATTTGCCCAAGAACCATTTGCCTTGTGTGGGTAGAGATTGACAGGTGGAAGTTTCAGTGGGAGAGTAGGTGGGAGTGACCGATGAGAAGGAGAAAATCTGGCCATGAGGGAGCAGCCTGGGGAGGAGGGGAGAGGAACGTTGGGTCCGTTGAAAAGGAAGATTCAAAGGACTTAGAGCTTGGAGTGGAGACTGGAGGAACAGACAGGAGAGAAAGAAGAAAGATTTGGGATGAGTTGCATTGGGAGCAGAGACTAGGGAGGGTCTGATGTGTAAAAGAATGCCTGGACATCAGGCACCTCAGACCATTTGCCCATTTCTTGACAAAAAATTATCGAGCTCTTGTAGGATGGAGAAATTGAAAGTGCCATTTTCTGGCCATTTAGAGCCATTATCAAGTTTGTATTGGGGCCAAGTAGTTTTGCAGAAGAAAATAAGATGCTTAAGTTTTAGGTCAGGCAAGAGTTGAAGTGGTTTTAAGTTTTTGAGAACACAGGCTAAGGGGAAGGGGAATGGAGGGTGGAAAGTTGCCCATAGTGAAGTAGGCAAGCCCAGAGAAAAGAGAGGGTAGAGACACGGAGAAGAGGGACAGTGAGCAGCCCTGGGCTGCAATGTGGGTGAGCAGCCAAAGCAGGTGTCCCCACAAATTGACTTGCCACCAAGGTAATGTGGGTGAATGACCAAGGCAGGTGTCCCCATGGTGATCAGACACCAATAGAATGGCAGTGAATAATCAGGGCAGGCATCCCCACAGTGATTAAACACCAAGGGAAGACTGTCTTCCCGAGTCCATGATTGGCACTGGAGTTTTGGTTCCACAGATAAAATATGTCTCCTTTGTCTCTATTAGACAGGAAAAAGAACTGGGACTGGAAGGACAGGGAGGTTGAAGTGTAGCGAGAGAGGCTGGAGAAGAGAGTGAAAAGACCATTTACCCAATTTGAAATTGGTGAGATGTTCCTTGGGCTGGTTGGTCTGACGACCCGAGGTCGTAGGTGGATCTCCTCACAAAGGAGTATTTTATTCCCCGTATTTTATTGAGGATTTTTCGCATCAATGTTCATCAGGGATATTGGCCTAAAATTCTTTTTTGTGTGTGTGTCTCAGCCAGGCTTTGGTATCAGGATGATGCTGGCCTCATAAAATGAGTTAGGGAGGATTCCTTCTTTTTCTATTGATTGAAGTAGTTTCAAAAGGAATCACACCAGCTCCTCTTTGTACCTCTGGTAGAAATCGGCTGTGAATCCATCTGGTCCTGGACATTTTTTGGTTGGTAGGCTATTATTGCCTCAATTTCAGAGCCTGTTATTGGTGTATTCAGAGATTCAACTTCTTCTTGGTGTAGACTTTGGAGGGTGTATGTGTCCAGGAATTTATTCATTTCTTCTAGATTTTCCAGTTTATTTGCATAGAGGTGTTTATAGTATTCTCCAATGGTAGTATGTATTTCTGTGGGATGGGTTGTGATATCCCCTTTGTCATTTTTTATTGCATCTATTTGATTCTTCTCTCTTTTCTTCATTAGTAGTCTTGCTAGTGGTCTACCAATTTTGTTGATCTAAAAAAAAAAAAAAAAAAAAAAAAAAAAGGAAAACACCCAGCTCTGGCATTCATTGATCTTTTTGAAGGTTTTTTCTTTTGTCTCTATCTCCTTCAATTCTGCTCTGATCTTAGTTATTTCTTGCCTTCTGCTAGCTTTGAGTTTGTTTGCTCTTGCTTCTCTGTTTTGTTTAATTGTGATGTTAGAGTGTCAATTTTAGATCTTTCCTGCTTTCTCTTGTAGGCACTTAGTGCTGTAAATTTCCCTATACACAATGCTTTAAATGTGTCCAAAAGATTCTGGTACATTGTGTTTTTGTTATCATTGGATTCAAAGAACATCTTTCTTTCTGACTTCACGTCGTTATTTACCCAGTAGTCACTCAGGAGCAGGTTGTTCAGTTTGCATGTAGTTGTGCAGTTTTGAATGGGTTTCTTACTTCTGAATTCTAATTTGATTGCACTGTGGTCTGAGAGCCCATTGTTGTGATTTCTGTTCTTTTACATTTTCTGAGGAGTGCTTTACTTCCAATTATGTGGTCAAGTTTAGACTATGTGCAATGTGGTGCTGAGAACAATGTATATTCTGTTGATTTGGTGTGGAGAGTTCTGTAGATGTCTATTAGGTTCGCTTGGTGCAGAGCTGAGTTCAAGTTCTTGATATCCTTGTTATCCTTCTGTCTCACTGATCTGTATAATATTGTCAGTAAGGTGTTAAAATCTCCCATTATTATTGTGTGGGAGTCTAAGTCAATTTGTATGTCTCTAAGGACTTGCTTTATGAATCTGGGTGCCCCTGTATTCGGTGCATATATATTTAGGATAGTTAGCTCTTCTTGTTTAATTGATTTATTTACCATTATATAATGGCCTTCTTTGTCTCTTTTGATCTTTGTTGGCTTAAAGTCTATTTTATCAGAGATGAGAATTGCAACCCCTCTTTATTTTTTTTCTTTCCATTTGCTTGGTAGATCTTCCTCCATCTTTTTATTTTGAGCCTATGTGTGTCTCTGCACATGAGATGTGTCTCCTGAATACAGCACACTGATGGGTCTTGACTCTTTATCCAATTTGACAGTCTATTTTAATTGGGCCATATAGCCCATTTACATTTAAGGTTAATATTGTTATGTGTGAATTTGATCCTGTCATTATGATGTTAGCTGGTTATTTTGCCCATTAATTGATGCAGTTTCTTCATAGCACCGATGGTCTTTTCAATTTGACATGTTTTTGCAGTGGCTGATATCGATTGTTTCTTTCCATGTTTAGTGCTTCCTTCAGGAGCTCCTGTAAGGCAGGCCTGGTGGTGACAGAATCTCTCAGCATTTGCTTTTCTGTAAAGGATTTTATTTCTCCTTTACTCATGAAGCTTAATTTGGCAGGATATGAAATTCTAGGTTGAAAATTCTTTTCTATAAAAATGGTGAATATTGACCCCCACTCTCTTCTGGCTTGTAGAGTTTCTGCCAAGAGATCAACAGTTAGTCTGATGGGCTTCCCTTTGTGGGTAACTCGACCTTTCTCTCTGGCTGCCCTTAAAATTTTTTCCCTCATTTCAACCTTGGTGAATCTGACAATTATGTGTCTTGTGTTTGCTCTTCTCTGGGAATATCTTTGTGGTGTTCTCTGTATTTTCTAAAATTGAATGTGGCCTTCCTTGCTAGGTTGGGGAAGTTCTCCTGGACAATATCCTGCAGAGTGTTTTCCAACTTGGTTCTATTCTCCTTGTCACTTTCAGGTACAACAATCAAACGTAGATTTGGTCTTTTCACATAGTCCCATATTTCTTGAAGCATTTGTTCATTTCTTTTCCCTCTTTTTTTCTCTAATGTTGTCCTCTCACTCTATTTCATTATTTTGATCTTCAGTGACTGATATGCTTTCTTGTACTTGATTGAATTGGCTATTGAAGCTTCTGCATGTGTCACGAAGTTCTTGTGCCATGGTTTTCAGCTCCATCAGGTCATTTATGTTCTTCTCTAAGCTGTTTATTCTAGTTAGTCATTCGTCTAACATTTTTTTCCAGGTTTTTGTCTTCCTTGTGATGGGTTAGAACATGCTCCCTTAGCTCAGAGAAATTTATTACCGACCTTCTGAAGCCTACTTCTGTCAACTCATCAAAGTCATTCTCCATCCAGCTTGGTTTTATTGCTGGCAAGGACCTGTGATCCTTTGGAGGAGAAGAGAAGCACTGGTGTTTAGAATTTTCAGATTTTCTTCTCTGGTTTCTCCCCATCTTTTTGGTTTTATCTACCTACCTTTGATCTTTGATGTTGGTGACCTACAGATGGGGATTTGGCGTGGATGCCCTTTTTTTTTTGATATTGTTGCCATTCCTTTCTATTTGTTCGTTTTCCTTCTAACAGTCAGGTCCCTCAGCTGCAGGTCTGTTGGAGTTTGCTGGAGGTCCACTCCAAACCTTGTTTGCCTGGGTATCACCAGAGGAGGCTGCAGAACAGCAAATATTGCAGAACAACAAATATTGCTGCCTGATCCTTCCTGTGGAATCTTCCTCCCAAAGGGGCAGCCACCTATATGAGGTGTCTGTTGGCTCCTACTGGGAGGTGTCTCCCAGTTAGACTACATGGGGGTCAGGGACCCACTTGAGGAGGCAGTCTGTCCATTCTCAGAGCTCAAATGCCATGCTGGGAGAACCACTGTTCTCTTCAGAGCTGTCAGACTGGGGCGGTTAAGTCTGCATAATTTTCTGCTGCCTTTTGTTCAGCTATGCCCTGCCCACAGAAGTGGAGTCTATGGAGGCAGTAGGCCTTGCTGAGCTGTGGTGGGCTCCACCCAGTTCAAGCTTTCCAGCCACTTTGTTTACCTACTCAAGCCTCAGCAATGGCAGATGCTTCTCCCCTCACCAGGCTGCAGCCTCACAGGTCAATCTCAGACTGCAGCACTAGCAGTGAGTAAGGCTCCATGGGTGTGGGACCTAGCGAGCCATGCACCTGAGAGAATCTCTGGTCTACTGGTTTCTAATACCATGGGGAAAGTGCAGTATTTGGGCAGGAGTGTCCTGTTTTTCCAGGTACAGTCTGTCACAGATTTCCTTGGCTAGGAAAGGGAAATCCCCCAACCCCTTGTGCTTCCCAGTTGAGGTGATGCCCTGCCCTGCTTTGGCTCACCTGCTGTGGGCTGCACCCACTGTCCAACCAGTCCCAATGAGATAAATCAGGTACCTTAGCTGGAAATGCAGAAATCACTCGTCTTCTGCTTCAATCATGCTGCAGACCTGAGCTGTTCCTATTTGGCCATCTTGGAACAGAACCCCAATAAGTCTTCGTTATTCTCTCCTTTTTTCTATTCTTCCTAACTTCTGGTAACCACCAATCTTATCTCCATCTTTATGAGATCCACTTTTTTAGCTCCTACATGTGAGTGAGAATGTGTGATATTTGTCTTTCTGAGCTTGACTTATTTCACTTACTGTAATGACCTCCAGTTTCATGCAAGTTACAGCAAAGGACAGGAGTTAATTCTTTTTTATTGATGAATAGTATTCTGTCATGTAAATATACCACATTTTCTTTATTCACGCATTCATTGATGGGAACTCAGGTTGATTCCATATTTTACCTACTGTGAGTAATGCTCCAATAAGCATGGGAATGCAGATACCTCTTTCATATATTAATTTATTTTTTTTAAATATACCTCCAGTAGTGTAAATGACTGATCATATGGTAGTTCTTTTTCTGGTTTTCTGAGGTGCCTCCATACTCTTCTCCATATTGGCTGTACTAATTTACATTCTAACCAACAGTGTATGAAGGTTCCCCTTTTACCCCAACCTTGCCAGCATTTTTATTGTCTGTTGTTTAATAACAGCCATTTTAATTGGCATGAAATAATATTTTATTGTAATTTTGATTTGCATTTTTTGATCATTAGTTATGTTGAGCACTATTTGATATATGTATTGGCAATTTGTATGTATTATTTTGAAAAATGTCTATTCAGATCTTTTGCCCATTTAAAAATTGTATTATTTATATTTTTGCTATTAACTTGTTTGAGCTCCTTATATATTCCAGTTATTAATTCTTTGACAGATAGAAGGTTTGCAAATATTATTCTCTCGTCCTGTGGATTGTCTCTTTATTTTTTTGGTTGTCTCCTTTGCTGTGCATAACCCCTGTAGCATGATGTAATATCATTTTTTAATTTTGCTTTGGTTGCCTATGCTTTTGAGGTCTTACACAAAAATATTTGTCAAGACAAATGTCTTAGAGTCTTTTCCCAATGTTGTTTTTCTGGTAGTTTTCTTGTTTTAGGTCTTAGATTTAAGTTTTTAATTTGTTTTTACTTGATTTTGTTTGGGGAGATATATAGGAATCTAGCTTCATTCTTCTGCATATAGTTATTCAATTTTCTCAGCAACATTTATTGAAGAGACTGTTCTTTTCTCATTGTATAAGTGCCTTTGTCAAAGATGAGTTGTTTGTAAATGTGTGGATATATATCTGGGTTGTCTCTTCTTTTCCATTGATACATATGTGTGTTTTTATACCAGTACTATACTAATTTTGTTACTAGAAATTCGTAGTAAATTTTGAAGTCAAGTAGTTTGATGCTTCCAGCTTTTTTTCCTTTTATTTTGCTAATTAACATACACTAATTGTTCACCTTTATGTAGTATATGGTGACTTTTCAATATAATAGTGATTTAGATAATTGGCATATCCATCATCTCAAACTTTTATCATTGTGTTATGTTGCAAACATTTAGTATCCTCTGTCTAGTTATTTCAAACTATATACTACATTATGGTTATGATTAACTATTGTCATCCTTCAGTGTTATAAAACACTAGGACTTATTTATCATGTAATTTTATTCAGAATTGCTTTGACTATTTGTGTTCATTTGTAGTTCCATATACATTTTGGGATTTTAAAAATATTTCTGTGAAGAATGCTGTTGGAATTTTGATAGGGATGGCATTGAATCTGCAAATTGCTTTGGGTAGTATTGTCATTTTAACAATATTAATTCTTTTGATCCATGAGTATTGAATATCTTTACATTTCTTTGTGTTCTACTTATTTCTTTAATATTTTATAGTTTTCTTTGGATTGATCTTTCACTTCTTTGATTAAATTGATACCCAGATATTTTGTATTCTTTGTAACTATGGTAAATAAGGTTGATTTCTTTTACAGATTAATCACTTTTGGCATATAAAAATGCTACTGATTTTTGCATTTTGATACTGTATCCTGCACTAAGTATAACATTATGATGTCTGTGAAAAAAAAATTGTTTACCTACTTTTGTCCTATTTGGATGCTCTTTTTTGTTCTCTTGCCTAATTGCTCTGGCCACAACTTGCAGTATTATGTTGAATAAAGGTGGTGAACGTAAATGTTTTGATCTTCTTCTATATCTTAGGAAAAGGTCTTCAATTATTCTATATTTAATATAGTGTTAGCTGTGGGTTTGTCATGTATGGCCTTTATTAAGTTGAAGTGTGTTTATTGGATACCCACTTTATGGATGACTTTTATAATAAAGGAATGTTGAATTTTATCAAATGCTTTTTTTCCATCTATTAAAACAATCATATGGTCTTTGTTCTTGATTTTGTTGATGTGACATAATATGTTTATTACTTTGCATATGTTGAATGATTCCTGAACCCCTAGGATAAATCACTTGATCAGGTGGATGATCTTTATACAATGTGTTTTGGATTTGGTTTGCTTGCATGTTATTAAGGATTTTTGCATCTAAGTTTATAAGATGCAAATTTAATTTGCATCTAAAATTGACATGAAGTTTTCTTTATTGATTCTGTTCTTGTCTGATTTTCGTATCAGGGTAATATTGTTTTCTCTTCATGGTTTTGGAAACCTCCTGAGTAGCTGGGATTACAGGCATACACCACCATGTGCAGCTAATTTTTGTATATTTGGTAGACATGGGGTTTCACCATGTTGGCCAGGTTGGTCTCAAACTCCTGACCACAAGTGATCCACCCAAATTGGCCTCCCAAAATGCTGGGATTACAGGCATGAGCCACCATGCCTGGCCAGTGTTAGTTGAATTCAGCAGTTAATTCATCAGATCCTTGGCTTTTTTTTTTTTTGAGACTTCTTATTACAGCTTTGATCTCATTATTCTTTATTGGTTATGTTTTCCATTTCTTCTTGGTTTAATCTTCATAGGTTTTAGGTGTCAAAGAATTTGTCTATTTCTTCAATGTTTTCCTGTTTGTTGGCCTATATTCATAACAGTCTGTAATGAGTCTTTGCATTTTTATGGTATCTGTTCTAATATCTCCTTTTTATTGCTGATTTTGTTTATTTGGGTCTTTTTTTCTTGGTTAGACTAGCCAGCAGTAAGTTAATTTTATTTATCTTAAAAAAAAACTAACTTTACATTTTGCTGATTTTTGGTAGTTTTAGTCTCAATTTTATTATTTCAGCACAAATTTTAATTTTTTCTTTTCTTCTACTAAATATGTATTTTTCTGTTTTTGTTTTTCTAGTTCTTTGAGGTGCATTGTTAGATTGTATATTTGTAGTCTTTCTACTTTTTTGATATAGGCATTTATTGCTTTAAACTTTCCTCTTCGTACTGCTTTTTGTGTCCCATAGATTTTGGTATGTTGTAATTTTATTTTTATTTTTTCAAGTAATTTTTAAATTTCCGTTTTAATTTCTTTATTGACCCATTGGTTGTTCTAGAGCATGTTGTTCAATTTGCATGTGTTCATGTAGTATATGAGGTTCTTATTGTTATTGATTTCTAGTTATATCCCATTGTACTCAGAAGAGACACTTGATATGAGTTCCACTTTCTTGAATTTGTTGATACTTTGTTTGTGGCCCAAGATGTGGTCTATACTGGAGAATGTTTCATGTGCTGATAAAAAGAATGTGTATTTTGCAGCAATGATGTGAAATATTCTCTAAATGTCAGTTTGGCTTATTAACTGATGTCTACATATGTCTATAGGTGAAGTGTTGTTCCTGTAGGCAGCATATAATTGGTTCTTGTTTCTTTATCCATTTAGCCACTGTATTTTTAATAGGAAAATTGAGTCCATTTTTTTCAGTGTTATTACTGATAAGTAAGGACTTTTACTACTACAATTTTTTGGCTTATTTTCTGGTTGATTTGTAACTCATCTTTCTGTCTTTTTTCTTGCTGTTTTCTTTTGTGGTTAAGCGATTGTATCTGGTACTATGATTTAATTCATTGCTTTTTGAAGTAAACCTGTTATAGGTATTTCGTTTTGGTTTCCAGGTAGCTTACCAAACATTTATGGCTGTAGCATGTTATTCTAAAGAGATAGTAACTTATATCAGAAAGAAAATTATAGAAACAGACATGAAAAGTATTTACTTTAATTCCATTCTTTCCTCCATTTTATTTTTTTAGTTGTCTCAATTTATATATTTTTATATTGCCTATATCTTAACAGTTTACTGTGGCTATTATTGTTTTTGATAGATTTTTCTTTTGGCTTTATACTAGAGTTATGAGCAGATTGCACACCAAAATTATAGTAATTGAGTATTTTGGGTTTGTCCAGGTACTTAATTTTACCAGTGAGTTTTATATTTTCAGTGTTTTCTTTTTGCACATTAGTGGTTTCTTTGTATTTTAGATTGAAGAAATTTCTTTAGCATTTTTTTTCTAAGATGGGTCTCGTGATGGTGAATTGTCTCAGCTTTTGTTTCACTGAGAAATACTTTATCTCTCCTATATATTTGAAGGACAGCATTCCTGGATGCAGTAGTTTTGATGGCAGGGTTTTCTATTATCACTTTGAAAATTTCATTTCGCTCCCTCCGGGTCTGTATGGTTTCCATTGAGAAGTCTGTTGCCTGATGAATTGGAGCTCTTTTTTTAATTTTCTCTGGCTGCTTTTAGGAGCCTCTCTTTGACCTTGACTTTGGGTATTTGATATATGCATTGGGGTAGTGTTATTTGAGTGAAACCTGTTTAGTGTTCTCTGACCTTCATGTACCTGGATATTTATCTTTTTCTCTCATTTTAAAAGGTTTTCTGTTAATTTTTTTGAATCGGCTTTTTACCTTTTTCTCTTGCTCAACTCTCTTTGAACACCATTAATTCTTAGATTTTGTCTTTGAGGTAATTTTCTATGTCTTGCAGGTAAGTCTTCATTCTTTTTTATTATTTTTTCCTTTTTCTCCTCTGAATGTGTATTTTCAAGTAGCCTGTTTTAAAGCTCAATGATTCTTTCCTCTGCTTAATACATACTTCTGTTGACAGCCTGTAATGAATTTTCAGTTTAATGAATGTATTTTTTAGTTTCATTATTTTTGTTTGATTTTCTTAAATTATTTTAATTTATTTGTAAAATTTATCTCACAAATTTATAAATTGCTTCTCTGTTATCTTTGAGATAATTGAGTTTACTTAAAATTGCTCTTTTGAATTCTTGACCAGAGATCTCACATATTACTGCATTGTTAGGGTCAGTCAGTTGTTGCTTTCTTTGTTGATTTGAGGTCATGGCTCCCCGTTTGCTGTTGTTTCTTGTGGATATATTTCTATGTCTTTGCATTGAGGAATTATTGGTTCCAGTCTTCCCTGTCTAGCTTTTTTTTTATTAGATATTTTGCTTAGGGTTTTTTTACTGCTAGGTTGCTGCCTCCTTTGAAGCTCTAGGTGGCACCTTAAACCAAAGTTGATCTTGGCCCTAGTAAACAATTAGAGTGCTGCCCATCCCACAGTGGGAGAGTTCTTAAAGAGAATGTCCTGACAGTGTGGGAAGACTGGCTAGAGGTTCATGCCCAGGGACCTGTGGCACATACCTCTTGCAATGTGGTGCTGCTAAATAGCCACTCTGATTTGGCATAATTTTTGGTTAGCATTCAGAGAGGAACTTCCAAGGCTGGGGATAGTTGTTCTGCCTACTCCTCTTTTCTTTGCCTGTACTAAGGGATGTTTCTTTTTTCAGGCTGTTGGAATGCTTTCCATGGATTAAGGCAGGAACAGGTCTTCTGCCAGGGAACCCAAGATGGCAGGGGAAACTGGTTTTCTACCTCAACCTCACTTTTTTAGTGTAGGAATTTGAATTGGGGGAAATTTTTTGCATGGTTGATGACATGCAGAATGGTAGAGAGGCATTTCAGATGTGAAAGTTCAATTTTCTTACTGTCTGCTCAGAGTTTTCTTTACACCTTTGTGTCCCTGGGAACTATCTCATTCTAATATTTGTGTTCTGGGATATTCTTGGTAATATGATTTGGATTTGTGTCTCAACCCATATTTCATGTTGAATTGTAATTCTCAACGTTGGAGTTGGGTTCTGGTGTGAGGTGATTAAATCATGGGGGTAATTTTTTATGAATGGTTTAACACCATCCCCTTGGGTTCTGTTCTCATAATAGTAAGTGAATTCTCATGTGATCTGGTTGTTTAAAAGTGTTTAGCACCTCCCTACCCCCTCTCTCTTTCTTCTGCTCTGACCATGTGAAATACCTCGTTCCTTCTTTTCCTTCAGCCATAGTTGAAAGCTCCCTGAGGCCTCCCCAGAAGCAGATGCTGTCATAGATTCTGTAATGCCTTCATAACCATGAGCCAATTAAACTTCTTTTCTTTACAAACTACCCAGTCTACAGTACTTTTTATAGCACTATGAGAATGAATTCATACAGAAAATTGGTAGAGAGGAGTGGGGCATATAAAGATACCTGAAAATGTGGAAGCAGCTTTAGAACTGGTTAATGAGCAGAGGTTGAAAAATTGTGGAGTTAATAAAAAAATGTGCCCAGAAGATAATAGGAAGATGAGGGAAAGTTTGAAACTTCCTAGAGACTGCTGGAATGCTTATGACCAAAATACTGGTAGTTAATGCTGGCTTTATTGATATGGACAATGAAGGCCAGGCTGAGGAGGTCTCAGATGGAAATGAAGTACTTATTGGGAACTGAAGCAAAGGTCATTTTGTTACGCATTAGCAAAGAGGTTGGCTGCATTGTGCCCCTTCTCTAGGGATCTGTGAAACTATGAACTTGAGGGTGATAATTTGGGGTTTCTGGCAGAAAAAATTTCTAAGCAGCAAAGCATGTTCAAGATCTGACCTGACTGCTTCTGTCAATTTATGGTCATTTGCATGAGCAAAGAAATGACCTAAACCTGGAACTTATATTTAAAAGGGAAACTGTGCATTAGGGTTTGGAAAATTAGCAGCCTGGCCATGTGGTAGAATAGAAAAGCCCGTTTTTAGGGGAGGAATTCAGACATCCTGCAGAAATTTGCATAAGTAAAAAGGAGCCAAGTATGAGTAGCCAAGACAATGAGAAGAACGTCTAGAAGGCATTTTAGAGACCTTTGTGGCAGCCCCTTCCTTCACAGGCCCAGAGTCTTAGGAGCACAGAATGGTTTCATGGACCAATATCAGGGCCCCACTGCCCTGTGGAACCTCAGGACACTGCTCCCTGTATCCCTATCCCTCCATCTCCAGCTGTGGCTAAAATAAGTTCAAGTACAACTCAGGCCACAGCTTCAGAGTGTAAGCTATAAGCTTTGGCAGCTTCCATGTGGTGTTAAGTCTGTGGGTGCACAGAGTGAAAGAGTTGAAGCTTGGAAGCCTCTGCCTAGATTTTAGATGAAGTATGGAAAAGCTAAAATATCCAGGCAGAAGCCTGCTGTAGAGGTGGAGATATCATGAAAAATCTCTACTAGGGCAGTGTGGTGGGGAAATGTGGGGTTGGTGCCCTTACACAGAGTCCCCACTGAGGCACTGTGTTATTGAATTGTGAGAAGAGGGCCACTATCCAGAACCCAGAATGGTACATCAGCTGGCAGCTTGCACCCTGCATCTGGAAAAGCTACAGGCACTCAACATCAGCCCTTGAGAGCAGCTGTGGTGGATGAACCCTGCAAAGCCACAGGGGTGGAGGTGCCCAAGGCCTTGGGAGCCCACCCCTTGCACAAGTGTGCCCTGGATGTGAGTCATGGAATCAAAGGAGATTATTTTGGAGTTATAAGATTTAATGACTGCTCTGCTGGGTTTCAGACTTGTATGGGGCACATAGGCCCTTTCTTCTGTTAGATTTCTCTCTTTAAGAATGGCAATATTTACCCAATGCTTGTATCCCCATTGTATCTTGGAAATAACTAACTTCTTTTTTGGTTTTAGAGGCTCATAGACAGAAGCGAGTAGCCTTGTCTCAGATAAGACTTTGGACTCTGTACTTTTGAGTTAATACTGGAATGAGTTAAGACTTCGGGAGACTGTTGGGAAGGCATGATTATATTTTTCCATGTGAGAAGGACATGAAATTTGGGAGGGGCCGAGAAGGATGATATGGTTTGGATCTGTGGTCCACTGAGATCTCATGTTAAATTGTAATCCCCAGTGTTGGAGGTGGGTCCTGGTAGGAGGTGGTTGACTCAGGGGTGGCTTCTCATGAATGATTTAACACAATCCCCACGGGTGCTGTTCTCGTGATAGTTAGATCTTGTGAGATCTGTTTGTTTAAAAGTGTGTAGCACCTCCCCCTGTCTCTCCTGATCCAGTCATGTGAAGTGCCTCACTCTCCCTTTATCTTCCACTATTATTGAAAGCTTGCTGAAGACTCCCCGGAAGCAGATGCTGCCATACTTTCTGTACAGCCTGCCAAACCAGAAGCCCATTAAACCTCTTTTCTTTGAAAATTACCCTGTCTCAGGATTTCTTTATAGCAGTGTGAGAATGATCTAATACATTTGGTGATAATTTTGATGCTGTATATTTGTTTTTTGTTTTCTTTGGGGAGGTGGGGAGGTGTAATGCCAGATTGCTTCTAGCTCACCATTTTGAAACAGAAGTCCCAATACTGTCTTTCTTTTATTATTATTTCCTTATTGTATAATTTCATGTATATGAACTTCCCAGAATAGGCAAATTGATTGGAGCAGAATGTAGATTAGTAATTTCTTAGGCCAGAAGTTGGATGGTTAAGCGACTGACTGCTCATAGATGTAGATTTTTGGGGGGAAGGAGTGGAATGCTCTGAAATTAGATTGTGGTGATGATCTTACAACCTTATGAATATACTAAAGATCATTGGCCTGCACATTTCAAATGGGTCAATTTTAATATGAATTATATTTCAATAAATTTGTTTCTAAAAAAATTTTGTCAGATAATTTTTACATTTGATTTATATTGCTGTTAGCAACAGTTGATTATCTTTTCTCATGAATGTTGTGTAGTAGTTTTCCATGGTTGCCATAACAAAGGACCACACAATGGGTGGTTTAAACAACAGAAATTTATTGCCTCATAGTTCTGATGGTTAGAAGTCCAATATGTTGGCAGGACTAGTTTCTTCTGAAGGCTGTGAGAGAGAATCTTTCATAACTGTCACCTAGCTTCTAGTGGTATAGCATAGGTTCTGGCTACTTTTGTGGGCTGTATTTATAATGACAAATTAGTTTTCTAAACCTTTTCAATATTGTTATGATCTGCTTCATTCTGTTTCTGCTTGATGTCCTGGTTTATTCATGCTGGTGCCACCTATGGGAATGCAAGATTCTTCCCAGGGATATTGGTGTTAGTTGAGGGTAGAGGATGCCATTCCTAGCACATAGAAATCATTTCTACTGGCCTGTTTTCCAACCACCCAATTCCAGTAGGCTTCTCACTGTATCTCCACTAGTGGCACCAGGTATGGAAAGCACCTATCTGTAACATACTTTTTGATGAGTGGAGGACCAAAAGTTCCAGGGTCTTGTTGGTGGAGGTTCAAGAGTCCATGTGCCTTATTTACCTCCTACTGCTGGGTAGAGGGCCAAGAATTGGTTGGCATGGTTCCCTTCTCCCATTTGGTGCAGGTCCAGAGAATACATTTCTTGTATCTCTCTCTGCCAATTTGTGGAAGCCAGGAGCTTCTGGGCCTAAGTGGCTATCTGCCACTGGGTGGAAATTTGTGAGACACTGGGCACCACTGGCTTTAGAGAAGCCTGCCTGCTATTTGACACATGGGTTATGTTCATAGTCCTTATTGCTCTGTTGCCAATTCTGTAGACAGATTGCTTACAGCTGCCAGTGGCCATAGTTAGAGAAAGTGCTGGGTTTGATTATTTTGAATATCACAGTTGGATTGTCTCACTGCTGCTGACTGAAGGATGGGTTGTACCCCTTTCCACCTGTTCTGCAGGTACTGCTTCTGTTGGCAGATTGGGGTGGATTTGTTACCTCCTCTGAGCTGTCAGTGTGGGAAGATCCAGCTGTCTAAACTGGCTTATATTTGATTCTAATATACACAAAGAATCCATTTATAAGAAGACTTGTGTTTCTGTGCAAAATGGAATATCAGGGAGCAGCTTTGTCTTTCTACCTGAAACAATTTTTTAAAAGACAAAATATATGAAGCAGCAGTTCAAAAAATCAGGCAGTGAAGGACAGTGATATCTGAGAATCATGATGCAAACAAGATGAGTCTTGTAATTGCATCAGATTACTTACGTGATAGTCTCCAGAACTCAATGCAGGAAAGGGAGCCATAGGCTCCCAGAGTTGAGGAAATAAAGCCGAGAGTTGAAGAAAACCACAGCAACTAGAGTCTAAACTTAAAGGAGAAAAGAGAGCTCATTAGAGAGAGGGAGAGTATTAACAAAGACTGCCACTCAAACTTGCAGCAGGTTACTGATTAATGCTTGAATGTGAGAAAAGCACCCAAACAGGAGAAAGAACCACATGGAAGAAGCTGAGGGAAGAAGACCCAGAACTCACTCATAAGTAGCGCCTCTTCCAATCATTTAGACTAGAAAATCACATACATAGGATACTGATAAGGTACTGAGAAAGGTCTGGTTTCAATACTGGGGAATAATTATCTGTAGACTAAATACTGCTCTACTCCCTGATTACAAAAATGGAACCAAAAAGGCTCAAAAACTATTTCTGTTTAACTTAATCACATCACAGAGAAAATCTCAAGAATATGGGAATAAAAAAAAGTCTAACATCTAAGACCGTTACCAGGATGGTAGAATAGAAAACCCTGAATTCTCCTTCACCCCATAGACACCATTTCAACAAAGACACATGGATCAGTTCTTTGTGAGAAATCTAGAAACTAGCTAAGAGGCTCCTGCATCCCAGGAAAGTGCAAAATCAGCAATATCAAAACTAGTTTAAAAAAAGGCAGTGACACCATTTTGCCAAAATCCTCATCCTGGCATAGCACTGGATGATCAGAAGGGAATCCGGAAATCCCATCTTCTTCCTAAGGAGCAAAGGAGGTAGTTTGCACATCTAACATCCCAACTTCTCTGATTGCTACCTTAGGAACTGGCTTATCTTCCATGTATAGAGAGCTGTTAAAGTTTGCCAAACTATAGTGACCTGCGGGCTACTGAGAACAAAGTAGCAGTTTGAATTAGCACCTGGGCACCCACCAAAGCTTGTCTCTCTGGCTCAAGTGTAGAGCAAGTGAGTAATAAGCTTCAGCTTTTAGTTTCTCCCTCAGAGTTACAACTTCAGGAACTACCCAAGGGATTAGCTTCTTTTCCACTTGTTTCAGAGTGCTGATGAGATCTGTAATACTCTGGATGCCTGGAGACCACTAACAAGAATAGTGGCTTGGACTAGCATGAAAGATCGAAAGGCTCATATTGTATATGTTAAAAATGTTAAGTAGCGCTAAAGAAAATTATAGAAACAACCCAATTCAAACTTCTAAAGATGAAAACTACAATGAACAAAATGAAAAATACATTGTATGGAATTAATAGCAGAGTATATATTTCAGAAGAAAAGATAAGTGAAGTTGATGATAAACCACTGTAAACTATCCAAAATTAAACAGAAATTATAGTAAAAAAAATAATAACAAAGCACCAATAAGCTGAAGGACAGCTCTAGTAGGGCTAACACACATGCAACTGGAATTCAAGAAGAAATAGAGAAGGAAATGGAAAAAAATTTGAAGAATAATTGCCAAAATTTTCCAAATTAGATGAAAATAGACACAAGAATCTCAATAAACCCTAAGTACAAGGAACATAAAGAACAATATATTAAGGCATGCCTTAATCATATTGTTCAAAACAAGTGGAAAAAAAAATCTTAATAGCATCCAGACAAAAATACCTGTTACATTTAGAAGAACAAATTCGAGGATGACAGTAGATTTGTCATTGGAAACAATGCAAACAAGAAGATCGTGCATCAATATTTTTAAAAGATTTTGATGGTTAATTTTATATGTTAACTTGGCTGGGCCATGATGCCAAGACAATTGGTTAAACATTATTCTAGGTGTTTCTGTGAGGGTAATATTAAGATTTAAATTAGTAAACTTTGAACGAAGAAGTTTGCCTTCCATAACGTGCTGTACCTCCTCCAATCAACTGAATGCCTTTACAGAACAATGACTGACCTCCCCCAGCCAGAATAAATTGTGCCAACAGATTGCCTTTGGACTTAAACGGTAACAATGACCCTTCCCTTGGTTTCCAGCCTGACTAACCCTTGACGAAATTTGCAACATTAGCTCTTCTATGGGATTCCAGCCTGCTATCCTACTCTACAGATTTTGCACTTGCCAGAATCCCCAATCATGTGAGCAAACATCTTTCCTTTTTATTTCAACTTTTTAAAATTATACTTTAAGTTCTGGGATACATGTGCAGAACGTGCAGGTTTGTTACATAGGTATACAGGTGCCACGGTGGTTTGCTGCACCCATCAACCCATCATCTACATTAGGTATTTCTCCTAATGTTATCCACTCCCTAGCCCCCCACCCTCCAACAGACCCCAGTGTGTGATCTTCCCCTCCTTGTGTCCATATGTTCTCATTGTTCAACTCCCACTTATTAGTGAGAACATGCAGTATTTGGTTTTCTGTTCCTGTCTTAGTTTGCTGAGAATGATGGTTTCCAGCTTCATCCTTGTCCCTGAAAAGGACCTAAACTCATCCCTTTTTATGGCTGTATAGTATTCCATGGTGTATATGGGCCACACTTTCTTTATCCATTTGATCATTGATGGGCATTTGGGTTGGTTCCAAATCTTTGCTGTTGTCAATAGTGCTGCAATAAACGTATGTGTGCATGTGTCTTTACAGTAGAATGATTTATAATCCTTTGGGTATATACCCAGTAATGGGATTGCTGGGTCAAATTGTATTTCTGGTTCTAGATCCTTGAGGAACCACCACACTGTCTTCTACAATGGTTGAACAAATTTATAATCCCACCAACAGTGTAAAAGCGTTCCTACTTCTCCATATCCACTCCAGCATCTGTTGTTTCATGACTTTTAATGATCACCATTCTAACTGGCATGGGATGGTATCTCATTGTGGTTTTGATTTGCATTTCTCTAATGACCAGTGATGATGAGCTTTTTGTCATATATTTGTTGGCCATATAAATGTCTTCTTTTAAGAAACGTCTGTTCATATTCTTTGCCCACTTTTTGATTGGGTTGTTTTTCTCTTGTAAATTTGTTTAAGTTCTTTGTAGGTTCTGGATATTAGCCCTTTGACAGATGGATAGATTGCAAAATATTTTCCCTATTCTGTAGATTGCCTGTTCACTCTGATGATAGTTTCTTTTGCTGTGCAGAACCTCTTTAGTGTAATTAGATCCCATTTGTCAATTTTGGCTTCCATTGCCATTGCTTTTGGTGTCCTACTTATGAAGTCTTTGCCCATGCCTCTGTCCTGAATAGTATTGCCTAGGTTTTCTTTTATGGGTTTAGGTATTACATTTAAGTCTTTAATCAATCTTGAGTTAATTTTTGTATAAGGTATAAGGAAGGGGTCCAGTTTCAGTTTTCTGCATATGGCTAGCCAGTTCTCCCAGCACCATATATTAAATAGGAGATCCTTTTGCCATTGCTTTTTATTTTTTGTCAGGTTTGTCAAAGATCAGATGGTTGTAAATGTCCGGCATTATTTCAGAGGCCTCTGTTTTATTCCATTGGTCTATATATCTGTTTTGGTAGCAGTACCATCCTGTTTTTGTTACTGTAGCCCTGTAATATAGTTTGAAATCAGGTAGCACGATGCCTCAAGTTTTGTACTTTTTGCTTAGGATTGTCTTGGCTATACGAGGTCTTTTTTGGTTCCATATGAAATTTAAAGTAGTTTTTCCCAATTCTGTGAAGAAAGTCAATGGTAGCTCAATGGGAATAGCATTGGATCTATAAATTGCTTTGGGCAGTATGGCCATTTTCACAATATTGATTCTTCCTATCGATGAGCATAAAATGTTTTTCTATTTGTTTGTGTTTTCTCTTATTTCCTGGTGCAGTTGTTTGTAGTTCTCCTTGAAGAGGTCCTTCACATCCTTTATAAGTTGTATTCCTAGGTATTTTATTGTATTTGTAGCAATTGTGAATGAAAGTTCACTCATGATTTGACTCTCTGTTTGTCTGTTATTGGTGTATAGGAATGCCTGTGAGTTTTGCACATTGATTTTGTATCCTGAGACGTTGCTGAAGTTGCTTAGCAGCTTAAGGAGTTTGGGGACCGAGACGATGGGGTTTTCTAAACATGCAGTCATATCATTTGCAAACAGAGACAATTTGACTTCCTCTCTTCCTATTTGAATATTCTTTATTTCTTTTTCTTGCCTGATTGCCCTGGCCAGAACTTCCAACACTATGTTGAATAGGAGTGGTGAGAGAGGGCATCCTTGTCTTGCGTCACTTTTTAAAAGGAATGCTTCTAGCTTTTGCCCATTCAGTATTATATTTGCTGTGGGTTCATCATAAATAGCTCTTATTATTTTGAGATATGTTCTATAAATACCTAGTTTATCGAGAGTCTTTAGAAGGGCTGTTGAATTGTACTGAAGGCCTTCTCTGTGTGTATTGAGATAATCATACGGTTTTTGTTAGTGGTTCTTTTTATGTGATGGATTACATGTATTGATTTGCATATGTTGCACCAGCCTTGCATCTCAGGGATGATGCCAACTTGATAGTGGTGGACAAGCTTTTTAATGTGCTGCTGGAATCAGTTTGCCAGTATTTTATTGAAGATTTTTGCATCAATGTTCATCAAGGATATTGGCCTGACATTTTCTTTTTTTGTTGTGTCTCTGCCAAGTTTTCTTATCAGGATGATGCTGGCCTCATAAAATGAGTTAGGGAGCAGTCCCTCTTTTTTGTTGTTTAAAATAGTTTCAGAACAATGGTACCAGCTCCTCTTTGTACCTTTGGTAGAATTCGGCTGTGAATTTGTCTGGTCCTGGGCTTTTTTTGTTTGATAGGCTATTAATTACTTCCTCAATTTCAGAACGTGTTATTGGTCTATTCAGGGATTTGACATCTTCCTGGTTTAGTCTTGGGAGGGTGTATGTGTCGAGGAATTTATTCATTTCTTCTAGATTTTCTAGTTTATTTGCATAGAGGTGTTTATAATATTCTCTGATGGTAGTTTGCATTTCTGTGGGATCAGTGGTAATATCCTTTTTATCATTGTTTATTGTTTCTATTTGATTCTCCCTCTTTTCTTCTTTATTAGTCTGGTTAACTGCCTATCTATTTTGTTAACATTTTCAAAAAATGAGCCCCTGGATTCATTGATTTTTTAAAGACTTTTTCGTGTCTCTATCTCCTTCAATTCTGCTCTGATCTTAGTTATTTCTTGTCTTCTGCAAGCTTTTGAATTTGTTTGCTCTTGCTTCTCTAGTTCTTTTAATTGTGATGTAGGGTGTCGATTTTAGATCTTTCCCACTTTTTTCTGTGGGTATTTAGTGCTATAAATTACCCTCTAGACACTGCTTTAGCTGTGTTCCAAAAATTCTGATACGTTGTGTCTTTGTTCTCATTGGTTTCAAAGAACTTATTTATTTCTGCCTTCATTTTGTTATTTACCCAGTTGTCATGCAAGAGCAGGTTGTTCAGTTTCCATGTAGTTGTGTGGTTTTGGGTGACTTTGTTAATCCTGAGTTCTAGTTTAATTGCAGTGTGGTCCGAGAGACTATTTGTTATTATTTCCATTCTTTTCCATTGACTGAGGAGTGTTTTACTTCCAATTATGTGGTCAATTTTAGAATAAGTGTGATGTGGTGCTGAGAAGAATGTATATTCTGTTGATTTGGGGTGGAGAATTTTGTAGATGTCTATTATGTTTGCTTGGTCAAAAGCTGATTTCAAGTCCTGAATATCCTTGATAATTTTCTGTCTTGTTCATCTGTCTAATATTGACAGTGTGGTATTAAAATCTCCCACTATTATTGGGTGGCAGTCTGAGTCTCTTTGTAAGTCTCTAAGAACATGCTTTATGAATCTGGATGCTTCTGTATTGGATGCATGTATATTTAGGGTACTTAGCTCTTCTTGTTGTGTTGATCCCTTTACCATTATGTAATGCCCTTCTTTGCCTTTTTTGATCTTTGTTATTTAAAGTCTTTTTATCAGAGACTAAGATTGCAACCCCTGCTTTTTTTTGCTTTCTAACTGCTTGGTAAGTATTCCTCCATTTCTTTATTTTGAGTCTGTGTGTGTCTTTGCACATGGGATTGGTCTCCTGAATACAGCACATGGATGAGTCTTGCTTCTATCCAATTTGCCAGTCTGTGTCTTTTAGTTGGGGCATTTAGTCCATTTATATTTAAGGTTAATATTGTCATGTGTGTATTTGATCCTTTCGTCATGATGCTAGCTGGTTATTTTGCTCGTTAGTTGATGCAGTTTCTTCATAGTGTTGATGATCTTTACAATTTGGTATGTTTTTGCAGTGGCTGGTACCAGTTTTTCCTTTTCATATTTAGTGCTTTCTTTAGGAGCTCCTGCAGGCAGGCCTGGAGGTGACAAAATCTCTCAGCATTTGCTTCTCTGTAAGGGATTTTCTTTCTCCTTCAATTATGAAGCCAGTTTGGCTGAATAAGAATTTCTGGGTTGAAAATTCTTTTCTTAGAGAATGTTGAATTTTGACCCCCACTCTCTTCTAGCTTGTAGAGCTTCTGCAGAGAGATCTGCTGTTCACCTGATGGGCTTCCCTTTATGGGTAATCCGACCCTTCTCTCTGGCTGCCCTTTTTTCCTTCATTTCAACCTTGGTTAGTCTGATGATTATGTGTCTTGGGGTTACTCTTCTCGAGGAATATATTTGTGGTGTTCTCTGTATTTCCTGAATTTGAATGTTGACATATCTGGCTAGGTTTGGGACGTTCTCCTGGATAATATCCTGAAGAGTGTTTTCCAACTTGGTTTTATTCTCCCCGTCACTTTCAGGTACACCAGTCAAATGTAGGTTTGGTCTTTTCACATAGTCCCATATTTCTTGGAGGCTTTGTTTGTACATTTTCATTCTTTTTTTCTCTAATCGTGTCTTCACGCTTTATTTCATTAAGTTGATCTTCAATATCTGATGTCCTTTTTTCCACCTGATTGATTTGGCTATTGATACTTGTGTATACTTGACGAAGTTCTCATGCTGTGTTTTTCAGCTCCATCAGGTCATTTATGTTCTCTACACTGGTTGTTTTAGTTAGCAATTTTTCTAACCTTCTTTCAAGGTTCTTAGCTTTCTTGCAGTAGGTTAGAAGATGCTCCTTGAGCTCAGAGGAGTTTGTTATTACCCACCTTCTGAAGCCTACTTCTGCCAATTCATCAAACTCATTCTCTGTCCAGTTTTGTTCCCTTGCTGGCAAGGAGTTGTGATTCTTTGGAGCAGAAGAGCCTTTCTGTTTTTTGGAATTTTCAGTCTTTTTACACTGTTTTTTTTTTCTCATCTTTGTGGATTTATCTACCTATGGTTTTTGATATTGGTGACCTTCAGATGGGGTTTTTCTGTGGATGTCCTTTTTGTTGATGTTGATGTTTTTCCTTCCTGTCTGTTAGTTTTTCTTCTAACAGTCAGATCCTTCTGCTGCAGGTCTGCTGGAATTTGCTGGAGGTCCACTCCAGACTCTGTTTGCCTGGGTATCACCACCAGAGGCTGCAGATTGACAAAGATCACTACCTATTCTTTTCTCTGGAAGCTTCATCCCAGAGGGTACCCGCCAGATGCCAGCTGGAGCTGTCCTGTATGAGGTGTCTGTCAACCCCTGCTGGGAGGTGTCTCCCAGTCAGGAGGCACGGGGGTCAGGGACCCATTTGAGGAGGCAGTCTGTCCCTTAGCAGAGCTTGAGTGCTCTGCTGAGAGATCTGTTGCTCTCATCAGAGCTGGAAGGCAGGAATGCTTAAGAATGCTGAAGCTGTGCCCACAGCTGCCCCTTCCCCCAGGTGCTCTATCCCAGGGAGTTGGGAGTTTTAGCAATAAATCCCTGACTCAAGCTGCTGCCTTTCTTTCAGACATGCCCTACATGGAGAGGAGGGATCTTGAGAGGCAGTGTGGCTTCAGCAGCTTTGCCAAACTGTGGTGGGCTCTGCCCAGTTTGAACTTCCCAGAAGCTTTGTTTATACTGTGAGGGGAAAACCACCTACTCAAGCCTCAGTAATGGCAGATGCCCCTCCCCTCAACCAAACTTGAGTGTCCCAAGTTGACTTCAGACTGCTCTGCTGGCAACGAGAATTTCACGCCTGTGGATATTAGCTTGCTGGTCTCTGTGGGGGTGGGATCCACTGACCTAGACCAAGTGGCTCTCTGGCTTTAGCCATCTTTCCAGAAGAGTGAACGGTTCTGTCTCGATGGCATTCCAAGTGCCACTGGGGTATGAAGAAAAACTCCTGCCGCTAGCTCAGTGTCTGGCAAGTTGGCCACCGAGTTTTGTGCTTGAAACCCAGGGACCTGATGGTGTAGGCACCCAAGGTAATCTCCTGGACTTTGGGTTGTGAAGTATGTGGGAAAAGTGTAGTATTTGTGCTGTAATGTACAGTTCCTCACAGCACAGTTCCTCACTCCTTCCCTTGACTAGGGGAAGGAGTTTCCTGACCACTTGTGCTTCCTGGGTGAGGCAACACCCCACCCTGCTCTCTTCCTTTCCCTCTTTACCTCCCTTTTTTCTTCTATCCCTCCATTGCTCCTTTTCTTTTTCTCTCTACCCCCCTGCACTCTCTCTCTCTCTCTCTTTCTCTCTCTCTCTGTCAGTCTCTTGGTTCTGTTTTTCTGGAGAACCCTGACTGATACAAATACTGAAAGAGAGAAACTCAGTCTAGATTGTATACTTACCAAAAACATTTCCTTCAAAAAATGAAGGTCAAATTTTTTTTTAGATCTTAAAAGGTAAAATAATTCATCATCAGCAGATGTACATTACAAAAATGTTAAATGAACTTTTTTAAGCAGAAGGAAACTGATACCAGGGAAAAATATATCTACACCAAGGAATGATGGATCTCATAAATGAGCTGATTAGGTAAACATATAAGGTACTTGTAATTAAATCAGTTTAAATATTTATTAACTGTAGTTTCTGATCTCTGCCAGAAGATATAGAGATGAAGGATGAGCATTACTTTTATCTGTGTAAGAAAAATGCTAGACGATATAGAAATTAGCAACTTTTCTTGAACCTATTGGAGAAGTTATGTCAAAATGCAGACATCTAACCTAAAACCTGGAGAGAGGTGTCTGCAGGGAACATAACTGGATAATTTTCTACTAAAAATAGATATCACGGAATACCATATAAGATATAGGAAGGTTAAATATTTTGTTAGAAATATTTAGCCAACTGTTAAACGCTGATTGTGGGGTAGCATGAGAAAATGAATCCTGTTTTCAGGCATAAGTGGTTTTCCATCACTTTTTAGGCCACTTCTCCAGGAATCCCATTCAGAAGACTGAGGAAGATACTAAGAAAACTCTTTCATTTCTTGCTGGAGGAAAAGAACAATAGCCACTGCAAAAATCCACCCAGACTAATATATCTTTACTATCTGTACTAAAGAAAATACCTTATCTGCACAGGAGTGCACTGGGAGAATTTCATTGCACCTGTGTAAGAAGAATGGAAATAATTGGGCCAGTTATGGTGGCTCATGCCTGTAATCCCAGCACTTTGGGAGGCCAAGGCAGATGGATCACCTGAGGTAGGGAGTTCGACACCAGCCTGACCAACATGGAGAAACCCCATCTCTACTAAAAATACAAAATTAGCTGGTTGTGGTGGCGCATGCCTGTAATCCCAGCTACTCAGGAGGCTGAGGCAGGAGAATTGCTTGAACCTGGGAGGTGGAGGTTGCAGTGAGCTGAGATTGCACCATTGCACTCCAGCCTGGGCAACAAGAGTGAAACTCTGTTTCATAAAAGATAAATAAATAAAATAAAAATATAAATAAGAATGGAGATCATCACCAAAACTGCACCCATACTCGTCTTCCTGGAAGCTTCTCCATTTGGAGGAGGGATAGTAATACTTGTGAAGAATATATCTTAAAACTGAAGTTCAAAATACTTGCTTAAGACTGAGGTTTTAAAAGAACATCAGAGAATGATCACCTTTCTTCCTCTACCTAATCAGGCTGACAAACTTTGAATAAATATTATAGTGGAATACAGCTGGAGAAATGGCAAGAGACTAGCTCTCTATGGGAAGCAAAACAAAAGAAAAATCCAAAGCCAAGTAGAGAAACAAAAACAAAGTATCACTAGAGGATTTTGAATTATCTCAGGCGCATGACAACAACAAAATCAAACTCTGATAACCATAGCAACAAATTCCAACTCTGGTAACCATAGCAACCATAGCAACTAGGCAAATTTCAATCCTAGCCCAACTCCTGATTAGATCAACACAAACCCCCACACAAAAGGCCCAGCAGAAGGAAAATCATGCTAATCTTGAAGTGTATTTTTAAAATGAAGTTATATGTACTATCTTATAAATGGTCATCTTTCAACAACAAAATTATGTGGCATGCCAAAAAACATGAAATAAACACAATCTGAAGAGACAAAGAATCTTTCTAAAGCAGACTCAGATATCACATGGCTGTTGGAACTATCATTAAAACATTTTAAACAACTGCAATTAACATGTGTAATCACTGGTTCTCAAAAGCAGGTAATTTTGCCCACAGAAAATATTTGGCAATATCTGGACACATTTATCATTGCCTTAATGGGAGATGTTTTACTAGCATCTAGTGGGTAGGGGCCAAGGACGAGGCTAAATGTCCTGCAAGGTGCAGGACAGCATTTTATTTATTCATTCTTACAGTTTTCATTTTTTGCTGAAAGTACAGATATAATCTTGCTTGTCATCTACTTTTACTGTTACAGCATTTAACACAGTAGTTCCCAGCTTTGGCATAATTGATATTTTCAGGCAGATAATTCTCTTGTAAAAATAAAATGGATATGTTAATAAGACTGTAGTAATTATTTCATGATGTATATGTATATCAAAACAACACCTTAAATTTATACAATAAAAAAGAAAGAATAATATGGCAATGCCAGAAATAAAAATCACAATAGGAAAGTCTTGGGGGAGGTTTGTGATGTACATCCAGTGAGTAGCTAGTGGTCCCAGGTGCTGCTGGTTCGTGTGCTCTGAGGGAGAGTCTGAGCCACACGCTACTGACAGAGGAGCCCCTCAGGCCAGTGTAAGCATTAATAATGTCTTTCATCTTTGAGTGAATCTACAATGGCTTCAGCTTTGTGATCTAGTTTCTAGGACTCTAGAAGAAATATAGAAAACTTGTATTCATGGGTTTGGACAATGCAGGCAAAACCACTCTTCTTCACATGCTCAAAGGTGACAGATTGGGCCAACACATTCCAGCACTACATCTGACATCACAAGAGCTAACAATTGCTGGAATGACTTTTACAACTTTTAATCTTGGTGGGCACGAGCAAGCACATCGGTTTGGAAAAATTATCTCCCAGCAATTAATGGGATTTTCTTTCTGGTGGATTGTGTGGATCATTCTTGCCTCGTGGAATTCAAATTTGAGCTTAAAGCTTTAATGACTGATGAAACAGTATACAATGTGCCAATTCGTATTTTGGGAAACAAAATTGACAGAACAGATGAACTCAAGGAAGAAAAACTCTGTGAGATATCTGGGCTTTATGGACAAACCACAGGAAAGGGGAATGTGACCCTGAAGAAGTTGAATGCTTGCCCCATAGAAGTGTTTGTGTGCAGTGTGCTCAAGAGGCAAGATTATGGTGAGGGTTTCCACTGATTCTCCCAGTATATTGACTGATGTCTGGGCACTGAAAATAAAAGAGTTTTGCTTCTCTGGACTGATCCTAATCACAGCTTCCTCATGAACTTTTCTAAAAGAACGAGGAAAGCTCTCCAACCATGTCTGCTATTGAGAGGCCATGAGTATCTGTCAACTCTCTCATTGCCTAGTGGTGACATGTGCTCTTTTCCACACTGTTGAAAGGTTATGTTGCCCCATGTGCTGGTACAAGTTTGTATCCTGGGACTTGGAAGCTGTCAGGATTTGCTGAGTAAAGCTGTGTGCCATCATGGGGCACCTGAAAAGAAAAACACATCTCACCACTGTGGTTGATTTCAAAAGAAACTGATTCTATTTTTTAAAGAAAGTGTTGTTAATATAATTTGTATCCCTCCTAACTTTTCAATTTCATAATTTACTTGGTCCAGAGTGTTCTATTATTTTTTAAACTAATGAATAATATTTAGATACTTCATAAAATTATGAACAGATACATATTGGAGGTCAGAGCTCATTTGGGTGAACTTACCGCTGCTGAGTTAGCAGGTTGGGGTGAGAAGCTCCCCTAAACTCACCTGTCTATATAACTGCCTTGTAGTAGGTGGCATCACCTTGTGCACAAAGAACAAGAAAAGGGGGAGAACCCTGGCCTTGCAGTTGTGGCAGGCTTCGACTGTAGCAAACTAGAGTCATTCATTATCAAGAAATGTGTACCAGATTATTCACTGTGGAGTAGTTAATTATAGAGGGGGTTATTGGTATTATAATTTTTACTTATAAAGTTACAGATTTCAGCCAGTCTGCTTTTGTATAATACTTTCATGAGCTTTTATTCCTCTCTATAGCACTTTGTTTTTTCATTTTCAGTTATCGAAAGTGAATTTCACCTTATAAAAGAGTTAAGAACATCTCTCATGTTGTCACATACTGCAGGTGTGTCTCAGTAACATTTGCACAGATTTTAGGAGTAATTTTTTTAATAGGAAGACACAGGACAAAGTTAACAGCTTAAGGGTTCTCAATTCTATGAGTTGAGACTTAAAAATCTGGTATTGTAGCACTTATTTGGATCTAGAAAAAATTTTAGTTAGTGGGCTTCAAAACTTCCATTTGCAGAATTTGGTCCCTAATGGGCTGTTCCTGGACTCTTTTTCTTACATCTGTTCTCTTTAGATATATATTTTTGGTGTTTAAAGACAAGATTAACATATGTAGCTTTTTTGGGTTTGTTTGTTTGTTTTTGTATGAAATTGCCTTTTTTCCTTCCAGAAATAAGCTGTGGAAAACACTAACCAAAAAACTTTCTGCAGAGCTGTTTTCTTGGAGGCAGCATCACTTATAGGCAGTAAAGACTCATTGTAAAAGCACCAGCATCCCTACTAGAGTAATGAGGATTAATTTTATAGCATTCAATTTTCTTAGTACCAAGTGTGAAATTGGATTTTTATAATCTTAACCTATATTCTAAACTTGCAGTAAAATATGAAATGATAGTATCTTCTAGGAAAAGATAGAATATAGGAGATGAAAAGCTGGAAAGATATATTTATTCTAATATGAGGGTAGAGAAAATATGGTCAACATGTTACTGGGGTGAGAGAATAATGTTCTTTAGTTGGAGTTCTCATTCTTAGTCTTCAGTAATGATTTGTTGGGAAATAATACTTTTTTTCACTACCAGGTGCCAAATGCAGAAACCCAGTGAAGTGCATCCCTGGGAACTACATACATTTTATTTATTAGCAAGCATAGCTGCATTAATAAAAAAAAATCTTTGGTTTGCAAAGGGATAAAGCCTTAGGTAAACAAATTTAGCTAACAGTAAATAAAGTAGGTAGTTAACTTGCATATTTTTATTTCCTTTGGTTAAAGATTACCTTACTTCTCTATTCAGAGACATGAGAAGTAGGATTGCTTCAGTGTTAGTTTCCTTATTTTTGCTTTTTTATTTGTCCCTAATCACTTTGTTGCAAGCTATAAAACTGTGTGATCTACATAGGGCAGCTCTTTGTGAAAGTGGTTTATTCCCTTGGAGAAAGAGGGGATTGAATATCAGTTAGAGCACATCTATAATAAGATAACTGAAAAAAAGCTGCTGTGAGAAGCTCAGCTCCAAACACAGAATCAGCCCCTTGTACAGGAACTCCCATGAATTGAGACTTTCCATTCTGTTTTATTAGAGTGAATATATGTCCTATTTCAGGCAAAGTGAAACAGTTATTTACAAAAGAAAGTTAATCTGTATCCCAACCATCTTTTAAAAAGTTAAAACAAATAGAAAACCCACAATAACAGAAATTAGATTGTTTTGGTTGGGCTCATCAGTAGACATACTACAGCTAAGAAAAACATAAATAATCTTGAAGTTGAGTCAGTAGAAATTCCCCAAACAGGAATGCTGAGAGAAAAAAGTAAGAAAATAGTACGGAACATGCAAGCCCAGTGGGATAATAAATGGTCTAATGTACATGTCATCAGAATCCTACGAGGAGAAGAGAGACAAAAGCTCCTACTTCCCTGCCCCTCTCTAATCAGTATTCTTTCAAGAGTTCTTTGGTGAAGCCATCTATCTGAAACTAAAATGAACCAAACTCATATTTCACTGGTGGTTGGAGAAAACCATGGCCAAAACGACTGTGGCAGGTCTCTATCTTGGGAGTTTTTAAGAAGGAATGTGCCAGAGGCCTTTCTCAAGAATGGAGTTTTCTTTTGTTTTGCAGAGGCAATCAATGTGTCTAGTGCTTGCTGGCCACAGCAGTTACTACCACGGAGCCTTCTGGGAGGGGCCACTGTGTTGAAGGAGGCTCCTGCCTGAGGGACAGCATTAGGCAGTGGGCTCTGTAGAGTGAGAACCAGGTGGACGCCTTTTGTGCCCAGCTCAGAGTCCTGCACCACGCCAGGACTGCCCAGGCCAAGGGCTACTGACGCAAGTTCCACTCATTCCACTCTGTGACGAGGGGCCTTGCGCCTCTCCTGGAAGGGCTCTTGGAGAAGGAATTGGAGTTACGTACAAGTGACCTAAATGGGAAACTTTTCTAGATGAGATTGGATTAAATTCCATGTGATTTATCTTTCCTTTTAATTCAGGTTGGGAGTCATTTCTTTCTGGTGGATCACAGCTGTCCAGATGTTGCAACTGATTTTTATGTTTCTGTAGAGAAGTATTTTTCTTTCATCTTCAGGATTTTTATTTTATTTTTTTTTTGCTACCAAAAGAAAACATTGGAACTCTGTGTTTCCTCTTGATTGTGACTTCCCAATGTTGACAGTTAAGTCCTTAGTGTCGTAGGTCCCAGCCCACCAATACTATATCAAACACTGTTATGCACATAATGCAGCACTGTGATCTAATTTAAATAATACTTTTTATTATTTATACTACTATATATAATATACATCAACACTTTTGCTATATAACCTAAGTGATAACCCTCTTTTAGTTACCTGCCAAACTCTGGACTTGTTTTATATTGTAGTTAACAGAGTACAAAGTTGTAATGGTGTCTTTTTTCCTTTGTAACTGAATGTGTAAATCAAAGTATATACATTCTGTGGTGTTCCTGTTTCTGGAGTTTCATGAGGATTTACACATGGCATTCAGTGTTCTGTACAGATCTGCCTACCTTTGTGAATTCATCTGTTAACCCCTCTTCCTTTGAGAGAACACCAGCGATGGTGATTAACTCCTAGTGTTTTCTCTCTCTCCTACTGGTTATTCTTGAATTAAGCACAGACTCGTCAGCTCAGTAGCTTTATCATGAATAATGTGTGTGACCTTGCAGTTCTTCCACAGTTCAGCAAACAAGTGCTAGCTTCACTGAACAAAAATTAAGGAAGGAAAACACGGTTTTTAAAATGATCCATCTTTTAACAGCCAAAACCAATGTGTCTAAGGTGCGGCATCTTGCTGTTGTACTTCTGAAAACAGACCTGTGTGAATGATCATTTCTGACTTAACCATGAGATGCTCATGTGTACCCTTCCAGTTGTTTTGTTAGCATTGAAATCAAGACTATTTAGTTGGAATATATGCAACAGTGTTTTTCCACTGTATTTCATTTGAAAAAGTTGAAACTTCTTTCTCTACCTTTTGCAAAATAATTGATATTCCATAGTGGATTCTCGAAGACTTTGATATGGTGAAACTATTAAACCTAGAAATTGTATTCATCCTTTCATGACTGTGGCCTGAGTTCCCCAGCCCCTCTCCTCCTTTTTTTAGATGAGATTTAGCACACTCTCAGTTATTTAAACATGCAACATTTCTTGAGTATGTATGTTGAGGCCATCTGCACTCATAGCTGATTCAGTAACCAGTTTCATGCTGTGTCATTCACACTCAGTACTTAATACTGCCATAGTGAAAATGTGGAGGAAAAATGTATACATGTGTGTCTGGGAAGCATATACACTTGTACATTTTTTAATACTCTGATTCTGTAACATTTCTGAGTTTTGTTTTGTTTTACAGAAGAAAAAATGTGATAAAGCGATCAGAAGACCAAGAGCTTTACTATCGATGCTTAGGGTCGTCTGACCTTGGCTGGCCAATAGACCTACATGGCCAAATTAACACGAGAGTAATAATTTTTCAAAAGCCAATTTTTTTCTGTATTTCTGTATGAAGATGCAAATATCATGAATAGAAAGGGAGAACCATAAAGGAGAAAGAACGTGATGTTCCGTTATATTTGTGTGAACCTAAACAAACAATGTGGAGGCAGGTGCAATCAGCCAAACTCTAGGGACTTGATGGTGTTGCTTGGAAGGCATCCATACCTGCATTTTGCATTCTTCGTATGTAATCATATTGCCAAAGACAAAGTATTCCATCATTTATTGTAAACAACACTTTTCCCCAGACCTACCATAAAGTTTCTGTGATGTATTGTCTTCCAGTTGCAATAAAAATTACTGAGTTGCATCAATTGAAAAACAAAAAGAACAGAGAAAATATTTTTAAAAAATGGCTGATAATTTTCCAAAATAGCTACCAAATACTACAAATTGAAGAATTTCAGAAAACATCAAACAGGATAAATGCAATACAAACAAAACAAAAACATATTACACACACGCATATAAACACACACACCCATAGGCATATTATATTCACACTGCTAAAAACTATAAGCAAGGAGAAAATTTTGCAGTCAGCCAGGGATAGGGGCACATTGTTTACAGAGAAAGAAGCATAAGAATCATAGCAGACTTCTCTTTAGAAACCACAAAAACAAGAATACATTTTTTAAGTGTTGAAATAAAAACATTATCAACTTAGTATTCCATTCCCAGTGAAAATGTCCTTCAAAAGTCTTCCAATGTGACCCAACTGACCTTTAAAAACCAACCTTCCAACAACAGAATACACATTCTTCACAAGTGCATATAAAACATTCACAAAAATACATCATATTCTGGGCTGTAAAATAAACCTTGAAAAATTTAGAAGAATAGAAATTATACAAAGTATGTTACCAGGAAATAACATAATTAATCTAAAATCAATAGCATGGAGATTTTAAAAACCCACATATTTTGAAATTAAGCAGAACATTTACGTGAAAGAGAAAGTCTCCAGGAAAATTGAAGAATATTTTCAACAAAACAAAAAGTAAAATACAATATATCAAAATTTGTGATATGTGGCTAAAGTGTAGTGCTGAAATGAAAATATAGAGCATTAATGCATGTATTACAAAAGAAGAATAAGCTAAAATTAATAACCTAAACTTCCACCTTAGGAAAATATGTTAAGAAGAGCAATTTAAGTCTAAAGCAAGTAGAAGAAAGGAAACAATTTTAAAATTAAACAAAAGTCAAAAAATTAAAAATAATAAAACGTTAAATTTTTAAAAAAGATGGTTCTTTGAAGATATACAAATGCCAATAAGCATATGAAAAAATGTTCACCATTACTAATCATCAGGTAACACAAATCAAAACTGCAATGAGATATCAACTCACCTCAGTTAAGATGGCTTTTATCAAAAAGACAAAATTAATGGATGCTGGGAAGGATGTAGAGAAAAGGGAGCACTCATACACTGTTAGTGGGAATGTAAATTAGTAAAGCCACCATGGAAAACAGTATGGAGGTTTCTTGACAAACTAAAAATAAGACTACCATACGGTCCAAAAACCCACTGCTGAGTATATATTTTTTAAAAAAGGAAATCAATATATGGAAGAGTTATCTACACTCCAATTTTTATTACAGCACTATTCACAAGAGCCAAAATATGGACTTAACCTAAATGTCTATCAATGGATGAATAGATAAAGAAAATGCAGTACATGTATACACTGGAGTATTATTCAGCATAAAAAGAATGAAATTTTGTCTTTTGTGGCAACATGTTTGGAACTGAAGATCATTATGTTAAGTGAATTAAGCCAGGTACAGAAAAGACAAATATTGCATGTTTTCACTCATATGTCAGAGCAAAGTATAGTGGATCTCATTGAGATACAGAGTTGATTGGTGATTATCATAGGTTGGAAAGTGTAGGGAACAGGGGGAATGAAGAGATGTTGGTTAATGGGTACAAAAATACAGGTAGATAGAAAGAATATGGTTAGATGTGGTGGCTCACCCCTGTAATCCCAAAACTTTGGGAGGCCAAAGTGGGAGGATTGCTTGAAGGCAATAGTTTAAAACCAGCCTGGGCAACACAGTGAGATCCCAACACAGTGAGTCGAGATTATTTTTCTCAACTAAGAAAAATAATAATAGTAAAAAAGAGAAAAAATAAGATCTAGTGTTTGATGGTATAGTAGAGTGACTATAGTTAATAATAATATATTGTATAGTTCAAAATACCTAAGAGAGAAGAACAGAAATTTTCCCAACATAAAGAAAATATGTTTTTGAGATTATGAGTATCCCTATTACCTAGCAGCTTAACTCTTTATCTTTCTCTCTCTGGCCCACTACGTTTGCTGTTTCTTCCCCTTTATTTTTAGATTTCCCTTCTTACTTTTTCTCTTTCTCCCTTTCCCAGTTTCTCTTTTCTTTCTTCTTACAAAAAACTTTTGAGCTTCCCTCAGTAACTCTTTAATCAACTTTTTATTCCAGCTATAAATCTTTTGTAACTTTTTGGTGATATCTGTCCAGCTTTTGGTCATAAAGTTGACCTTTAGAAGACCCTGTCCTACTGGGTCCTCCAGATGTAATATAGAGTATTTTCTCATCAGATCTTTAAGCCTCTGAAAGAATGCAAAGGGAGTTTCCTCCTTTTCTTGTTGAATTTCAAATGCCTTTGATAAATTGTGTGTCCTAGAAGTGGACTATTTGATCCCTTTAAATATTAGCTCTCTGAGGTCCTGCATTTGGGCATGACATCTAGGATCATTATTATCCCATTCAAGATCAACATTTGCAAATTTTTATTCAGCTGACAGAACTTCTGTCTGAGAGGGTGCTGCCTTTCCCAAATGGTCATAGCTGCCCTCCTAATCATTCCCCTTTCTTCTCCAGTAAACAGAATATTCACGATAGACATTTTGGCCTGGGTGTAGAAACTGGGTCCCAAGAATTGATCCAACTGTTCTGCTAACCCAAAGGGATCTTGTAGGAGTGGGTTCATTTCCCTTTTTAAATTTCTGACTTCAGTACTTGTTAAACTTGCATTAACAAATCCAATTTCTCCCTGTCACATAGGGACTTCCCTGAGGGGGAACATATTAGACATCTTCTCTTTAGAGGGGATAGGGAAGCTTTAGCATCCTTCTTGCATTGTTCTCTTTTCTTAAACTCGGATAAGGGTTTAAAGGAACAGATGGTCTAGTTTCCTCATGGCCTCCAGCCTCTCCCCTTATGACTTTTCTATTGTTCCCTGATTTTCCTGTTTCCTATTTTGCCTGAGATATGGGGGGTGGGCAGGCAAGAAAGGATGTCCCAGGATTTCTTACTGAGTAAGTGTTGTTCATTTATTTTTCTTTAAGGGATAACACGGAAGATAATTCCTTAATCTAGCAAACAGCATAATTTACTTCCTCTTGTGAAAGTGGGGTTCTATCATTAACATACATAATTAAATCTTGGCATACCCAACCTTCGTCCGAGCCAAACTTAGGCCAAAAGACAGAAAGTTGATGAATGGGGTCTTTAGGCCAGATAAAACAGCAATACTTTATCATCTTTTGTTTTTCCTTAACCCTGGTTCGGGGATTATTCCCCAAAGCCTGTAACATCCTGCCCAATGGACTATCTGGGAGGATGTTGGAGGGGACCTTCTTGGCTCCCTCCTTCCTTTGTTCTCTAGGCCTAGAATTTTTGCTTCCCATTTTCTGCTGGTCCCTGTTTCTGAGTTTCCCTGTGTAATCAACCCTCCCTACTGGAGGTTTTTGGCACACCCAGTGAATCAACTGCTTGGTCCATCTCCGGCCATTTCCCTTGAGGGAGACTAAAAGCGCGGATTGGACATCCGCACTCACTTCGTATCTAGGATACATCTCAGACACACACACACTCGACCTGCAAAAATGCCCAACCACCAAGGCAGTACTTATGGTCCAATTTTTATACCTTGGTTTGTGCACGAAGTTGCCTGGTTGCCACAGTGCCTGCTTTTCTCCCAGTGTCACTTCCATTGTCTTCTGAATAATGGTTTCGGGTTTGTCTTTGGCTTCTGCAGGGAGCTGGGACATCCAGACAGAGCAGGCCACATAAGTTGAGTGGGATGTGTCTCTCCTCTCAGCTGGAGTTTCAATCAATGGAGGCACAGAGATCTCCATATGGGCCACCAAGTTGTAAAAAAAAAAAAACTCACCCATCCAAACCCAAGAATGGACTCAGAGACCCAGAGAACAGCGAAAGTGAGACTTTTAATGATGGTCTTGCAAGATCTGGTGTCCGGAATGCAGCCACAACCAGGAGATATATATATATATATATATATATATATATATATATATATATATATATATATATATATATATATATATATATTAAGTATTTCTCCTACTGCTATCCCTCCCCTAGCCCCCCGCCCCCTGACAGGCCCCGGTGTGTGATGTTCCCCTCCCTGTGTCCATGTGTTCTCATTGCTCAACTCCCACTTACGAGTGAGAACATGCAATGTTAGGTTTTCTGTTCCTGTGTTAGTTTGCTGAGAATGTTGATTTCCAGTTTCATCCATGTCCTTGCAAAGGACATAAACTCATTCTTTTTTGGCTGCGAAGTATTCGATGGTGTATATGTCCCACATTTTCTTTATCCAGTCTATCATTGATGGGCATTTGGGTTGGTTCCAAGTTTTTGCTATTGTGAATAGTGCTGCAATAAACATACATGTGTATGTGTCTTTATAGTAGAATGATTTATAATCCTTTGGGTATATACCCAGTAATGGGATTGCTGGGTCAAACGGTATTTCTGGTTCTAGATCCTTGAGGAATCGCCACACTGTCTCCCACAATGGTCGAACTACTTTACTCTCCAACCAACAGTGTAAAAGTGTTCCTATTTTTCCGCATCCTCTCCAGCATCTATTTTTTCTGAACTTTTTAGTGATCGCCATTCTAACTGGTGTGAGACGGTATCTCACTGTGATTTTCATTTGCATTTCTCTAATGACCGGTGATGATGAGCTTTTTTTCATGCTTGTTGGCTGCATAAGTGTCTTCTTTTGAGAAGTGTCTGTTTATATCCTTTGCCCACTTTTTGATGGGGTTCTTTTTCTTGTAAATTTGTTAAAGTTCCTTGTAGATTCTGGATATTAGCCCTTTGTCAGATGGATGGATTGCAAAAATTTTCTCCCATGCTGTAGGTTGCCTGCTCACTGTGATGATAGTGTCTTTTGCTATGCAGAAGCTCTTTAGTTTAATTAGATCCCACTTGACAATTTTCGCCTTTGTTACCATTGATTTGGGTGTTTTAGTCATGAAGTCTTTGCCCATGCCTATGTCCTGAATGGTATTGCCTCGGTTTTCTTCTAGGGTATTTATGGTTTTATTTCTTACATTTAAGTCTTTAATCCATCTTGAGTTATTTTTTTGTGTAAGGTGTAAGGAAGGGGTCCAGTTTCAGTTTTCTGCATATAACTAGCCAGTTTTCCTAATACCATTTATTAAATAGGGAATCCTTTCTGCATTGCTTGTTTTTGTCAGGTTTGTCAAATATCAGATTGTTGTAGATGTGTGTCATTATTTCTGAGATCTCTATTCTGTTTTATTGGTCTATATATCTGTTTTGGTACCAGTACCATGCTGTTTTGGTTACTGTAGGCTTGTAGTATTGTTTGAAGTCAGGTTGCATGGTGCCTCCAGCTTTGTTCTTTCTGCTTAGGATTGTCTTGGCTATGCAGGCTCCTTTTTGGTTCCATATGAAATTTAAAGTAGGTTTTTTTTCTAATTCTGTGAAGAAAGTCAATGGTAGCTTGATGGGGATAGCATTGAATCTATACACTACTTTGGGCTCTATGGCCATTTTCACAATATTGATTCTTCCTATCCATGAGCATGGAATGCTCTTCCATTTTTTTGTGCCCTCTCTTATTTCATTGAGCAGTGGTTTGTAGTTCTCCTTGAAGAGGTCCTTCACATCCCTTATAAGTTGAAATCTTAGGTATTTTATTCTGTTTGTAGCAATTGTGAATGAGATTTCACTCATAATTTGGCTCTCTGTTTGTTTATTATTGGTGTATAGGAATGCTTGTGATTTTTGCACATTGATTCTGTATCTTTTTTTTTTAATTATACTTTAAGTTTTAGGGGACATGTGCACAATGTGCAGGTTAGTTACATATGTATACATGTGCCATGTCGGTGTGCTGAACCCAGTAAATCGTCATTTAACATCTTGAGGTTTGCTGAAGTTGCTTATCAGCTTAAGGAGATTTTGAGCTGAGATGATGGGGTTTCCTAAATATACAATCATGTCATCCGCCAACAGAGACTATTTGACGTTCTCTCTTCTTATCTAAATACACTTTATTTATTTATCTTGCCTGATTGCCCTGGCCAGAACTTCCAATACTGTGTTGAATAGGAGTGGTTAGAGAGGGCATCCTTGTCTTGACCCAGCACAGTTTTAACAAGCAATTTATCCCGTAGTGCATAGGTCCTTCCCCTGGTTTCTCATTGGCTGAGTACTATGGTGTCACAATCTTTCCCAGTGTCACCTATTGATTGTTAGGCAGGGGCTTCAAGTACGTTCTTTAGGGTCTTTCTGCTGCATTTTATCATAGCCCACAATGCATTACAACTGTCTCAGGACACTTCAAACATTTGACTTATGGCTCTGGTGGCTACTCTTAGCTGGTAAGAAAAGGTAAAATTGTCTATGTTGCAAGCTAGCTTATACTAAATTTTTTGGTGGGGTTGGGAAGGGGTAGTTGAGGGGGCCCCAACCAATAGGTGCCTGGCTGCTGGGTGAAAAGGAAGGCAGGAAGGAGGGAGGGTGGTGACTCGGTACACTCTGCTTCTTTCTCTCTTTATTTCCATGTAGCCTGCTTAAAATTAAGGCACTTAGAATTGAAAATGGATGATCATATATAGGTTATTTTCCACATATATGGTATTGATTTATTTACTACAATAAACAACACATATTTAGGGTGTACTGATTGATAAGTTTTTGCATATGTAACTACCTGTGAAAACGTTACTACAATCAAGATCATGAACAAATTTATTATCCTCATAGTTTTTTATGCTTCTTTGCAATCTCTTCTTATCTTCTCTTACCACCCCCAGGCAAGCATTGATCAACTTTCTGTCTCTATAGATTTGTTGATATTTAAAAATTATTCATAAAAATGCAACTGAAGAAAAGGTTTTCTTTTTTGCCTGGCTTCTTTTACTCAGTGTAATCATTTTTGATATTTATCAGTGTTATTGCATGTATCAACTGTTCATTCTTTTTGTTATTAAGTAATATGCCATTGTCTTAGTTCAATTTGTGCTGCTACAAAAAAATACCACTGACTGGCTAGTTTATAAAGAAAATAAATAATTATTTTCTCACAGTTTGGGAGGCTGCAAAGGCCAAGGCCAAGGCACTGGAAGGTTCAGTTGTCTGGAGATGACTGTATTATTTAGAGGGAATGAACATTATGTCCTAATTTGGTGGAGGGTAGAAGGACAAGAGAGCCAAATGCCACATGAAACATCTTTTATAAGGGCCTTAATTCTAGGCACAAAAAAGGATCCCATATAATCTAATCACTTTTTATAGGCCCTACCTCTTAATATTATCATATTGGCCATTATGTTTAAATACCAGAATTTTGAAGGGCACACATCCAAGCCATAACTTCTATTTTACGCACATACCACAATTTCTTTATTTATCTCTTGATGGACATATTGGATGTTTAAAGTTTGGAGCTATTACAAATAAAACTGTCATGGCATTTTTGTAAAAGTCTTTATTGGCATATACTTTTATTTTTATTGGATTAGTATCTAGGGGTGGAAAGGCTAGATCATACTGAAGATGTATATTTGATTTTTAAGAAACTCACACAAAAATTTTCAAAGTGGTTGTCCCATTTTACATTCCCACTAGCAATGCGTGAGATTTTCTATTTTTGCAGATCGCAATCAACATTTGGTATGGCCAATTTTACAAATTTTGTACATTTTAATTTGTGTGGGTTGACATCTCATTGTGGTTTTAATTTGCATTTATTTAATGACAATACCTTGCATCTTGTTATTTGCCATGCATATGGGGATTTTTCCAGTTAGTTATCCGTTCAAATATTTTTCCAATTTCTTATTGTGTTGCAAATATTTTCTCAGTGTTTAACTAATGGTCACAATGCAATTCAAAAATCAGATGCCCAATTTATTGTTTTCTCTTTTGTGAATTGTGCTTTTGATGTCATATCTAGGAAATATTTGCCCAATTGAAATTAGAATTTTTTAAATATTTTCTGCTAGATTATTTTATGATTTTACAGTATACATTTAGTCTATAATCCATTTTGTGTTGACTTTTATAAATGCCGTGAGGTATGAATTGCAATTTAGATTTTTTTATGGATATACAATTGTTCTGACACAATTTTTTGAAAACATGTCTGTCTCCACTGAATTGCCCTTGCAATTTTGTCAAAGATAAATTGTCTATTTGTATGTATGGGTCTATTTATTCACTATTTTTCTATTTGTTTATCTTTATGCCAATACCACAATGTGTTTATTACTACAGCTTTATAGTAATTAATACAGTGAAAACAGAGCTCCCATACAAAGGGAGGGGACCCAAAGGGGGAAGCCATTGTCCGCTCCAATGCCTGGGTTTATATCCCGATCATTGTCCCTCCCCCTGTGCTCTCAGACGATAGATGATTGGCTATTTCTTTACCTCCTGTTTTAGCCTAATTAGCATTTTAGTGAGCTCTCTTTACTACCTGACTGGTCAGGTGTGAGTTAAGTTGCAAGCCCCGTGTTTAAAGGTGGATGTGGTCACCTTCCCAGCTAGGCTTAGGGATTCTTAGTTGGCCTAGGAAATCCAGCTAGTCCTGTCTCTCAGTGCCTCCTCTCAACAGGAAAATCCAAGTGCTGTTGGGGAGGTTGGCCAACGACTGCTCTAATGGCTTCCTGCTGAATTGGGGCATAGTAGGGGTCATGCAGTTGACATTTACTCAGGAGGGGTGGCTTCGATGTTATGAACATTGGATCATGGGTTGGCAGGCTGGTCCACGGGTCCGTGGTAGATCTTAGTCATGGACTGCATATGGGGCTCCATTTGAAGAATGATTTGTAGTTTCACAGCTTCGATTCTGGAAGAGACAAACTTAACAAAGAGGTTAAAGATACAATGATTGAAATCTGCAGTGCAGGGGATTATTTCTTTGGCACACTTCACAGGCCCTGACTATCTGCTTGATAGTTTTGAAAAGGCCTGGTCCAGTAAATAATAATTTGGTCATGTGAAGTGTGCTATCAATTTCTAAGTGAAAGGTTTGGTGAAGAGTTTTAAGTAATTTCCTTTGGTTAGCTGCAGGCAAAAGTATTTTTTCTTCTTTGGTGGCTAGCCATTCTGAGGGGAGGAAATTATGTCCTTGTGAGGTTCCCTATTCTATTTCTCCTCCTGAGTACTGGGGCTTGGTTTCCTGGATGTGATTACCCCATACTAGGGGTCCTTCTACAAGCATTTCTAATGGAGGGTCCTGCCTTGCAGCTCTTTTGTCTTCAATATCCGCTTGGCAGTTCCCTTCTATTTCCCTTTCCTTTTCTTTACTTTCTGATGACCCAGCAGTGTAAGACTGCCACCTCTTTAGGTTTCTGTACAGCCAATAATAATCTCCTAATGGCTTCCTGATGTTTAATATGTGTTCCCTTGGAAGTTAGGAATTCCCTTTCTCTACATATTGCTGCGTGGGCATGGAGGACTAGGTAAGCATACTTACAGTCTGTATATATATTTATCCTTTTTCCTTCTCCTAATTCTGGTGCCCAAGTGAGGGCTGTTATTTCTTCCAGCTGAGTGCTAGTTCCTGGAGTGAGGGGATTACTTTCAAGTATTCCATTATCACTGACTACTGCATACCTCACATTTTGAAGTCCTTTTTCTACAAAGGAACTTCCATCAGTATACAAGTTGAGGTCAGGATCAGTCAAGGGAACCTCTAGAAGGTCCCCTCGAGTGGCGTAGGTTTGAGCAGTTACTTTTTGACAGTTATGTTCTATTTTTTCTTCATCGTCTGGAAGAAATGTGGCTGGGTTAAGAGTTGCACAAGTGCACAGTCACAGCACTGGCCCTTCAAGTAATAGGGCCTGATATTTAAGCAAATGGTTGTCTGACAGCCACAAGTCTCCTTCAGCAGTGAGTATGCCGTTCACATCATGAGATGTCCACACAGTAAGATCTCTTCCCTGTATCATTTTAACTGTTTCAGATACTAAGACTGCTACTGCTGCCATTACCCATAAACAATGAGGCCAACCCTTTGTCACTACATCACTTTCCTTACTCAAGTATGCCACGGGTTGCAAGCTGGTCCCTCGGACTTGCGTAAGGACTCCTAGAGCTATTCTTGTTTTTTCTGTGACATATAAAGAAAAGTCTTGCCCCATTGGCAAGCTTAACACTGAGGCTTGGGGTAGGGCCTTCTTTAGGGCCTGGAAAGCCACTTCTGCTTCAAATGTCCATCTTAATAAATGGGTATTGGCTTTCTGAGTTTTCTTAATTAGTGTATATAATGGTCTGGCTATTTTGCCGTACCTGGGAATCCATATTTGGCAGAAGCCTGTTATGCCAAGGAACCCTCTTATTTGCTTTAGGGTTTTGGGATAAGGATAAGTCAGTATAGGCTGGATACTTTCCTCACTGAGGGCCCTGTTGCCTTTGGATAATTTTAGCCATAAGTATTTAACCTGCTGTGAGCAGAGCTGAGCCTTTGGTTTGGAAACCTTGTAGCCACAGGTGGCAAGGAGATTTAAGAGTGCTTGGGTGGCTTGATGGCACAAGGTTTCTGAACAGGAGGCTAAAAGTAAATCATCCAGGTACCGAAGGACAAGAGTGTCCAGGTATGAGAGCTGGCTCAAGTCTTGGGATAATGCCTGGCCAAATAGATGGGGGCTCTCCCTGAACCCTGGGGGTAAAACAGTCCAGGTGAGTTGAGACATTGGGTTCAAAGGATCTTCAAAGGCAAACAAGAATTGAGATTCAGGATGTACAGGGATGCAGAAAAAGGCATCCTTAAGGTCCAGGACTGTAAACCACTCTGCTTCCTCTGGTATTTGGGAAAGCAGAGTATAAGGGTTACATACAGCTGGGTATAGAGGACAACGGCCTCATTGATAATCCTGAAATCTTGAACTAACCTCCACTGTCCTTTGGGTTTCTGTACTCCTAAAATTGGAGTATTGCAGGGGCCATTGCATGGTTTTACTAGGCCTTGGGCTTTTAGGTCCTTAACAATCTTTTGGAGTCCTTGTTGGGCCTCGGGTCTGAGTGGGTACTGCCTTTGGTAGGGAAAGGAGGTGGAATCCTTTACTTTAACTTGAACAGGATGGGCATTCTTTGTTCATCCATATTGTCCCTCTGTTGCCCAGACTCCAGGATTAATTCCTTCATCAAGCAGGGGACAACAAATGGGTGTTCCTTCTCGTATGTTCAGGTGTATAATAGTCCCTGCTTTTGCTAGAATGTCTCTCCATAACAATGGAGCGGGGCATTCAGGCATAATTAGAAAAGCATGTGAAAAGAGTAAAGTTCCCCTGTCACAATTTAGTGTCTGGGAGAAGTATCTAGTGACTGGCTGTCCTAGGACCCTCGGATAGTGACAGATCTGGAGGACAGTTTTCCAGGACAGGAGAGTATGGCTGAGAAGGCTGCACCAGTGTCCAGGAGATAGTTAACCTCCTAACCCTCAATGGTCAAGCATACCCGGGGCTCTGTGAGGGTGATGGCATGGGCTGGCACTTGCCCCGGGCAACCTCAGTCCTGCTGCTGGATCACCTGGTTAGTGGCTTCTAAGTCAGAGGTCCTTCATCCCCTGGGGCAGTGGGCCTTCCAGTGATTCCCTTGACATAAGGGGCATGGACGAGGGGGTGGCTTATTTCTATTCAATCTTTTTTAAAGTGTCCTTGTAGATTGTGCTGGAAGCAAGCCCTATTAGGCATTCAATTTGACCAGCCTTTCCGTGTTCCAGAGCCTCCAAAGTCCACTTGCCTGAGGGCCATGACTAAAGCAGTGGCCTTTTTCTTATCTCATTTGTCCTGTTCCACCTGCTCCTCCTGATCTCTATTATAAATATCTGAGGTTGCCAAGTTCAATAGGGTTTCTAAGTTTTGCTCCAGGCCTAAGGTGGACTTCTGAAGTTTCTTTCTAATGTCTTCAGCTGACTGAGTGATAAACTTATCCTTTAATATTAGTTGGCCTTCAATAGAGTCAGGTGACAGAGAGGTATGCTTTCTCAATGCCTCCCTTAGTCTCTCCAGAAAGGCAGTGGGATTTTCTTCTTTTCCCTGTGTTATAGCGGACATCATTGAATAATTCATAGGCTTCTTCTTAGTTTTCCTTAGTCCTTCTAGCATGCAAGTTAGCTAATGTCTGCAGCACCAACCTCCATGTTCTGATTCTGTGTCCCAGTGAGGTTCTACATTGGGAACTGCCTGCTGGCCCGTGGAGAATTGTTCCTTCCTCTGTTGTCATCCTATCATTGACCTGACTGAGATACCAGAGATTGCCAAACTCTCAAGCTGCAATTATGGCAGCACTTCTTTCATTTGGGGTTAGTGTCTGATCTAGCAGTCACATTATATCTCCCCATGTCAGATCAAAGGATTGTCCTAACTCTTGTGAAACATCAATATAGCCATCAGGGTTATCTGAGAATTTACCTAAGTCTATTTTAATTTGCTTCAAGTCTGAGAGGGAAAAAGGTACATACACCCTGGCTGGGCCGAATTCTCCAGAATACATCTTAGGGGTGTTTTTGCCTTGGGGGGAACGTTTCTCATCTGAAAAAGGAACATAGGGATGCCAGCACCCCTAGTCATTTTCCAATGAGCATTAGTCCTAGAGTGTCCTCTATGGTCCTAATGCTTATTCCTTTCCAAGGTGCATAACCACCCATGGACATCTGCTTATTAGATTAGTTACACTTACTGATGTAGCAGTCTTGCACCTCTTTTCCCACCTTTTCTGACCACAAAGAAAGGGGTCCGGGCTGCTGGATTCTAGTGGTCCTTTTCCAGCATGCCCGACATTGCCTTTGGGCTCAGGGTGAGTTCTAGAGCTGGGCTGGGTTCCTGAGTATTTCATAATAACCCAGTTGCCCCATCAAGATGCATTCCTACAAACAACAGTTCTTATGCAAATTCATTTCAGAGAGGGTGTGGGTAATCTTTTGAGTCAGGATTGAGATAGAGGTTTTTGATTCTGTAAGTACTTTAAAGCTTGACTGAGTGCAAACAGCTCACACATTTGAATAGACCAATTATTAGGCAATTTACTTAACTCTGCCTCTACAACAGTTTCCCTCAATTATTGAATACCCATTGTGTTTTTTTCTCAATCACCTGGGAGGAACCATCTATTGTCCTGTCCTGAAGGAGTTCCTCCTAGGTCTGGTCAGACCTTTGTATGGTAATTAAGATTTAAATTCCCTGTTAGGAAATCTTCTGGGTTAAGGGAATTTTCAGTGGTTAATGTAAAATTATCTTTTTCAAACAGAATAGCCCCATACTTTAAGATTTTTGAGTTAGTAAGCTACCCTTTTTGCTTTTTTGACTTAGGATAACTCTGAACTAGTGAGGTGTGCTCACAATGAGGTTTCCTCTAAAGGCTAATTTTTTACTTTCTTCTGTTAGTAAAGCAGTTTCTGCTATGGATGGAATGCATTTGGGCCACCCACAAGTTCCTGGGTTAAGGATTTTTGATAGAAAGTCTACTGGTTGTCAGTGGCCTCAGTGCTTTTGGGCTATGCCCTTGTTTATGCTGACAACAAAGTGGAATTGGAGTGTTATAGGGTCACAGAGAAAACCTTCAGCTATCAGTTATAGGTTTTAAATTTACCCTGGCTTTTAAAGAAATAGGGTACACTGTTTTTTCTTTACTACTTCTATCTTTCTCTTTCTCTCTTTCTTTCTCCTTTCTGCCTTAGTAGATGGATTTTTGGAAACACAGCAGAAGGACATTCACTCATTGCCCCCATTTGCCACTATAGGAATATGCACCTCCCTTTAATTCACTCAATTTGCTTTCATCCTGATCTATTATGTTGTTGTAGACCCAGTTTCAGTTGTTAAAGTATTGGATTACTGGGTTATCAGTTCTAAGGCCCTGGCAAGGGTGGTGGGGAACAGGTCCCACATAAGTGCCCATATCGAGAGCTATATGCCTAAATTGGGTGGGACACCAGGGACAAGATTCCCTGGTTTTATAGCTTAGGGGCCTGAGGATGCAACATAGAGCTTCCTTAGATCCATTTGGAGATACAACCTGCTCTAATACTTGGGAGAGGAAGTGAAAGTCTGAAGCACTAGTATCTAGGAGACAGGGATCAGAGGAAGTAGATTCAGAGGTAAGGAGAATTTTGGGGCTACACTTTCAAGAAAGTCATGGTCAGGACCCAGGAGGTATGGTTCAGAGGGAGAGGTACGGGTGCACGCATGGGCGACTGTTGAGCAGAGACTTCTGGCTGTGCTATTATCTCAACTGGCTAATGCAGGGAGTTCAGGATGACAGCTTTCTGCCTCTAGTTGGCCCTCAGCTTCCCTAGGAAAATTCAAAGTGGAAGCTGGCTCCAGGAAGACCAACGCTCCCAACCCAGAAGGGTTGGGGTTTGTTAGAAAGCCCTTTCCCAGACAGCCTCACACCTGAGTCTTAAGTCAGGCAGCCATGCTAATCATTTCTAACTGGCTGATAGGTGCCTGGTATTTTCCTCCAATTATAAGGAAGGATAGGACAGAATAGCAAGTGAAAGTGGTCCAATATTACTCACTGCTTTGGAGGTCCCTTTGTGGTTGCCAAAATGTTACTGGCGGGGGGGCGGTTCTTGTTCTTAGAGCTCCCAAGATGGTGCAGACCACTTCCAAAATGGTGGCAAGCTTCTTGTTCTCTGACCCGGGGTTCTTGGCCTCACAGATTCCAAGGAATGGAATGTTGGGCCATGTGGTGAATGTTATAGCTCTCCTAGAAGCTGTGGGTCATGGAAGAGAACCGTGGAACCCAGCGAGTAGTGTTCAGCTCAATTAAGATGAACCCAGGCACTTAGCCAAGCAGGAACAATGGTGAGCCTTTAGCCCAATCAGGAGTGGCAATGGGCACCTCTCTGGATCAGAAGCACAGTGGACAACATGCTGGATCCAGAGGGATGGAAGTCAGTGGCGGGTCTGTGACAGTGACAAACAGCAGTGGTGGATGGCGAGCGAAAGCTCAGCTCAAGCCATAACAAACATGGACCAGAAGAGTGTGCAGTTGCAAGATTTAATAGAGTGAAAACAGAGCTCCTTTAAAATGGGAGGGGACCCAAAGGGGGTTGCTCAATTTTAGTCTTTTAACTTTGTTCTTCTACTTTAAACCTGTTTGGCTATTCTAGATCTTATGTATTTGCAAATGATTATTGAGTCAGCTTTTCATTTTCTATAGCTTAACAATATTCAGTCTTCTAACTCAGGAATTTGATATATCTCTCCATTTATTTTTGGTCTTTTAAATTTTCTCTCAGTAAATTTTTGTAGTCTAGAAATCAATGTACAGGATTGCACATCTTTAGTCAGATTAAACCCCTCAGTATTTTATATTTTTATGCTATTGTAAATGTCAGTATGTTCAATTATTCCTTGCTGATATATTGACATTCAGTTGTATCTACATTGATCTGATATCCTTCAAACTTATAAAATTTAGTTGTTACTTCTTGTTTCCTTTTTGCAGATTTCATATGATTTTCTACATAAATGGTTATGGCCTTTGTGAGTAAAGAGAGTTTTACTTCTTCTTTTACTCTCTGAATATTATTTATTTATTTATTTGACAGGATCTTACTCTGTCACCCAGCCTGGGGTGCAGTGGTGGAATCATGGCTTACTACAGCATTGACTTCTCAGGCTCAGATGATTCTCCCACCTCAGCCTCCCAAGTAGCTGGGACTACAGGTGCACACCACCAACCCATCTAATTTTTTGTAGGGACTGGCTTTTGCCATGGTGCCCAGGCTGATCTCAAACTCCTGGGCTCAAGTGATCTGCCTTCCTCAATCTCCCAAAGTGCTGGGATTATAGGCATGAGGCACCATGCCCGACCATGGATATGTTTTTTTTTTTTTTTAAGTATTTTAACTTTTTTGATGTAGGCACTTATAGCTGTAATCTTCCCTTTTAGTACTGATTCACTGTATCCCATCAGTTTTGGTATGTTGTGCTTTCATTTTTTCCAAGAAATTTTTCAATTTTCTTTTTAATTTCTTTATTGACCCACTGGTCATTCAGGATCATATTGTTTAATTTTCACGTTTGTATTATTTCCAAAATACTTCTGTTATTAATTTTAGTTTTATTCCTTTGTGGTCAGAGTAGATGCTCAATATTACTTCAATTTTTTTAATGTTTAAGACTTGAGTTGTGACCTAATATATGATCTGTTTCTGAGAATAATCTATGTGCTGAGGAAAAGAATGTGTATTCTGCAGCTCTTAGATGAAATGTTCTGTAAATATCTATTAGATCCATAGTGCAGGTTAAGTTTGTCTATAGTGCAGATTAACTCTGGTGTTTCTTTGTTGGTATTTTGTCTGGAAGATGTGTTTAGTGCTGAAAGTGAGAGGATGATGTCTCTAGCTATTTTGGATCAGGGCCTATCTCTCCCTTTAACTCTAAAAACATATTTTTTCTATACCTTGGTGCTCCAGTATTGGGTACATATATATTTAAAATTGTTACATTCTCCTGCTTAATTGACTCTTTTTTCATTATATGGTGACCTTGTTTGACTCTTCTAATAGTTTTTTGTCTTGAAATATAATTTGTCTGATGTAAGTATAGCAACTCCTGTTTTTGTTTTTTTGTTTGTTTGCATTGGCATGGAATATCGTTTTCCATCACTTAATTTTTAGTCTGAGTGTTTTTATAGGTAATATATATTTCCTGTAGGTAACATATTAATGGGTCTTGTCTTTATTTTATTCATTCAGTTAGCCTATGCCTTTGATTGAAGCATTTAGTTCATTTACATTCAATGTTATTATTGATAAGTAAAGAATTACTCCTGCCATTTTGTTATTTGTTTTCTGTTTGTTTTGCAGCCTTCTCATCCTTCTTTCTTTCCGTGCTGTCTTCCTCTAGTGAAGATAATTTTATCTGGTGAGGTGATTTAGTGTTTGTTTGTTTGTTTGCTTGTTTTTGCTTTTTAGTTTTTGTGTGTCCATTGTATGTGTTTTGGTTTGAGATTACCATGAGGCTTGCAAATCATATCTCATAATCTATTATTTTAACCTGATGACAGCCTCATGCTCTTTGTAGAAACAAATAAAAAAGCAAAAAGAAAACTAATAAAAACTTGCCTTAAATTTATCCCCCAACTTATAAAGTTCTTATTGTTTCTATTTATGTCTTACAGTTCTGACTACATCTTGAGAAGTTGTGGTTATTATTTTTATTGGTTTATTGTTTAGTCTTTCTGTTTAGGATAAAAGTAGATACACACCACAGCTACAGTGTTATAATATTTTTTTGTTTTTCTCTGTACTAACTTTTACCAGTGAGTTTTGTACTTTCAGGTGATTATTTGTTGCTCATTAATGTTCTTTTTTTTTCTTTTCTGATTGAAGTACTCCCTTTAGCATTTGTTGTAGGACATGTTTGGTGTGATGAATTTCCTCATCTTTTGTTTGTCTAGAAAAGTCTTTGTTTCTCATCCATGTTTGAAGTATATTTTTGCTGGATATGCTGTTGTAGGGTAAATGGTTTCTTTTTTCCTTTAGCACTTTAAATATGTCATGCCTCTTTTCTGATCTGTAAGGTTTCCATTGAAAAGTCTGCTTCCAGATGTATTAAAGCTCCATTGTATGTTATTTATTTATTTCCTCTTTCTGCTTTTGGATCCCTTCTTTATTCTTGACCTTTGGGAGTTTAATTATTAAATGCTTTGAGGTAGTCTTGTTTGGGTTAAATATGTTTGGCGTTTTACTTCTTGTACTTGAGTATTGATATCTTTATCTAGGTTGGGGAAATTCTCTGTCATTATCTTTTTTAAATAAACTTTCTACTCCTTTCTTTTTTTCTACCTTCTCTTTAATGCCGTACTCTTAGATTGGCCCTTTTGAGGCAATTTTCTAGATCCTGTTGGTGTGCTTGTTTCTTTCTTTTTTCTTTTTTCTCATCTGACTGTGTATTTTGTCTCCTCTGTGTACAGGTTAAGGGTGGCCTTAACCAGTAGCCACTGACACCCCTGTCCATGAGGAGTACTTCCAGTCTACCACTGATGTTCCATTAAGGCCCAAGGTCTCTTAAGGCAGCTTGAGGTGAATGCTGCCTGGCCTGGGACTCATCCTTCAGGGCAGTGGCCTCTCGACTGGTCCAGACCTGGTCCAGAAATTCCATTCAAGGGTCAAATCCTAAAATCAGGGACCCTAAGAGCTTGCTTGGTGCCCTCCCTTCCTATGATGGGATTTGTACCTCAAGCCAGCAAGTTTCAGAGGCTCACCCAAGGCCTTCAATGTATTACCTGGGTATCTCTGCTGGTTATTTGAGGCCAGGGGCTCTTTAGGTAGCAGACGATGAATGCTGCTGGTACTGAGTTCTTTCCTTCAAGGCAGTGGTTTCCCTTTCGGACCAGGGTTTGTCTAGAAAAGTTGTCTGGGAGCTAGGGCCTGGAATAGAGGTGCAATGGTTAATACTGAGTGTCAACTCGATTGGACTGAAAGATACAAAGTATTGATCCTGGATGTGTCTGTGAGGGTGTTGCCAAAGGAGATTAGCAATTGAGTTAGTGGGCTGGGAAAGGCGGACCCACCCTTAATCTGGTGGGCACAATCTAATCTGCTGCCAGCATGGCTAGAATATAAGCAGGCAGAAAAATGTGAAAACAGAGACTGTCTTAGCCTCCCAGCTTACATCTTTCTCCCATGCTGGATTCTTCCTGCCCTCGAACATCAGACACCAAATTCTTCAGTTTTGGAACTCGGATTGGTTCTCCTTTCCCCTCAGCCTGCAGACAGCCTATTGTAGGACCTTGTGGTGATATATATATATATATATATATATATATATATATATCCCCTTAGTTCTATTTCTCTACAGAACCCTGACTAATACAGATTTTGTTACCAGAGTGGTTCTAGAAGAACAGAATATTAAAGATGGAGTTCTTTTGTTGGCCTGAGGGTTTCTGGAGTTGGCTGCTTAATATAATTAGACACAAAAATGTTAAGGACTCTACTTCTAATAGTATGGAGGACACTAATGGTCCTTGGTGTGAACTGTTTAGAGGCTTAGCAAAATAAATGCATTTGACACTCCTGATTCATTGCTCATGAGAGGCGAGGAGTTTAGTGACTATACATAATACCTTTGACCATATGTAAAGAACCAAGGAACATAATGAAGCTGGTTGGTTGCTCCTAAGTTCAGTGAACAAAGTGGTGAAAAAAATGATGAACTCGGGGATTCTACTCCCAGCTTCAGAAGCAAATACTGAGTCTCAAATCTGCTAAGATTGACCTGAGTGAGAGTCTTATCTCCTGTAGAAAAAGAACTAAAATTGTGGAAAAACAGACACAAGCTCTTATCATGTAAGTAGCTGACCTTCAACGAAAGGTGCATGCACAGCCTTGCCAGGTGTTTACTGTTAAAGTGAGGGCATTGGTTGGAAAAGAATGTGACCCTGCCACTTGGAATAGAGACATGTGGGAAGACTCTGATGACGTTGGGGCACTGAGTTTATATACTCTGATAAATATTTTTGCCAGAGGAAACAGCTTACCCATCCCCAGTAGTGGCAATATCGCCTCCCCAGTCCATGCTGCCATCAGCCTTTCCACCTTTGTCTGAGGAGATAAACCCTGCACTGCCTGAGGCAACAATGATGGCCTCCCCTGAGGTAGTTTCCAGGCAAGATAATGTTGATCCTCCTCAGGAGCTACCCCCAACACCCCTGTTTGCTTCTAGACCTGTAACTAGACTAAAGTCCTGATGGGCTCCTAGAGGTGAGATTGAGAATTGAGGTTTAGTCAGTGAGCTGAGAAAGGCAGACCCACACTTAATCTGAGTAGGCACAATCTAATCAGCTGCCAGCTCGGTTAGAACATAAGCAGTCAGAAAAATGTGGAAGGAGAGATTGGCCTAGCCCCCCAGCCTACCTCTTTCTCCTCTGCTGGATGCTTCTGCCCTTCAACATCAGACTCCAAGTTCTTTAGTTTTGGAACTTGAACTGGCTCTCTTTGATCCTCAGCCTGAAACAGAATATATATATATATATATATTCTGTTTCTATAGAAAACCCTGAACCCTGACTAATACAGGGGGCCTCATGACACTGACCAGTGCCATATCCTGCTGTGGCTGAGCTGGTATCCAAGATGCAAGTCAAAGTCCTCCCCACTCTGTCCTTTCCTCTCCCCTAGCAGAATAAATGGGTCTCTTTTGGAGCCGTGAGCTGTGCAGCCTGGGGTTAAAGGAGGGGTGATACCAGCACCCTCTTGGCTGCCCCAGCTGTGTCTCAGCATGTCATATGCCCTACCAGTCCATTGTCTCTGGATCTAGCTTAGCCCTAGGATTCAACTAAAATTTGCAGTCCCTATGGCCTAGACTTCCTTTCGAGTTCACTTAGAGACCAAGAGTACTTTGGTCCTCTACGAGGAGGTTTATGAGCACTTGAGTTTAGACTGCTTGGGTAGGTGATTTACCTCTGTTTAGGGCTGGTTTAAATGCTCCCTCTGTGCATGGGCATTAGCTGAGTTTAGTCTGGTTCTTTTTTCTGCTCTAACAGAATGAGGCTGAATTTAATGCCTCACAATTGCTGTCTTCTCTGTCCCTCAGCACTCAGAGAAGCTCTCTGCACCAGACCACCACTGCCAGTGGTGGGGAAGGAGTGGCATCAGCAGTTCACGACTGTTTTTCCTATCTCTTTAGTGCTTCTTTCAGCGATATGATGTTAAAACCAGGTACTATGAGTGCTTACCTGATTTGGGATTCTTATAATCACTTAATTTTCAGTGGAAAATAAAGTAGCAATTTTGTAGAAAGTTGTCAACTTGATGTCCTTGTGGGCGGGCTATGATTGATGGAGCTTTCTATTCTCCTATCTTGTTCCACCTCTGCCCTTAAATATTGGTATCTCTCTCTAGGTTTGGAAAGTACTGTGTTATTATCCTTTTGAATAAATATTATGCTCTTTTCTCTCTCTCTACCTTCTCCTTAAGGCCAGTAACTCTCAGATTTGCTTTTTTGAAACTGTTTTCTAGATCTTGTAGACATGCTACTTTTTTTATCATTTATTCTTTTGTCTTCTCTGTGTATTTTCAAATAGCCTGTCTTCGAGCTCACTAATTTTTTTCTGCTTGATCTAATCTATTCTGCTATTAAGAGTCTGTAACTCATTCTTCAGCATGTGAATTACATTTTTTGAATCAAGAGTTTCTCCTTGATTCTTTTTAATTATTTCAATCTTTTTTTCTTAAATTTATCTAATTTCATTCTGAATTTTTTTCTGTGTATTATCTTTTGTTTCATTGAGTTTCTACAAAACAGCTATTTTGAATTCTCTGCCTGAAAATTTACATACCTCTGTCTCTGGTCACTTATCTACTTCATTTCATGAGATCACATTTTCATGGATCATCTTGATGCTTGTGGATGTTCACTGGTTGCTGGGCAATGAAGAGTTAATTATTTAATGTAGTCTTCACAGTATGGGCCTATTTGTACCTGGGATTTGTTTTGGAGGGAGGAAGGCTTTACACATGTTTGAAGGGACTTGGGTGTTATGATCTAAGCCTTTGGTCACTGCAGCTATGCAGCCATGTCATGTCTGCATTAGTGGACACCCAAAGCCAGGTAACACTGTGGCTCTTGCAGACTCATAGATGTACTTGATGCCTAGTTTGTTTTGGGTATGATTCAGAAGATTATCTGGATTACCACGCAGAGAGTTTTGTTCTGTTCCCCTGCTTTCATCCAAACAAATGGTGTCTCTTTCTCTGTGCTGAGCTGCCTGGAGTTTGGGGAGGTGTAGCCACGCACACCTGTGGCCACCATAACTAGGACTGCACTGGGTCAAACCTGATGCCAGCATTGCACTGCACTGGGTCTCTCCCAGGTCCCACGGTAACAACAACCTGGCTACTGCCTTTGTTTGTTCAAGGCCCTTGGGCTCTACAGTCAGCAGGTGGCAAAGCCAGCCAAGGTTATCCCCTTTCCTCCAAGGCTGTGAGTTCTTCCTGAACCTAGGCAGGGCTAGAGATTCTGTCCACAAGCCAGGGCCTGGAGTTGGAAATCTTAGGAATCTACCAGGTGCTGTATTCTACTGTGCCTGAGATGGCATAGAAGCCATAAGACAGTCCATTCCCTTCTTCCCTTCCATTTCTACAAGCAGAGGAATCTCTTGCCATGAACACTACCACCACAGGTTTGTTGGGAGTAGTGCCAGGCCACCACCAATGTTCACTCAAGGCTGAAGGAGTCTTCAGTCAGGTTGTGGTGAATGCTGCCAGTTTTTGGACTCATCCTTCAGGGAACTGGGCTCCCCTCTTGCCTTGTCCAGAAAGGCCACCAAATAGCCAAGGCCTAGAATCAAGGACCCCAAGTACCCACTTGGTACTCTACTCAATCATGCCTTAACTGATACCTAAGCTGCAAGACCAAGTCCTCTTTACTCTTTTCTCTGCTTTTCTCAAGCAGAAAACTTACCCTATAGCCTCCAGCTGGGAATTTGTTCTGTCAGTCCTGAAGCCAGTATGTCTGAGTAATAACCAGACATGGCGAGTGCTACCTGGCTACCACTGCTAATTATTCAGGGCCCAAGGGCTCTTTAGTCATTAGGAAATAAATTCTGCCAGGACAGGGCTTCTTTTTTCAAGGAAGTGAGTTTCCTTATGGCCTAAGTTATGTCTAGAAATGTAATCTGGGATCTAGTGCTTGGAATGAGTGCCTCATGCCTCTGTTCTGGTGCCCGATCTTTTGTGGCTAAGCTGGAATATATGTTGCAAGACAAAGTCCTTCGTGATCTTCTCTCTCCTCTTCTCAAGTGGAAGAAAGTCTCTTTCAGAGCTGTGAGCTGTGCTGCCTGGGGTTGGGAGAGTGGTGGCTCAAGTACTTCCTTGGATCCCCTGGTTGCCATCTCAGTAGGTCACATGCCCCCCAGTTCCACAGGCTCCAAGACCAGCACAGCATTAGGACTTCTCTAGGAGCTGCAGTTTTTGTGGCTTCGTCTGTCATTCCAGTTTATTTAGAACCCCAGAGTACATTAGCTTGCAGTGGTGAGGTTTGCTGAAACTCATGTTCCAGCCACTGTGATGCATGATTCCTCTCTGGCTAGGGATGTTCTAAATGTTTCCTCCATGGGCTTCAGCTGAGTTCTGTCCAATGTTGCTTTCCACTATGACCCGGCAGAAGTGACTTCCCATGCAATGTCCCACATCACTGTACTCTTTCTTTTCCAAGCACAGAGATTCTTCATGCCATGTAGCCACTACTGGTGAAGGAGAGGTGGTGAAGGAGAATGAAGTGAAGGAGCGGTGAAGGAAGTGAAGGAGGAGTGAAGGAAGTGAAGGAGAGGTGGTGTCTGCAATTCAAGAATGTCTTTTTTATTCCCTTCGCTACCTCTTTCTAAGCCGTGAAGTTAACACTAGATACTGTGATCATTCACCTGATTTTTGGTTTCTACGAATGTGCTTTTTTATGTTGATAGTTGTTAATTTGGTGTTTGTGCAGGGAGGATGATGGGTGGGCTCCTATTTGGCCATCATGTACCAACTAGTCTGGAGATGTCTTATTATTATTTTACCAAATTCATTAGTTGTTTCTTCCAAAATGTCTAATCTGCATGTATTAGGTTGTTCTTGCATTGCTATAAAGAAATAAATGAGATTAGGTAATTTATAAAGAAAAGAGGTTTAATTGGCTCAAGGTTCAGCAGGCTTTATAGCGGACATCTTCTTGGCTTCTGGGGAGGCCTCCAGAAATTTACAATTATTGCAGAAGGTGAAGGGGGAGTAGGCACATCATATGGCAAAAGCAGGAGCAAAATAGAGAAGGGGGAGGCAGCACACACTTTTAAATAACCAGATCTCACGATAGCTCACTCACTATCTTGAGGACAGTACCAAAGGGATGGTACTAAATCACTTATGTGAAACTCGTTTCCATGATCCATTCACCTTCCATCAGGCCCCACCTCCAACATTGGGGATTACATTTTGATATGAGATTTCAGCAGAGACAACATCCAAACTATATCACTGAATTAATTTCATCTAGGAAATTTTTATCTCAGGTTTTGTAGTTTATCTCTAGAAGTTCAGTATGGGTCTTTTGGTTTTTTATTTTTAATCTTACATGTCTCTATGTAACATGATCAATATTTTCTCTAATATCAGCATATGAAATATAGTTATAATGATGGTTTTAATATCCTCGTCTACTAACGTTATCATTTTTGGAGTGAATTGTGATTAATTTATTTTCTCCTTATTTTCCCATGTCTTTGTCTACCTGTTATTTATAACTTAATGCCAGATGTAAATTTTTACATTTTGCATTTTGGATTTTCTTTATCTTATAAATGTTCTTCACATTTATTCGGCAGTGCAGTTTAAATGCTTGGAAACAGATCTCTTTGTGCCTTTTTAAAGTTTCTTTGGAATTACCGCAGCTAGAATTTAGTCTGTGGCTATTTTTTTCCCACTACTGAAATAAGAACCTTTTTGGTACTCTAACCCATGCACTTTGAAATATGAGGTACTCCACTTTGGGTGTTAATAATAGGTAGTTTTGTCTGCCGTATGCAATCTCTGAGTATTGCTTCAAGTGGTTCTTTCCCCTCCTTAACTAGATTTCACACCTTCACTCATTGATCAGTACACAACTGAAGAGTCAAGGGAAACTCATTGCAAAACTTCAGAGTTCTCCCTATGTAGGAAATCTCTTCATTATGATATTCTGTTCTGTAAATTCTATTTTCCTTGGCCTCTCTAGACCCCCAATCCATTACCTCAACTCATATAGACATCCAGGTTTTGCCTGGAATCTTCTTCCATGTAACTTTGTGAACTAAGTGGAGGCAATTGTAGAGTACATTCAGTTTTTTTCCATCACCAACGGATTACTGTCATTTGTTGACCCATATCTACTATCTGAAAAAAGTTAATTCACATATTCTATTTTCAATTTTTTTCACATGAAAAGGCATATTTAATGCCTCTTACACCATATTTACTGGAGTAAATATTATATACATTATAAAAATTTTGATAAAACCTTTATCAAAATACAATTCACATACCACACAATTCACCATGTGCACTATACAATTCAACGTTTTAGTATATTCACAAATTGTGCAACATACATCATAATTGATTTTAGAAAACTTTTATCATCCTGAAAATAAAGTCTTTATCTCATAGCAGTTACTCATTCTTGCCCCCATAACCACCCAGTCCCAGGTAACCAGTAATCTGCTTTCTTTTTTTTTGATTTGCCTACTCTTTAATTTTATAAAAATGGAATTATACAATGTGAATTATTTTGTGACTGATTCTATTTAACATAATATTTTCAAGGTTTATTCATGTTCCATGTGTCACTGTGTTAGTTTTTGTTGATTAATAGTATCCCATTATGTGGACATACCATGTATTATTTATACACTTATCAATTGGCAAGTATTGACTTGTTTCCAGTTTTTAGCTTTTGTGAATGGTGCTACTATGGATATTCATGAACAAGTTTTTCTGTGAGCATATTCTTTATTCCTCTTGAGTATGTAAGTAAGAGAGAAATTGCTAGATTGTAGGAAACTTATGTTTCACCATTGAGGAATTGACAAACTGTATGCAAAGGGGATATACATCATTTTACATTTCCACCAGCAATGTATGATGGTCCCAATTCTTAATATCTTCACTAGCAATTGTTATTGTCCAGATTTTAAATTATAGACATTCCAGTGTGTTCAAAGGGGTACCTCATTGTAGCTTTGATTTGTAGTTCCCTAATTTGAAATTTCCTAATGCACATCTTTCCATGTGTTTATTTGCAATTTGAATACCTTCTTTGGAAAAAATGTTTATTCAGATTGTTGTCTACTTTTATTGGGTTATTTGTCTTTTTATTATTGAGTCTTAATATTTTTTATATATTCTATATTTAATTTTCCGATTAGATCTATTGTTTGCAAAGTTTTTCTCCTATTCTATGGGTTGTCTTTCACTTTCTTTTCAGGAGAAGGAGAGCTTTCCTTCAATCTGGGAATCTTGTGGGTTTGAATTAAGGGTAATTTCCCATAGAAAGGTTTTATATTTGCTTAGTCTTTCATGTTCTTGATTTTTCTGTGCTTCAAACAATTTTTTCTTGTGATTTTGATTTCATATCTAAGAAACAATTTCCAAATCCAAGGTTATAACCATTTATATGTTTGTTTTCTTCTAAAAGTATTTCTTCAAATACTAAAAGCATTATAAGTGCTTACATTTAGGTTTCTGATACATCTTGAGTGAATTTTTGTATGTTGTGTACCTTGAATCTATAGATCATTTGGGGGTTATTACCAACTTAACAATAATAGTCTTCTGATCCATGAACATGGGATGTCTTTTCATTTATTTAGCTCTTCTTTAAATTTTTTAACAAGCTTGCATAGTTCTTAATATAAAAAATCTTACACTTACTTTAAATTTACTATCATGTGATTTTTATGTTATACGTAGGATTGTTTCCTCAATGTTATTTTAAGATTGCTTATTGCTAGTGTATAAAATATAATTGATTCTTGCATATTGATCTTGTATTCTAATATTTGATGACTTTCTTTTTTCTAGTAGTTTTGTTAGTTTAGTCATTGAGATTTGTTAATATATGGGCCCATGTTATATGCAAACAGATATAGTTCTACTTTTTTTCCAATCTGAATGCCTTACAAAAAGTTGAAGAGGAGGTAACACTCTCAAATCATTCTGTAAGGCAATCATTAGTATGATCAAAAGGACAAAGACACTACAAGAAACAAAAAATGCAGACAATCATCAATGATGACTATTGATGTAAACGTCCTGAACAAAATACTAGCAAGCAAAATTCAATGATATATTAAAAGGATTATAGGCTATAACTAAGTAAAATGTATTCCAGAAATGCTAGGATGGGGCAACATAAGAAAATTGATTAATGTAATATATCACATTAATAGAATTAAGGGAAAAGACCACATAATTATCTCAATTGATGCAGAGAAATTATTTGAAAAAATGCTAGATGACGAGTTAGTGGGTGCAGAGCACCAGTGTGGCACATGTATACATATGTAACTAACCTGCACAATGTGCACATGTACCCTAAAACTTAAAGTATAATAATAAAAGAAAAAAAAAGAAAAAAATCAACACCCTTTCATAATTAAAAAAAACCCACTGAACGAACCAGAAATAGAAGAAAACTACTTCAAAATAATAAAAGTCATATGTGAAAAGCTCACAACTATCCTCATACTTAATGGTGAAAGACTGAAAGCTTTTCCTTTAAGATGAGGAACAAGACTAGGATGCTTGCAAACGTGAAAAATCACTTTCATTTCAATAAACTAACAATGAGCTATCTGAAAAGGAAATTTAGAAAACAATTCCACTTACAAGAGCAAAAAATATATAAAATATTTTGGAGTAAACTTAACCAAGGAGGCTGCTATGTTCGGAATTTTTGAATCCCCCAAATTCACATGTCAAAACCTAATCACTGATGTGATTAAATTAGGAGTTGGGGGAACGTTTTTAGGTAATTAGATCAGGAGGGTTTAGCTCTTATAGATGGGATTAGTGTCCTTATAAAAGAAGCCCCGGAAAGCTGCCTTGTCTCTTCCAACATGTAAGAACACAGGCAGAAGTTATCATCTATGAACCAGAAAAACCTGGCCTCACCAGACACTTACCCTGCTGGTGCCTGGACTTCCCAACCTCCAGAGCTGTAAAAAATCATGTTGTTTATAAGCCACCAGGTTTATAGTATTTTGTTACAGCAGCCCAAACAGGATAAGACAGAGTTGAGCAACTTCTATATTGCAAACTACAATGCTGTGCTAAAACAAATTGAAGACACCAATAAATACACATTTCAAATTCATAGACTGGAAGACTTCATATTTTTATTTTATTTTATTTTATTATTATTATACTTTAAGTTTTAGGGTACATGTGCACAATGTGCAGGTTAGTTACATATGTATACATGTGCCATGCTGGTGTGCTGCACCCATTAACTCGTCATTTAGCATTAGGTATATCTCTTAAAGTTATCCCTCCCCCTCCCCCCACCCCACAACAGTCCACAGAGTGTGATGTTCCCCTTCCTGTGTCCATGTGATCTCATTGTTCAATTCCCACCTATGAGTGAGAATATGCAGTGTCTGGTTTTTTGTTCTTGTGATAGTTTACTGAGAATGATGATTTCCAATTTCATCCATGTCCCTACAAAGGACATGAATTCATCAGTTTTTATGGCTGCATAGTATTCCATGGTGTATATGTGCCACATTTTCTTAATCCAGTCTATCATTGTTGGACATTTGGGTTGGTTCCAAGTCTTTGCTATTGTGAATAGTGCCACAATAAACATACGTGTGCATGTGTCTTTATAGCAGCATGACTTATAGTCCTTTGGGTATATACCCAGTAATGGGATGGCTGGGTCAAATGGTATTTCTAGTTCTAGATCCCTGTGGAATCGCCACACTGACTTCCACAATGGTTGAACTAGTTTACAGTCCCACCAACAGTGTAAAAGTGTTCCTATTTCTCCACATCCTCTCCAGCACCTATTGTTTCCTGACTTTTTAATGATTGCCATTCTAACTGGTGTGAGATCGTATCTCATTGAGGTTTTGATTTGCATTTCTCTGATGGCCCGTGATGGTGAGCATTTTTTCATATGTTTTTTGCCTGCATAAATGTCTTCTTTTGAGAAGTGTCTGTTCATGTCCTTCACCTACTTTTTGATGGGGTTGTTTGTTTTTTTCTTGTAAATTTGTTTGAGTTCATTGTAGATTCTGGATATTAGCCCTTTGTCAGATGAGTAGGTTGTGAAAATTTTCTCCCATTTTGTAGGTTGCCTGTTCACTCTGATGGTAGTTTCTTTTGCTGTGCAGAAGCTCTTTAGTTTAATTAGATCCCATTTGTCAATTTTGGCTTTTGTTGCCATTGCTTTTGGTATTTTAGACATGAAGTCCTTGCCCATGCCTATGTCCTAAATGGTAATGCCTAGGTTTTCTTCTAGGGTTTTTATGGTTTTATGTCTAACGTTTAAGAAGAAGACTTAATATTGTTAAGATGTGAAGAATATCCAAAGTAATTTACAGATTCAATGTAATTTCTATCCCAGTGTGAGCAACATTTTTTTCATAAGTAGAAAAATTCATCTTACAATTCATATAGAATCTCAAGATACTTTGAATAGCCAAAACAATCTTGAAAGAGAACAAAGTTAGAGATATCACACTTTGTGGTTTCCAAACTTTCTACAAAGTTACAGAAATCTAAACAATATAGTTTTGGCATAAAGACAGACATACAGACCAAGGGAGTAGGGTAAGGAACCAAGAATTAAACTCTCACATATATGTGTGATTTTCCACAAGGATGCAAAGACCATTAAATGGTGGGTCAGTCTTTTCAACAAGTAGTTTTTGGAAAACTAAATATCCATATTCAAAAGAATAAAATTTGAACCTTACCTTTCACTACATACAAATGTTAACTCAAAATTGATCTAGGACTTAAACATAAGAGCTAGAACTCTAAAACTCTTAGCATAAAACGTAGGCAGAAAGCTCTACGACATTTGATTTGGCAATGATTTATTGGATATGACATCACAGACAAAAATAAATAAATTGGACTACTACATCAAAATTATAAACATCTGTGCAACAAAGGACAAAGTGAACAGAGGAAAAAGACAACCCACAGAGTATGAGAAAGTTGCATGGAAGAGAGAAGAGTGAGACAGGACAGCTGCCTACCGGGGATTGGCGTGGAGCCACGGGAGGGTCCCCACTGTGGGGAAATGGTGAGTAAGTGAGTCCTCAGTGAACTTTACTTCGGTTATGTATCTTTGCAATCCCAGAAACAGAAGATTCCCCTCCCCGATCCCTTCTCTACAGGGCATACAGACTGACATTGAGAGCTGCCTGAAGTCTGAGTAGAGATGCCCCTCAGACACACATGGAGTCCCAGGGGACTTGGAATCCTGAGCACCATTGCAGCAGTAGCTCCACTAACAAGGGAAGCCAGGCACTCTTGCATGCCACCAGGATAAAAGCTGCATCCACAGTGTTGAGGATTGAACAGATTGCAGGCCTTGCCACTGCTACACCTTGCCAGACAAAGTCAACAGGCCTAGGGCCCCAAGGCAGCCACCCAACCAGCCCCTCTGAACTCTCAAGCCAGTGGCAGTTCCAGCTTTCCCTGGTATGAAGCTCCCAAAGGAAAAGACAGCCCCCTATTTTTGTGACTGCCACAGCCCCTGCTCCTACTGACCTCAGGCTCGAGAGCAAAACGCTTAAGAACTATTGCAGGCCTCCAGCACAATGCCACCACACTTCGCAGAAAAGTGGCCAGACTATTTTCCACCCATGTCCCTGACCTTCCTACTCCTCACTGTGCAGGACCTCTAAACATGGGACCCAAGCACAGCCACCACAGCACTTGAGCTCTTGGACACGTAGCAGCTCTGCATTTCCCTGAAACAGAGAATTCAGAGGTAGAAGGCTTACCATTTTTCCTGCTCTGCAGTCTCCACTCCTACTGCCCTCAGGCTCTGGAGGGAGTGAAGAACTTAAAAACTATCACAGGTCTCTAGCACAACTGACTTGAGAAAAGTGGCCAGATTGTTTTCAGTGCAGTTCCTTGCCGCTGTTGCTCCTCACTGGACAGTGTCTCTCAACCTGGGCCCTTAGCACAGCTGCACTCTCCCCACTTGAACATTTCAGTTAATGGTGGCTCTGCATTTGTCTGGGAAAGTAATCCCAGAGTAAACCCACAGACCCTCGGCCATAGCAGCTGCAGTGGAAACGTTCTTACTTCCCTTGGGCTGGGGAATAAAAGAATGTGCCTAGTCGCTTTACCGGCACCTCCAATACATCACAGCTGCCATATAGACGGGAGCCCAGTCTCTCTTCCCTGTGAACCTCCACCCCCTACCCTTCAGCAGGCAAGGCCCCAAGCTTGGACCCACAGTGCAGCTGACCCACCCAAGAATGAACATTCCCATTGGCAGCAGCTTTGCATTTCTGGAGTGGAGCTCCCAGAAGCAACTGCAAGTCCCTCTGACATTGCCACTGCAATGCTATTGTCCTTGCTGCATTCAGACTGGGAAAGGAACAAGGACCCTGAGTGCCTTACTTGCATCTCCAATATGCTTCAGCTGCCTTATAAAGAAGAGGCCAGTCTGTCTTCCTCTGAACCCACTGATTCCCCTGCTTATCGCCAGGCAGGTCCCTCGGGCTTGGACCCACGATGCAGCTTCGCCACCCCGGGCTGATCATTTTGATTCGCAGCGGCTCTGCATTTATCTGGAGTGGAGCCCTAAGAGACAAGTGAAAGACCCTCTGCCCAAAGGCTCCTAGATCTGATAAACAATTTCAGCAAAGTTTCAGAATACAAAATCAATGTACATAAATAAGTGGCACTTCTTTACACTAATAACATCCAAGCAGAGAGCAAAATAAAGAAACAATCCCATTCTCAATAGCCACATGAAGAATAAAATACATAGAAATACAGCTAACCATGCAAGTGAAAGATCTCGTTAATGAGAGACTTTCCAAAACACTGGAAAGTGTTTTTTTTTTTTTATATACTTTAAGTTGTAGGGTACATACGCAAAACGTGCAGGTTTGTTACACAGTATACATGTGCCATGTTGGTGTGCTGCACCCATTAACTCAACATTTAGCATTAGGTATATCTCCTAATGCTATCCCTTCACCTTCCCCTCACCCCACAACAGGCCCTGGTGTGTGATGTTCCCCTTCCTGTGTCCATGTGTTCTCATTGTTCAATTCCCACCTATGAGTGAGAACATCTGGTGTTTGGTTTTTTGTCCTTGCAATAGTTTGCTGAGAATGATGGTTTCCAGCTTCATCCATGTCTCTGTAAAGGACATGAACTCATCCTTTTTTATGCCTGCATAGTATTCCATGGTGTATATGTGCCACATTCTCTTAATCCAGTCAATCATTGTTGGACATTTGGGTGGGTTCCAACTCTTTGCTATTGTGAATAGTGCTGCAATAAACATACGTGTGCATGTGTCTTTATAGCAGAATGTTTTATAATCCTTTGGGTATATACCCAGTAATGGGATGGCTGGGTCAAATGGTATTTCTAGTTCTAGATCCCTGAGGAATCGCCACACTGACTTCCACAATGGTTGAACTAGTTTACAGTCCCACCAACAGTGTAAAAGTGTTCCTATTTCTCCACATCCTCTCCAGCACCCGATGTTTCCTGACTTTTTAATGACTGCCGTTCTAACTGGTGTGAGATGGTATCTCATTGTGGTTTTGATTTGCATTTCTCTGATGGCCAGTGATGATGAGCATTTCTTCTTGTGTCTTTTGGCTGCATAAATGTCTTCTTTTGAGAAGTGTCTGCTCATATTCTTTGCCCACTTTTTGATGGGGTTGTTTGTTTTTTTCTTGTAAATTTGTTTGAGTTCATTGTAGATTCTGGATATTAGTCCTTTGTCAGATGAGTAGATTGCAAAAATTTTCTCCCATTCTGTAGGTTGCTTGTTCACTCTGATGGTAGTTTCTTTTGCTGTGCAGAAGCCCTTTAGTTGAATTAGATCCCATTTGTCAATTTTGGCTTTTGTTGCCATTGCTTTTGGTGTTTTAGACATGAAGTCCTTCCCATGCCTGTGTCCTGAATGGTATTATCTAGGTTTTCTTCTAGGGTTTTTATGGTTTTAGGTCTAACATTTAAATCTTCAATCCGTCTTGAATTAATTTTTGTATAAGGTGTAAAGAAGGGATCCAGTTTCAGCTTTCTACATATGGCTAGCCAGTTTTCCCAGCACCATTTATTAAATAGGGAATCCTTTCCCATTTCTTGTTTTTGTCAGGTTTGTGAAAGATCAGATAGTTGTAGATATGTGGCATGATTTCTGAGGGCTCTGTTCTGTTCCACTGGTCTATCCAACATGATCAAGTGGGCTTCATCCCTGGGATGCAAGGCTGGTTCAACACACACAAATCAATACATGTAATCCAGCATATAAACAGAACCAACGACAAAAACCACATGATTATCTCAGTAGATGCAGAAAAGGCCTTTGACAAAATTCAACAACATTTCATGCTAAAAATGCTCAGTAAATTAGGTATTGATGGGACGTATCTCAAAATAATAAGAGCTATCTATGACAAACCCATAGCCAATATCATACTGAATGGGCAAAAACTGGAAGCATTCCCTTTGAAAACTGGCACAAGACAGGGATGCCCTCTCTCACCACTCCTATTCAACATAAAGTTGGAAGTTCTGGCCAGGGCAATCAGGAAGAAGAAGGAAATAAAGGGTATTCAATTAGGAAAAGAGGAAGTCAAATTGTCCCTGTTTGCAGATGACATGATTGCATATCTAGAAAACCCCATCGTCTCAGCCCAAAATATACTTAAGCTGATAGGCAAATTCACCAAAGTCTCAGGATACAAAATCAATGTGCAAAAATCACAAGCATTCTTATACACCAATAACAGACAAACAGAGAGCCAAATCATGAGTGAACTCCCATTCACAATTGCTTCAAAGAGAATAAAATACCTAGGCATCAAACTTACAAGGGATGTGAAGGACCTCTTCAAGGAGAACTACAAACCACTGCTCAAGGAAATAAAAGAGGATACAAACAAATGGAAGAACAATCCATGCTCATGGGTAGGAAGAATCAATATCATGAAAATGGCCATACTGCCCAAGGTAATTTACAGATTCAATGCCATCCCCATCAAGCTACCAATGACTTTCTTCACAGAATTGGAAAAAAACTACCTTAAAGTTCATATGAATGCAAAAAAGAGCCCGCATTGCTAAGTCATTCCTAAGCCAAAAGAACAAAGCTGGAGGCATCATGCTACCTGACTTCAAACTATACTACAAGGCTACAGTAACCAAAAGAGCATGGTGCTGGTACCAAAACAGAGATATAGACCAATGGAACAGAACAGAGCCCTCAGAAATAATGGAAAGTATTTTGAAACTAAATTGCTGATTTCTTTGGAAACACTTGGCTAGAAATCAGTGATGGCACAAACAAAAAGAAAATCATTCCATGCTCATGGATAGGAGGATTTAATACTGTTAAAATGACCACACTGCCCAAAGCAATTTACAGATCCAGTGTTGTTCCTATCAAACTACTAAAACTGTTTTTCACAGAATAAGAAAATTCCATTTTAAAATTTATTTTTAAGAAAAAACAGCCCCATATCCATAGCAATGCTATACAGAAAGAACAAAGCTGGAAGCATCTCATGACCCAATTTGAAATTATACTGCAAGACTACAGCAACAAAAAGCAACATGGTACAGATACAAAAACAGACAAATAGACAAAGGGAAGAGATTACAGAACTCAGAAATAAAACTGAACATCTACAACCATCTGATCTTTGACAAAGCTGTCAATAAGAAATGGTGAAACTACTCCCTATTCAATAAATACTGCCAGAATAACTGGCTAGCCATATGCAGAAGATTGAAACTGAACCCCTTCCTTTCACCATATACAAATATCAACTCAAGATGGATTAAAGACTTAAATGTAAAACTTAAAACTATAAAGCCTTAGAAGACAACCTTGTCAATGTCATTCTGGACATAGGAACTGGCAAAATTTTATGACCAAGATACCAAAACATTTGCAAAAAGGCAAAAATTGATAAGTGGGACCCAATTAAATGAAACAGTTTCAACACAGCTAAAGAAACTATCAACAAAGTAAAGGGACACTCTATTAAATGAAAAAAAATATTTTCAAGCTATTCATCTGACAATCTCATACTCAGAATCTGTATGGAGCTCTAACAAATCAACAAGCAAAAATCAAACAACCCCATTAAAAATGGGCATAGGACATAAGCAGAAAACATGCACGCAGTCAGCAAGCATATGCAAAAAAATTCAGTATCACTGATCATTAGGGAAATGCAAACCAAATCGACAATGAGATACCATCTCACACCAATCAAAATGGCTATCTTAAAAAAAAAAACTTTTTGAGGGGTGGAGCCAAGATGGCCGAATAGGAACAGCTCTGGTCTACAGCTCCCAGCCTGAGCGACACAGAGGATGGGTGATTTCTGCATTTCCATCTGAGGTACTGGGTTCATCTCACTAGGGAGTGCCAGACAGTGGGTGCAGGACAGTGGGTGCAGCGCACCATTCATGAGCCAAAGCAGGGTGAGGCATTGCCTCACTTGGGAAGCACAAGGGGTCAGGGATTTGCCTTTCCTAGCCAAAGAAAGGGGTGACAGACAGCACCTGGAATATCGGGTCACTCCCACCCTAATACTGCACTTTTCCAACAGGCTTGAAAAACGGGACACCAGGAGATTATATCCTGCACATGGCTCAGAGGGTCCTACGCCCATGGAGTGTCACTGATTGCTAGCACAGCAGTCTGAGATCAAACTGCAAGGCCGCAGTGAGGCTGGGGGAGGGGTGCCTGCCATTGCCCAGGCTTGATTAGGGAAACAAAGCAGCCAGGAAGCTCGAACTGGGTGGAGCCCACCACAGCTCAAAGAGGCCTGCCTGCCTCTGTAGGCTCCACCTGTGGGGGCAGGGCACAGACAAACAAAAAGACAGCAGTAACCTCTGCAGGCTTAAATGTCCATCTGACAGCTTTGAAGAGAGTAGTGGTTCTCCCTGCACACAGCTGGAGATCTGAGAATGGGCAGACTGCCTCCTCAAGTGGGTCCTTGACCCCTGAGCAGCCTAACTGGGAGGCACCTCCCAGTAGGGGCAGACTGACACCTCACACGGCCGGGTACTCCTCTGAGACAAAACTTCCAGAGGATCAATCAGACAGCAGCATTTGCAGTTCACCAAGATCCGCTGTACTACAGCCACCACTGCTGATACCCAGGCAAACAGGGTCTGGCATGGACCTCTAGCAAACTCCAACAGACCTGCAGCTGAGGGTCCTGTCTGTTAGAAGGAAAACTAACAAACAGAAAGGTCATCCACACCAAAATCCCTTGTGTACGTCACCATCATCAAAGACCAAATGTAGATAAAACCACAAAGATGGGGAAAAAACAGAGCAGAAAAACTGGAAACTCGAAAAAGCAGAGTGCCTCTCCTTCTCCAAAGGAACGCAACTCCTCAACAGCAATGGAACAAAGCTGGATGGAAAATGACTTTGAAGAGCTAAGAGAAGAAGGCTTCAGACGATCAAACTACTCCAAGCTACAGGAGGAAATTCAAATCAATGGCAAAGAAGTTAAAAATTTTGAAAAAAAATTAGAGGAATGTATAACTAGAATAACCAATGCAGAGAAGTGCTTAAAGGAGGTGATGGAGCTGAAAGCCAAGGCTCAAGAAGTACGTGAAGAATGCAGAAGCCTCATGAGCCTATGCGATCAACTGGAAGAAAGGGTATCAGTGATGGAAGATCAAATGAATGAAATGAAGCAAGAAGGGAAGTTTAGAGAAAAAAGAATAAAAAGAAATGTACAAAGCCTCCAGGAAATATGGGACTATGTGAAAAGACCAAATCTATGTCTGACTGGTGTACCTGAAAATGACGGGGAGAATGGAACCAAGTTGGAAAACACTCTGCAGGATATTATCCAGGAGAACTTCCCCAATCTAGCAAGGCAGGCCAACATTCAGATTCAGGAAATACAGAGAACGCCACAAAGATACTCCTCGAGAAGAGCAACTCCAAGACACATAATTGTCAGATTCGCCGAAGTTGAAATGAAGGAAAAAAATGTTAAGGGCAGCCAGAGAGAAAAGTCAGGTTACCCACAAAGGGAAGCCCATCAGACTAACAGCGGATGTCTTGGCAGAAAATCTACAAGCCAGAAGAGAGTGTGGGGTGAATATTCAACATTCTTAAAGAAAAGAATTTTCAACCCAGAATTTCATATCCAGCCAAACTAAGCTTCATAAGTGAAGGAGAAATAAAATACTTTACAGACAAGGAAATGCTGAGAGATTTTGTCACCACCAGGCCTTCCCTAAAAGAGCTCCTGAAGGAAGCGCTAAACATGGAAAGGAACAACCAGTACCAGCCACTGCAAAAACATGCCAAAATATAAAGACCGTCAAGGCTAGGAAGAAACTGCATCAACTAACGAGCAAAATAACAAGCTAACATCTTAATAACAGGATAAAATACACACATAACAATATTAACTTTTAATGTAAATGGGCTAAATGCTCCAATTAAAAGACAGACTGGCAAATTGGATAAAGAGTCAAGACCCATCAGTGTGCTGTATTCAGGAAACCCATCTCATGTGCAGAGACACACATAGGCTCAAAATAAAGGGATGGAGGAAGATCTACCAAGCAAATGGAAAACAAAAAAAGGCAGGGGTTGCAATCCTAGTCTCTGATAAAACAGACTTTAAACCAACAAAGATCAAAAGAGACAAAGAAGGCCATTACATAATGGTAAAGGGATCAATTCAACAAGAAGAGCTAACTATCCTAAAAATATATGAACCCAATATAGGAGCACCCAGATTAATAAAGCAAGTCCTGAGGACCTACAAAGAGACTTAGACTCCCACACATTAATAATGGGAGACTTTAACACCCCACTGTCAACATTAGACAGATCAAGGAGACAGAAAGTCAACAAGGATACCCAGGAATTGAACTCAGCTCTGCATCAAGCAGACCTAATAGACATCTACAGAACTCTCCACCCCAAATCAACAGAATATACATTCTTCTCAGCAGTACACCACACTTATTCCAAAATTGACCACATAGGTGGAAGTAAAGCACTCCTCAGCAAATGTAAAAGAACAGAAATTATAACAAACTATCTCTCAGACCACAGTGCAATCAAACTAGAACTCTGGACTAAGAAACTCACTCAAAACCGCTCAACTACATGGAAACTGAACAACCTGCTACTGAATGACTACTTGGTACATAACGAAATGAAGGCAGAAATAAAGATGTTCTTTGAAACCAACGAGAACAAAGACACAACATACCAAAATCTCTGGGATGCATTCAGAGCAGTGTGTAGAGGGAAATTTATAACACTAAATGCCCACAAGAGAAAGCAGGAAAGATCCAAAATTGACACCCTAACATCACAATTAAAAGAACTAGAAAAGCAAGAGCAAACACATTCAAAAGCTAGCAGAATGTAAGAAATAACTAAAATCAGTGCAGAACTGAAGGAAATAGAGATAAAAAAAAACCCTTCAAAAAATTAATAATCCAGAAGCTGGTTTTTTTGAAAAGATCAACAAAATCGATAGACCGCTAGCAAGACTACTAAAGAAGAAAAGAGAGAAGAATCAAATAGACACAATAAATAATGATAAAGGGGATATCACCACCGATCCCACAGAAATACAAACTACCATCAGAGAATACTACAAACACCTCTATGCAAATAAACTAGAAAATCTAGAAGAAATGGATAAATTCCTCGATACATACACCCTCACAAGACTAAACCAGGAAGAAGTTGAATCTCTGAATAGACCAATAACAACCCTGGATTCACAGCCGAATTCTACCAGAGGTACAAGGAGGAGCTGGTACATTCCTTCTGAAACTATTCCAATCAACAGAAAAAGAGGGAATCCTCCCTAACTTATTTTATGAGGCCAACATAATCCTGATACCAAAGCCTGGCAGAGACACAACCAAAAAAGAGAATTTTAGACCAATATCCCTGATGAACATTGAGGAAAAAATCCTCGATAAAATCTGAATAGGTAATGGATGGACATAGAAACCCATATGTGATTAAGTAAAGATAGAAATCTGCTTATACTGCAGTTTCTAGGTAACAGTTATAGTGATACTTACTGTACAACTCAGTTGACCTCTCTGGGTGTTTAATAAGTTTTATAATAAAATATTAGCAAAAATGGAATTATGCTAAGTATACATTTTGTACACTACTTAACTCACCTTCAGTATAGCTTGATTATATGTCCTCATTATTTTATGTGCTACTGATATCATTTCAAGGAACATATTCTGTCATTTCGGCCTTAGAGTGTGTTTTATAATTTTGTGGTCATTAGCTTGCTAAATTGCATGAGAGTGAAAACTTGGTTCTCTAGTGAAAAAATATTGCCTCAGAATTATTTCCTTGAGATAATATCTTCAGGGTCAGAAGATACATAAAGTTTTAGGTGGTGGTACATATTTTCTAGAGCAACTCCCAAATGATGCATATAAATTTGCAACTGTACCAATAGGATGAGAGGGCTAGTTTGCAAGATGGGAGCCAATGCAAAAACATATGATCATCTATTATTCATTTATTTGGGTATGTCTTTTTTGGAATTCTTGGTCTATAAAAACTTGAATAATTACTTTAAGTATAATCTTATAAATAAAAAATAATTAAAGAAATATCAGAAAATGCAAGTCAAAATGAGACGATAAATGGTAACCATATTTCTTATCACTATTAATAACTTTTTAATATATAATTCTGTTCTTTACTCTGAGATTGGGGTGGAGAAAATAATGAACACTGGAGAAACACACACAATGTCTGCCTTCGACACCAACCTGGAAAAAACAGCATAGTTTCAGTTAACCCAGACGAAATGGTAGAAACTGCAAGGTTACATTAAGAAACACAAACACATACACGCCCACAAACTATAATATGAATTAGTAAGGATAATACTATAGAAGATACGGCAAAAAAATTAAGAAGATACTATTACAAAGAAACAAATCTGTGGAGAGGGAGAATTTTAACTGAATATTCAGTTATTTGATACAGACAAAGAGAAAGTAAAACTGATATATCTAGAAACCAAACTATTGGCTAAATGTTAGATCTGTTTCACAACACAGAGAAAATGTATCAAAGAAGTTTTAGATTTACATTTCAAAATGACTGGGGCTCTGAGCCAAGGACTTCAGGACAATTGTCTGTTTTGGGGGTGGGGTTGGACAGGGTTTGTTGCCCAGGCTGTAGTGCAGTGGCACACACATGGCTTACTGCAGCCTCAACCTCCTGGGCTCAAGCAATCCTCCAACCTCAGCCTCCTATGTAGCTGGGACTACAGGCACATACCACCACACCTGGCTAATTTTACAAAATTATCATAGAAACAGAGTCTCACTATGTTTCCCAGGCTGGCCTCCAACTCCCTGGCTCAAGCAATCCTCCTGCTTCAGCCTCCAAAAGTACTGGGATTACAGGCATGGGCCACCACACCCAGCCCAGTTGTCTAAAGAAAGGCTGAGGCAGGCTAAGTGCCAAGTAGGTAAACATAAAGTAGAGAAGAGAATAAACTTTTATCTTGATACAGTTTATGAACCAGAAGGTCTGGATCTGCTTTCCATGGCTTCTAGGATCCCCATAGCACTGTGCTGATCAGGAATGGTCTCATAGTACTTCCTGAATTTTGATTAAGGGAGTCACAGGTAAGGGATGGAAGCTAGACTTGACACTGGGCTATGCATTTCAAAGCACTCTACAAACTAGGAAATGGAAGCAGCCTAGTCCTAGGATTAGAACCCAGAGTACTTGGCTAAGGAGTAAAGTTTGAAAGAATCATGTCTCAGGAATTTTAAAGCACTCACTGATCAGTAGATGTAGCTGGACCAGGTTCAAGGATTCAGATGTCAGAAGAAGGATTGAAGGTGGACTTGGATCATTCGATCTTAAGGCACTATACTTGTCAGGAATTGAGAATCATAAGTATCCTTGGCTAAGGATATTGTCTTGAATATCAGAGTCCATTTTTTAAAAGCTTTGTCCTAGCACCATTTATTAAATAGGGAATCCTTTCCCCATTTCTTGTTTTTGTCAGGTTACTCAAAGATCAGATGGTTGTAGATATGCAGCATTATTTCTGAGGGCTCTGTTCTGTTCCATTGGTCTATATCTCTGTTTTGGTACCAGTACCATGCTCTTTTGGTTACTGTAGCCTTGCAGTATAGTTTGAACTCTGGTAGTGTGATGCCTCCAGCTTTGTCCTTTTGGCTTAGGATTGACTTGGCAATGCGGGTTCTTTTTTCGTTCCATATGAACTTTAAAGTAGTTTTTTTCCAATTCTGTGAAGAAAGTCATTGGTAGCTTGATGGGAATGGCGTTGAATCTATAAATTACCATGGGCAGTATGGCCATTTTCACGATATTGATTCTTCCTACCAATGAGCATGGAATATTCTTCCATTTGTTTGTATCCTCTTTTATTTCCTTGAGCAGTGGTTTGTAGTTCTCCTTGAAGAGGTCCTTCACGTCCCTTGTAAATAGGATTCCTAGGTATTTTATTCCCTTTGAAGCAATTGTGAACGGGAGTTCACTATGATTTGGCTCTCTGTTTGTCTGTTATTGGTGTATAAGAATGCTTCTGATTTTTGTACATTGATTTTGTATCCTGAGACTTTGCTGAAGTTGCCTATCAGCTTAAGGAGATTTTGGACTGAGACGATGGAGTTTTCTAAATATACAATCATGTCATCTGCAAACAGGGACAATTTGACTTCCTCTTTTCCTGATTGAATACCATTTATTTCCTTCTCCTGCCTGATTGCCCTGGCCAGAACTTCCAACACTATGTTGAATAGGAGTGGTAAGGGAGGGCATCCCTGACTTGTGCCAGTTTTCTAAGGGAATGCTCCCACTTTTTGCTCATTCAGTATGATATTGGCTGTGGGTTTGTCATAGATAGCTCTTATTATTTTGAGATACGTCCCATCAATACCTAATTTATTGAGCATTTTAACATGAAGTGTTGTTGAATTTTGTCAAAGGCCTTTTCTGCATCTACTGAGATAATCATGTGGTTTTTGTCGTTGGTTCTGTTTACATGCTGGATTATGTATATTGATTTGCATATGTTGAACCAGCCTTGCATCCCAGGGATGAAGCCCACTTCATCATGGTGGTTAAGCTTTTTGATGTGCTGCTGGATTCGGTTTACCAGTATTTTATTAAGGGTTTTTCCATCGATATTCATCAGGGATAATGGTCTAAAATTCTCTTTTTTTGCTGTGTCTCTGCCAGGCTTTGGTATCAGGATGATGCTGGCCTCATAAAATGAGTTAGGGAGGATTCCCTCTTTTTCTATTGATTGGAATAGTTTCAGAAGGAATGGTACGAGCTCCTCCTTGTACTTCTGGTAGATATCGGTTGTGAATCCATCTGGTCCTGGACTTGTTTTGGTTGGTAAGCTATTAATTATTGCCACAATTTTAGAGCCTGTTATTGGTCTATTCAGAGATTCAACTTCCTCCTGGTTTAGTCTTGGGAGGGTGTATGTGTCTAGGAATTCATCCATTTCTTCTAGTTTTTCTAGTTTATTTGCGTAGAGGTGTTTATACTATTCTCCGATGTTAGTTTGTACTTCTGTGGGATCCTCCTATATCACTTTTTATTGCGTCTAGTTGATTCTTCTCTCTTTTCTTCTTTATTAATCTTGCTAGCAGTCTATCAATTTTGTTGATCTTTTCAAAAACGCAGCTCCTGGATTCAGTGATTTTTTGAAGGTTTTTTGTGTCTCTATTTCCTTCAGCTCTGCTGTGATCTTAGTTATTTCTTGCCTTCTGCTAGCTTTTGAATGTTTGCTCTTGCTTCTCTAGTTCTTTATTTGTGATGTTAGGGTGTCAATTTTAGATCTTTCCTGCTTTCTCTTGTGGGCATTTAGTGCTATAAATTTCCCTCTACACACTGCTTTGAATGTGTTCCAGAGATTCTGGTATGTTGTGTCTTTGTTCTCATTGTTTTCAAATAACATCTTTATTTCTGCCTTCATTTCGTTATGTACCCAGTAGTCATTCAGGAGCAGGTTGTTCAGTTTCCATGTAGTTGAGTGGTTTTGAGTGAGTTTCTTAATCCTGAGTTCTAGTTTGATTGCACTGTGGTCTGAGAGACAGTTTGTTAAATTTCTGTTCCTTTACATTTGCTGAGGAATGCTTTACTTCCAACAATGTGGTCAATTTTGGACTAAGTGTGGTGTACTGCTGAGAAGAATGTATATTCTGTTGATTTGGGGTGGAGAGTTCTGTAGATGTCTATTAGGTCTGCTTGATGCAGAGCTGAGTTCAATTCCTGGATATCCTTGTTAACTTTCTGTCTCGTCGATCTGTCTAATATTGACAGTGGGGTGTTAAAGTCTCCCATTATTATTGTGTGAGAGTCTAAGTCTCTTTGTAGGCCTCTAAAGACTTGCTTTATGAATCTGGATGCTCCTGTATTGGGTGCATATATATTTAGTATAGTTAGCTCTTCTTGTTGAATTGATCCCTTTACCATTATGTAATGGCCTTCTTTGTCTCTTTTGATCTTTGTTGGTTTAAAGTCTGTTTTATCCAAGACTAGGATATTTTGTTTTTTTGTTTTCCATTTGCTGCCTTTTTTTGTTTTCCATTTGCTTGGTATTTCTTCCTCTATCCCTTTATTTTCAGCCTATGTGTGTCTCTGCACGTGAGATGGGTTTCCTGAATACAGCACACTGACAGGTCTTGACCCTTTAAACAATTTGCCAGACTGTGTCTTTTAATTGGAGCACTTAGCCCATTTACACTTAAGGTTAATATTGTTATGTGTGAGTTTGATCCTGTCATTATGATGTTAGCTTGTTATTTTGCTCGTCAGTTGATGCAGTTTCTTCCTCGCCTTGATGGTCTTCACAATTTGGCATGTTGTTGCAGGGGCTGGTACCAGTTGTGCCTTTCCATGTTTAGTGCTTCCTTCAGGAGCTCTTTTAGGGCAGGCCTGGTGGTGAAAAAATCTCTCAGCATTTCCTTGTCTGTAAAGGATTTTATTTCTCCTTCATTTATGAAGTTTAGTTTGGCAGGATATGAAATTCTGGGTTGAAAATCATTTTTTTTATCCCTTCATGCTAAAAACTCTCAATAAATTAGGTATTGATGTGACATATCTCAAAATAATAAGAGCTATCTATGACAAACCCACAGCCAATATCATACTGAATGGGCAAAATCTGGAAGCATTCCCTTTGAAAACTGGAACAAGGCAGGGATGCCCTCTCTCTCACCACTCCTATTCAACATAGTGTTGGAAGTTCTGGCCAGGGCAATTAGGCAGGAGAAGGAAATAAAGGGCATTCAATTAGGAAAAGAGGAAGTCAAATGGTCCCTGTTTTCAGATAACATGATAGTATATCTAGAAAACCCCATTGCCTCAGCTCAAAATCTCCTTAAGCTGAGAAACAAATTCAGCAAAGTCTCAGGATACAAAATCAATGTACAAAAATCACAAGCATTCTTATACACCAATAACAGACAAACAGAGAGCCAAGTCAGGAGTGAGCTCCCATTCACAGTTGCTTCAAAGAGAATAAAATACCTAGGAATCAAACTTACAAGGGATGTGAAGGACCTCTTCAAGGACAACTACAAACCACTGCTCAATGAAATAAAAGAGGATACAAACAAATGGAAGAACATTCCATGCTCATGGGTAGGAACAATCAATATCATGAAAACGGCCATACTGTCCAAGGTAATTTATAGATTCAATGCCATCCCCATCAAGCTACCAATGACTTTTATCACAGAATTGGAAAAACTACTTTAAAGTTCATATGGAACCAAAAAAGGGCCCGCATTGCCAAGTCAACCCTAAGCCAAAATAACAAAGCTGGAGACATCACGCTACCTGACTTCAAACTATACTACAAGGCTACAGTAACCAAAACAGCATGATACTGGTACCAAAAGAGATATAGATCAATGGAACAGAACAGAGCCCTCAGAAATAACGCCGCATATCTACAACTATCTGATCTTTGAGTGACGTGAGAAAAACAATCAATGGGGAAAAGATTCCGTATTTAACAAATGGTGATGGGAAAACTGGCTAGCCATATGTAGAAAGCTGAAACTGGATCCCTTCCTTACACCTTATACTAAAATTAATTCAAGATGGATTAAAGACTTAAATGTTAGACCTAAAACCATAAAAACCCTAGAAGAAAACCTAGACAATACCATTCAGGACATAGGCATGGGCAAGGACTTGATGTCTAAAACACCAAAAGCAATGGCAACAAAAGCCAAAATTGACAAATGGGATCTAATTAAACTAAAGAGCTTCTGCACAACAAAAGAAACTACCATCAGAGTGAACAGGCAACCTACAAAATGGGAGAAAGTTTTTGCAACCTACTCATCTGACAAAGGGCTAATATCCAGAATCTACAATGAACTCAAACAAATTTACAAGTAAAAAACAAACAACCCCATCAAAAAGTGGGCAAAGGATATGAACAGACACTTCTCAAAAGAAGACATTTATGCAGCCAAAAAACACATGAAAACATACTCACCATCACTGGCTATCAGAGAAATGCAAATCAAAACCACAATGAGATACCATCTCACACAAGTTATAATGTTTCCTAAATGTCAGGAAACAGCAGGTGCTGGAGAGGATGTGGAGAAATAGAAACACTTTTATACTGTTGGTGGGACTGTAAACTAGTTCAGCCCTTGTGGAAGTCAGTGTGGCAATTCCTCAGGGATCTAGAAGTAGAAATACCATTTGACCCAGCCATCCCATTACTGGGTATATACCCAAAGGACTATAAATCATGCTGCTATAAAGACACATGCACACATATGTTTATTGCAGCACTATTCACAATAGTAAAGACTTGGAACCAACCCAAATGTCCAACAAGGATAGACTGGATTAAGAAAATGTGGCACATATACACCGTGGAATACTATGCAGCCATAAAAAAATGATGAGTTCATGTCCTTTGTAGGGGCATGGATGAAATTGGAAGTCATCATTCTCAGTAAACTGTCGCAAGGACAAAAAACCAAACACCAGATGTTCTCACTCATAGGTGGGAATTGAACAATGAGAACACAATGGACACAGGAAGGGGAACATCACACTCTGGGGACTGTTGTGGGGTGGGGGGAGGGGGGAGGGATAGCATTACGAGGTATACCTAATACTAAATGACGAGTTAATGGGTGCAGCACACGAGCATGGCACATGTATGCATATGTAACTAACCTGCACATTGTGCACATATACCCTAAAACTTAAAGTATAATAATAATAAAATGAAGAAGAAGAATGTTGAATATTGGTCCCCACTCTCTTCTGGCTTGTAGGGTTACTGCTGAGAGATCAGCCGTTAGTCTGATGGGCTTCCCTTTGTGGGTAACCCGACCTTTCTCTCTGGCTGCCCTTAACATTTTTTCCTTCATTTCAACTTTGGCGAATCTGACAACTATGTTTCTTGGAGTTGCTCTTCTCGAGGAATATCTTCTTGGCAGTCTCTGTATTTCCTGAATTTGAATGTTGGCCTGCCTTGCTAGACTGGGGAAGTTCTCCTGAATAATATCCTTCAGAGTGTTTTCCCACTTGGTTCCATTCTCCCTGTCACTTTCAGGTACACCAATCAGACATAGATTTGGTCTTTTCACATAGTCCCATATTTCTTGGAGGCTTTTTTTGTTTCTTGCATTCTTTTTTTCTCTAAACTTCTCTTCTCGCTTCATTTCACTCATTTGATCTTCCATCACTGATACCCTTTCTTCCAGTTGATCGAATCGGCTGCTGAGGCTTGTGCATTCATCTCGTAGTTCTTGTGCCTTGGTTTTCAGCTGCATCAGGTCCTTTAAGGACTTCTCTGCATTGGTTATTCTAGTTAGCCATTCGTCTAATTTTTTTTCAAAGTTTTTAACTTCTTTGCCATGGGTTCGGAGTTCCTCTTTTAGCTTGGAGTAGTTTGATCATCTGAAGCCTTCTTAATTCAACTCGCCAAAGTCATTGTCTGTCCAGCTTTGTTCCATTGCTGGTGAAGGGCTGCGTTCCTATGGAGGAGGAGAGGCGCTCTGATTTTTAGAGTGTCCAGTTTTTCTGCTCTTTTTCCGCATCTTTGTGGTTTTATCTACCTTTGGTCTTTGATGATGGTGACGTACAGATGGGGTTTTGGTGTGGATGTCCCTTCTGTTTGTTAGTTTTCCTTCTAACAGTCAGGACCCTCAGACCTAAAACCATAAAACCCTAGAAGAAAACCTAGGCATTACCATGCAGGACATAGGCATGGGCAAGGACTTCATGTTTAAAACACCAAAAGCAATGGCAACAAAAGCCAAAATTGACAAAGGAGATATAATTAAACTAAAGAGCTTCTGCACAGCAAAAGAAACTACAAGCAGAGTGAACAGGCAACCTACAGAATGGGAGAAAATTGTTGCAATCTACTCATCTCACAAAGGGCTAATATCCAGAATCTACAAAGAACTCAAACAAATTTACAAGAAAAAGACAAACAACCCCATCAAAAAGTGGGCGAAGGATATGAACAGACACTTCTCAAAAGAAGACATTTATGCAGCCAAAAGACACGTGAAAAAATGCTCATCATCACTGGCCATCAGAGAAACGCAAATCAAAACCACAATGAGATACCATCTCACACCAGTTAGAATGGCGATCATTAAAATGTCAGGAAACAATAGGTGCTGGAGAGGATGTGGAGAAATAGGAATACTTTTACACTGTTGGTGGGACTGTAAACTAGTTCAACCATTGTGGAAGTCGGTGTGGCAATTTTTCAGGGATGTAGAACTAGAAATACCATTTGACCCAGCCATCACATTACTGGGTATATACCCAAAGGATTATAAGTCATGCTGGTATAAAGACACATGCACACATATGTTTATAGCAGCACTATTCACAATAGCAAAAACTTGCAACCAACCGAAATGTCCAACAATGATAGACTGGATTAAGAATATATGGCACATATCCACCATGGACTACTATGTGGCAATAAAAAAGGATGAGTTCATGTCCTTTGTAGTTACATGGATGAATCTGGAAACCATCATTCTCAGCAAACTATCACAAGGACAAAAAAACAAAGACCGCATGTTCTCACTCATAGGTCGAAATTTAACAATGAGAACACATGGACACAGGAAGAGGAACATCACACACCAGGGTCTGTTGTTGGGTGGGGGGAGGGAGAGGGATGTTATTGGAGATATACCTAATGTTAAATGATGCGTTACTGGGTGCAGCACACCAACATGGCACATGTATGCATATCTAACTAACCTGCACATTGTGCACATGTACCTTAAATCTTAAAGTATAATAAAAAAAGGTGGGGGGGAAAAGCTTGGTCCTTAGGGTGCCATGTTTCTCTACCTCAATAACTTTTTATTTTATTGTATTTTTATAAATTTAGGGGGCACAAGTGGAGTTTTGTCATATAAATATGGCATACTAATGGCATAAAATCTCAGGCTTTTTAGTGCAACTGTTTTCTCAGTCTTTATGTCCAGGTGTACACACTGATTAGCTCTCACTTATAAATGAGAAAATGTTGTATTTGACTTTCTCTTTCTGAGTTGTTTTAGTTAAGGTAATGGTGTTCAGTTCTATACATGCTGCTGAAAAAGACATGATTTTATTCTTTTCTCTGACTTTGTAGCAGTCTACAGTGTGTGTGTGTGTGTGTGTGTGTGTGTGTGTAACAATTTCTTTATCCAAACATCTGTTAATATACATTTGGGTTGATTCCATGACTTTGGTATTGTGAATAGTGCTACAGCAAACATACAGGCACAGGTGCCATTTTTCTATAATTATTTCTTTTCTTTTGGGTAGATATTCAGTGGTTGAATTGCTGTGTAAGAGTGTAATGCTATTTTTACTTCTTTGCAAAATCCACATATTGTCTTTTGCAGAAGATGTTGTACAAATTTACATTTTCTCCCACAGTGTGTGTTACCTTTTCTCTGCATCGTCATCAACACCAGTTGTTTTTATGACTTTGTAGTACTAGCCATTCTCATTGGTATATGTTGGTATCACATTGCGGTTTAAATTTGCATGTATCTGCTGATTAGTGACACTGAGCAGTTTCTAATATGTTTGTTGGCTGCTTGTATGTCTTTTTTTTGAAAAATATCTGCTCTTATCCTTTACCCAATTTTAATGGAGTTATTTGTTTATATTCTTGTAGAGCGTTTGAGTTTCTTGTAAATTATGGATATTAGTTAATTGGCAAATGCATGGCTTACAAATATTTTCTCCCATTCTGTAGGTTGCCAGTTTATGCTGTTGATTATTTCAGCAGATTATTTCACAGCTTCAATCAGAAGCTGTGTAGAAGATTTTTAGTTTAATTAAGATCCACTTGACTATTTTTCTTTTTCTTGCATTTGCTTTTAAGATTTTATTTATAAATTCTTTGCCTAGGTGAGTATCTGGAAAAGTTTTTTCTAGATTGTATTCTATAATTTTTATAGTGGTAAGTACTACCTTTAAGCCTTTAACTCTTCTTGAGTTAATTTCAGTATATGGTGAAAGATGGGAGTCCAGTCTCATTCTTCTGCCTATGACTATCCAATTATCACAGCACCATTTATTAAATAGGGTGTCATTTCCCCAGTGTATATTTTTGTCCGCTTTGCCAAAGATCAGTTAGTTTTAGGTATGTTGCATTATTTCTGGGTGCGCTATTTTGTTCCATTGATCTATGTGTCTATTTTTATACCAGTTCCATGCTGCTTTGGTTAGCCTTGTGGTATAACCTGGAGTCAGGTAATGTAATGTTGCCATCTTTGTTCTTTTGGCTTAGGACTTCTTTCACTCTTTGGGTTCTTTTTTGGTCCTATATTAATTTTAGGATTGCTTTTTCTAATTCTGTGAGAAATGGCATTGACAAATTAACAAAAATGGATGGAATCTAAATTGTGCTTTGGGCAGCATGGTCATTTAAACAATGTTGATTTTTCCAATTCATGAGCATGGGACGGTTTTCCATTGGTTTGTGTCATCTATGATTTCTTTCAGCAGTGTTTTGTAGTTCTCTTGTAGAAATCTTTACGTCCTTGGTTAAATGTATTCATAGGTATTTTATTTTATTTTTTATTAATTTTTATTTTTATTTTAAATTCTGGGGTACATGTGCAAGATGTGCAGGTTTGTTACATAGGTAAATCCTGTGCCATGGTGATTTGCTGCACCTATCAACCCATCACCTAGGTATTAAGCACAGCATGCATTAGCTGTCTTTCCTAATGCTTTCCTTCCCCCTACCCCATCCCTCAACAGACCTCAGTGTGTTTTGTTTTCCTCCCTATGTCCATGAGTTGTCACTGTTCAGCTACCACTTATGAGTGAGAACATGCAGTGTTTGGTCTTCTCTTCCTGCGTTAGTATGCTGAGGATAATGGCTTCCAGCTCCATCCATGTCCCTGCAAAGGGCATGATTTTGTTCTTTTTTATGGATGCATAGTATTCCATGGTGTATATGTACCATATTTTATTTATTTAGTATATCACTGATGGACATATGGGTTGATTCCATGTCTTTTCTATTGTGAATAGTGCTGCATTGAACATACATGTGCATGTATCTTTGTAATAGAATGATTTATATTCCTTTGGGTATATACCCAGTAAAGGGAATGCTAGGTCAAATTGTATTTCTGGTTCTACATTTTTGAGGAATTTCTACGCTGTCTTACACAATGATTGAACTAATTTATTTTCCCACCAACAGTGTAAAAGTATTCCTATTTCTCTGCAACCTCGCCAGCATCTGTTCTTTCTTGACATTTTAATAATTGTCATTCTGACTGTCATAAGATGGTATTTTATTGTGGTTTTGATTTGGATTTTGATAATGATCAGTGATGTTGAGGTTTTTTTCACATGTTTATTGGCCACACAAATGTCATCTTTTGAGAAGTGCCTTTTCATGTCCTTTGCCCACTTTTTGATGGGGTTGTTTGTTTGTTTTCTTGTAAATTTGTTTAAGTTTCTTGTAGATTCTAGATATTATAACTTTGTCAGATGGATAGACTGCAAAATTTTTCTCCCACTCTGTAGGTTGCCTGTTTGCTCTAATTATAGTTCCTTTTGCTGTGCAGAAGCTCTTTAGTTTAATTAAATCCCATTTGTCAATTTTTGCTTTTGTTGCAATTGCTTTTGAGGATTTCATCATGAAATCTTTTCCCATTCCCATGACCTGAATAGTATTGCCTAGATTTTCTTCTAGTGTTTTTTTTTTATCGTTTTGGGTTTTACATTTAAGTCTTTAATCCATCTTGAGTTAAGTTTTGTGTAAGGTGTAAGGAAGGGGTCAAATTTCAGTTTTCTGGATATGGTAGCCAGTTCTCCCAGCAGCATTTATTAAATAGGGAATCTTTTCCCTATTACTTGTTTTTGTCAGGTTTGTTAAAGATCAGATGGTTGTAAATGTGTGGTCTTATTTCTGAGTTATCTATTCTGTTCCATTGGTCTATGTGTCTGTTTTTGTACCATTATCATGCTGTTTTGATTATTGTAACCTTGTAATATAGTTTGAAGTTCTGTAGCGTGATGCCTCCAGCTTTGATCTTTTTGCTTAAGGTTGTCTTGGCTATATGAGCTCTTTTTTCATTTCGTATGAGTTTTAAAATAGTTTATTCTAAATCTGTGATGTATGTCAATGGTAATTTAATGGGAATAGCATTAAATCTAGAAATTAATTTGTGCAGTACGTCCATTTTTATAATATTGATTCTTTATATCCATGAGCATGGAATGCTTTTTTATTTGTTTGTGTCCTCTTTGATTTCCTTCACTAGTGGTTTATAGTTCTCCTTGAAGAGGCCCTTCACTTCCCTTATTTGCTGTATTCCTAAGTATTTTATTCTCTTTGAAGCAATTGTGAATGGGACGTCATTCATGATTTTGCTCTCTGCTTGCCTGTTGTTGGTGTATAGGAATGCTTGTGACTTTTGCATATTGATTTTGTACCCTGAGGCTTTGCTGAAGTTGCTTATCACCTTCAGAAGCTTTTGGGTGAGACGATGGGGTTTTCTATATATAGGATCATGACATCTGCAAATAAAAAATTTGACTTCCCCTCTTCTTATTTGAATACCCTTTATTTCTTTCTCTTAGCTGATTGCCCTGGACAAAAATTAAAATACTATGTTGAATAAGAGTGTTGGGAGAAGTCATCCTTATCTTGTGCCAGTTTTTAAGAGGCATGCTTTCAGCTTTGCCCATTCAGTGTAATATTGGCTGTGGGTTTGTCATAATTGGCTCTTATTATTTTGAGGTATGTTCCTTCAATACCTAGTTTATTGAGAGTTTTTAACATGTAGCAATGTTGAATTTTATTGAAGGCCTTTTCTGCATTTATTGCAATCATCATGTGGTTTTTGTCTTTAGATCTGTTTATGTGATGAATTATGTTTATAGATATGTGTATATTGAACCAGCCTTCCATCCCAGGGATGAAGCCAACTTGATCATGGTGGATAAGGTTCTTGATGTGCTGCTGTATTTGGCTTGCTGGTATTTTATTGAGAATTTTCGCATAAATGCTTATCAGGGATATTGTTATATTTTTCTTTTTTAGTTGTATTTCTGCCAGGTTTTGGTATCAGGATGATGCTGGTCTCATAGAATGAATTAGGGAGACACTCTTTTTTAAATTTTTTTCCAATAATTTATTGAGGTACATGTGATATTTCATTACATGAGTAAGTTCTTTGGTGGTAATTTGTGTGATTTTGGTGCACCCAACACCCCAGCAGTCTACATTGCACTATATTTGTAGTCTTTATTCCTTGCCACCCCACCCATCTTCCCCCATTCCCCCAAGTCCTCAAAGTCCATTGTATCATTCTTATGCCTTTGCGTCCTCATAGCTTAGCTCCCACACATCAGTGAGAACATATGATGTTTGGTTTTCCATTCTGAGTTACTTCACTTGAAATAAGAGTCTCCAATCTCATCCAGGTCACTGCAAATGCTGTTAATTCATTCCTTCTTATGGCTGAGTAGTATTGCATCATATATATAAATATAAATATATGTATATATATATATGATGTGAATATATATATATGATGGAATATATATATGATGGAATATATATATGATGGAATATATATATATGATGGAATATATATATATGATGGAATATATATATATATCACTGTTTCTTTATCTACTAGTTGATTGATGGGCATTTGCGTTGGTTTCATGATTTTGTAATTGTGAATTGTGCTGCTATAAACATGCCTGTGCAAGTATCTTTTTCGAATAATAACTTATTTCCCTCTGGATAGATGCCCAGTAGTGGGACTGCTGGATCAAATGGTAGTTCTAATTTTATTTCTTTAAGGAATCTCCCCACTGTTTTCCATAGTGGCTATGCTAATTTACATTCCCACCAGCAGTGAAGTGTTCCCTAATCACTGCATCCACACCAACATCTACTGTTTTTTTTTTTAATGGCCATTCTTGCGGCAGTAAGGTGGTATCACATTGTGGTTTTGATTTGCATTTTCCTGATCATTAGTGATGTTGATTGAGCATTTTTTCATGTTTTTTGGCCATTTGTGTATCTTTTTTTTTTTTTGTAAATTGTCTATTCATGTCCTTAGCCCACTTTTTGATGAAATTGTTTTTTTTTTTTCTTACTGATTTGTTACAGTTCATTGCAAATTCTGAATATTAGTCTTTGTCAGATGTACAGATTGTGAAGATTTTCTCCCACTCTGTGGGTTGTCTGTTTACTCTGCTGATTGTTCCTCTTGCCATGCAAAGCTCTTTAGTTTAATTAGGTCCCAGCTATTTATCTTTGTTTTTCTTGCATTTGCTTTTGGGTTGTTAGTCATCAAATTATTGCCTGAGCCAATGTCTAGATGGATTTTTCCAATGTTAACTTCTAGAATTTTTATAGTTTCAGGTCTTAGGTTAAAGTCCTTAATCCACCTTGAGTTGATTTTTGTATAAGGTGAGAGATAAGGATCCAGTTTCATACTTCTGCATGTGGCTTGTCAATTATCCCGGCACCATTAGTTTAAAAGGGTGTCCTTTCCTCACGTTATGTTATTTTTTGTTTGTCGAAGATCAGTTGGCTGTAAGTATTTGGGTGTATTTCTGGGTTCTTTATTCTGTTCTGTTAGTCTATGTGCCTATTTTTATACTGGTACCGTGCTGTTTTGGTGACTATGGCCTTAAAGTATAGTTTGAAGTCAGGTAATGTTTTGCCTCCAGAATTTTGGTTGTTGCTTAGTATTCCTTTTGGTATGTGGGCTCATTTTTGTTACATATATGTTAGGATTGTTTTTTCTAGTTCTGTGAAGAATTATGTTGATAATTCGATGGGAATTGCATTGAATGTGTAGATTGCTTTAGGCTGTATGGTCATTTTCACTATATCAATTATACCCATCCATGAGCATGGGATGTGTCTTCATTTGTTGTGTCATCTATGATTTTATTCAGCAGTGTTTTGTAGTTTTCCTTGTAGAGGTCTCTTGACTCTTTGGTTAACTATATTCCCAGGTTTTTTTGTTTGTTTGTTTTTTGGTTTTTGTTTGTTTTTGCAGCTATTGTAAAAGGCATTGAGTTCTTAATTTGATTCTCCACTTGGTTGCTGTTAGTGTATAGGAGAGTTACTCATTTGTGTACATTAATCTTGTATCTGGAAACTTTGCTGAATTCTTTTGTCAGTTCTAGGAGCTTTCTGTAGGAGTCTTTAAATTTTCAAAGAAAACAATTATATAGTCATCAGTGACAGTTTGACTTCATCTTTACCATTTGGATGCCTTTTATTTCTTTCTCTTGTCTGATTGCTCTGGCTAGGACTTCCAGTACTGTGTTGAAGAAGAGTGGTAAGAGTGGGCATCCTTTTTTCTTACAGCTCTCAGAGAAAATGCCTTCCACTTTTCCCCATTCAGTGTTATGTTAGCTGTGAGTTTGTCATAGAAGGCTTTTATTACATTAAGGTATGTTCTTCGTATGCTGATTTTGCTGAGAGCATTTTTTTCATTAAATCTATCTATTTTAAAAAATATTTTTATGAACTTGTGGCTATACATAGGTTGGGGCATTTTTGTATTGCTCTTTTTGGGATTTTGGTGTTTTTAAAAAGATTTCACTTTAAGTTCTGGGATACATGTGCAGAATGTGCAGGTTTGTTACATAGGTATACATGTGCCATGATGGTTTGCTGCACCCATCAACCCATCATCTAGGTTTTAAGCCCCGCATGCATTAGGTATTTGTCCTAATGCTTTCCCTGTCCTTGCACCCCACCAATGACAGGCCCCGGTGTGTGATATTCTCCTCCCTGTGTCCATGTGTTCTCATTGTTCAACTCCCACTTATGAGTGAGAACATGCAGTGTTAGGTTTTCTGTTCCTGTGTTAGTTTGCTGAGAATGATGGTTTCTAGCTTCATCCATGTCCCTGCAAAGGACATGAACTCATTCTTTTTTTTGTGGCTGCATAGTATTCCAGGGTATATATGTGCCATATTTTCTTTAACCAGTCTATCATTGATGGGCATTTGCGTTGGTACCAAGTCTTTGCTATTGTGAATAGTGCTGCAATCAACATACATGTGCATGTGTCTTTATAATAGAACGATTTATAATCCTTTGGGTATATACCCATAATGGGATTGCTGGGTCAAATAGTATATCTGGTTCTAGATTCTAGAGGAATTATCACACTGTCTTCCACAATGGTTGAACTAATTTCAGTCCCATTAACAGTGTAAAAGCATTCCTATTTCTTCACATTCTCTCCACAGAGTTTCAATCATCATGAAATGCTACATTTTGTTGAGTGCTTCTTCTGCATCTATTGAAATAATCGTGTGATTTTTGTTTTTAATTTTTTTATGTGGTATATCAATTCATTGTTTTGCATATGTTAAACCATCCCTGCATCCCTGGTATGAAACCCACTTGTTCATGGTGGATTATCTTTTTGGTATGTTGTTGAATTCAGTTAGCTAGTATTTTGTTAAGGATTTCAGCATCTATGTTCATCAAAAATATCGGTCTGTAGTTTGGTTTTTTTTGTTGTTGTTGTTATGTCATTTCCTGTTTTTGGTATTACTGTGATGCTGGATTCATAGAATGAATTAGGGAGGGATCTTTCTTTCTCTGTCTTGTAGAATAATGTCAAAAGGATTGGTACAAGTTCTTCTTTGAATGTCTGGTAGAATTCTGCTGTAAATCTGTCAGGTCCTGGACTTTTTTGTTTTGGTAATTTTAAAATTACCATTTCAATCTCACTGCTTGTTATTGGTCTGTTCAGGGTATCTAATTCTTCCTGATTTAAGCTATGAGGGTTGTATTTTTCCAGGAATTTATCCATCTCTTCTAGGTTTTCTAGTTTATATGCATAAAGGTGTTCATAGTAGCCTTGAATGATCTTTTGTATTTCAGTGGTGTAAGTTGTAATATTTCCTTTTTTTGTGTGGTAATTTGTATGTTCTCTCTTCTTTTCTTCGTTAATCTTGCTAATGGTCTATCAAGTTTATTTACCTTTTCAAAGAACCTGCTTTTTGATTCATTTATCTTTTGTATTTTTTATTTCAATTTTATTTTGTTCTGCTCTGATCTTGGTTATTTCCCTTCTGATGGGGTTGTGTTTGGTTTGTTCTTGTTTCTCAAGTTCCTTGAGGAGTGATCTTAGAATGTGTTTGTGATCTTTTAGTCTTTGTATTGCAGGCATTTAGGACTATGAACTTTTCTTTTATCTCCACCTTTGCTGTATCCCAGAGGTTTTGGTAGATTGTGTTATTATTGTCGTTCAGTTCAAAGAATACTTTATTTCCATCTTAATTTCATTTTTGATAGTTTCAGAAAAAAAATGGTACCGTCTCCTGTTTGTATTTCTGTTAGAATTCAGCTGTAAATCCATCTGGTCCTGGGCTTTTTTTGGTTTGTAGGCTATTTATTACTGTCTCAATTTCAAAACTCATTATTTGTCTATTCAGGGATTCAATTTTTTCCTCATTCAGTCTTGGGAGGGTGTGTGTGTCCAGGAATATTTCCATTTCTTCTAGATGTTCTAGTTTATTTGCATAGAGGTGAGTATAGTATTTTGTGATAGCTTTTTCATTTCTGTGACACTAGTTGTGATATCCCCTTTATCATTTTTTATTATGTCTATTTGATTCTTCTCTCTTTTCTTCTTAGTCTAGCTAGCAGTTTATCTATTTTATTTATTTTTCTAAAAAGGCTCCTGCATTCATTAATTTTTTTGGAGGGTGTTTTGTGTCTCTATCTCTTTCAGTTCCACTCTGATCTAGATTATTTCTTTTTTCTGCTATCTTTGGGGGTTTGTTTGCTCTTAGTTCTCTAGTTCTTTTAGTTGTAATGTTAGGGAGTTGATTTGAGATCTTTCTAGATCTTTGATGTGGATTTATAGTGCTTAAAATTTCCCACTTAACAGTGCTTTAGCTGCATCCCAGAGATTCTGTTATGTTTTATCTTTGTTATCATTGGTTTCAAAGAACTTCTTGATTCCTGCCTTAATTTCGTTATTTACCCAAGATTCATTCAGGAGCAGGTTGCTCAATTTTCATGTGTTTATGTGGTTTTGAGTGAGTTTCTTAATCTTGAGTTCTAATTTGATTGCCTTGTGGTCTGTGAGACTGGTATGATTTCAGTTCTTTTGCATTTGCTGAAGAGTGATTTACTTTTAATTACATTACAAATTTTAGAGTAAGTTCCATGTGGTGCTGAGAAGAATGTATATTCTGTCGCTTTGCTGTAAAGAGTTCTGCAGATATCTATCAAGTTCACTTGATTTAGAGTTGAGTTCAAGTCCTGAATATCTTTGTTAATTTTCTGTTATGATGATCTGTCTAATATTGACAGTGGGGTGTTAAAGTATTCCACTGTTATTGTGTGGGAGTCTAAGTCTGTTTGTAGGTCTCCAAGAACTTGTTTTATAAATCTGGGTCCTCCTGTATTGGGTGCATATATATTTAGGGTAGTAAGCTCTTCTTGGTGAATTGAACTCTTTACTATTAAATAATGCCCTTCTTTGTCTTTTTTGATATTTGTTGGTTTATAGTCTGTTTTGTCAGTAACTAGCATTGCAACCCTGGCTCTTTTCTGTTGGTAAATTTTTCTCCATTTTTTAAAAATTTTGAGTCTATGTGTGTCTTTGCATGTGATATGGGTCTCTTTTATACAGCACATCAATGGATTTTGACTCTATCTAATTTGCCTATCTGTCTTTTATTTGGGGAATTTAGCCCATTTACATTTAAGGTTGATATTTTTATGGGTGAATTTGATCTTATCATCATGATTCTAGCTGGTTATTTTGCAGACTTGTTTATGTGGTTGCTTCATAGGGTTAGTGTTTTTTGTACTTCAGTGTGTTTTTGTATGGCTGGTAATGAATTTTCCTTTCCACATTTAGTGTTTTTTTCAGGAGCTCTTGCAAGGTAGGCCTGGTGGTGATGAATCCCCTCAGCATTTGCTCTTCTGAAAAATATTTTCTCTTTTGCTTCTAAACCTCAATTTTGCAAAATATGAAATTCTAAGTTTGAAATTCTTTAAGAATGTTTAATATTGGCACCCAATCTCTTCTGGCTTGTACAGTTTTCACCGAGAAGTTTTCGTTAGTCTGATGTGCTTCCCTTTTATACGTTACCTGGTCTTTCTCTCTGGTTGCTCTGAACATTTTTTTCTTCATTATGACTTTGAGAATCTGAAGATTTTGTGTCTTAAGGTTGATCTTCTTGTGGAGCAACTTACTGGGGTTCTCTGGATTTCGTAAATTTGAATGTTGGCCTGTCTTGCTATGTTGTGGAAATTCTTTTGGATGATATCCTAAAGTGTGTTTTCCATCTTGATTCCATTCTTCCCATCTCTTTAAGGTATCAGTCATAGATTTGGTCATTTAACATGATCCCATCATTTTGGAAGGTTTTGTTTGTTTCTTTTTATTCTTTTTTTTCTAATCTTGTCTGCCTGCCTTATTTCAGCAAGATAGTCTTCAAGCTCTTATATCCTTTCTTTTGCTTGGTCTATTTAGCTACTGATAATTGTGTTTGCATTGTGAAGTTCTCATGTTGTGTTTTTCAGCTCCATCAGGTCATTTGTGTTCCTCCCTAAACTGGTTATTCTGGTTAACAGCTCGTTAATGTGTTATCATTGCTTTTAGCTTCTTTGCAATGAGTTTGAACATACTTCTTTAGCTCAGCAAAGTTCATTATTGCCCATCTGCTGAAGCCTACTTCTGTCAATTAATCCTTATCAGCCTCAGCCCAGTTCTGTGCCCTTGCTGGAGATGTGTTGCGATCAGCTGGAGGAGAAGCACTCCGCGTTTTTGAATCTTCAGCACTTTTGTGCTCATTTTTTCTCATCTTCATGGTCTAATCTACGTTTGATCTTGAAGGCTGCTGACCTTTGGATGGGGTTTTGTGGGGTCTTCTTTTGATGTTGTTGTTGCTTTCTGTTTGTTTTTCTTCTGGCAGTCAGACCCTTTTCCATAGGGCTGCTGCAGCTTGCTGGGGATCCACTCCAGACCCTATCTCCCTGAGCCCCTCCCACCCCTGGAAGGATCACCAGTGGAGGCTGCAGACCAGCAAAAATGGCAGAATTATACTTCTTCTGGCAGGTCTGTCCCAGAGGGGCACTGACCTGTTGCTGGCTGGAACAGTCCTGTATGAGGTGTCCGAAGACACATGTTGGGAAGGCTCACCCAGTCAGAAGAAGCAGAATCAGGGACCCACTTAAATAAACAGTTGGCTGCCCCTTGGCAAAGTGGGTGGGCTGGGCGGAGGAGGGGAATCTCCCTCGTCCAGGCTGCTCTGACTCTTCAGAACCATCAGGCAGAAAAGACTAAGACCGCTGATCTACAATACTGCAGCTGCCCCTCTTCCTAGGGGCTCTTCTCAGGAAGATCAGAGTTCTGTCCACAAACCCCTGGCTGGGGATACTGAAATTTCCGCAGGGAAGCCCCATCTGGTAAGGAGGGGTGCACCAGGGTCCCACTTAAAAATGCTATCTGGCCACAAACTGACCCAGCTGCTATGCTGTGCTGTGGGAAATTACTCCCAGTTGTAACTGCCCAGTCTTGCTGGCACTAGTGGCAGGGGAAAATAGCCTACTGTAGCCACAGTCATGGTGGCCACCCCTCCCCCTCAGGAACTTGATCTTTTTAGGCAGTCTCCAGCCTGCTGCGCTGGCCGGTGGGGATTCTAAGCCAGTGGGTTTTAGCTTGTGGGGATGTGTGGGAGCAAGGTTGCTTAGCTCCCACTCTTTAGCCCCCTTCCCATGGGAGTGAATGGACCTCCTGCCTCACCAGAATTTCCAGAGCTGGTGTTTGCAAATACTTCTGTGTCTCAGTGCCTGCTCAATAGGCTGCCCACCTGAGCAGCTGCCATAAGTCTGCACAGCTCTGTGCTTGGGACCCAAGGCCCTGGTGGCATGAACTCATGAGGGGAACACCTGAGCCATGGGTTGAAAGGACCCATGGGAAGAGTGTGGTTTTCAGAGATGGGTAGCACAATCTCCCACCACCTCCCTTGGCTGCCAGAGGGAGCTCCCTTTGGCCTGTGCAGCTCCCGGGTAGGCCATCACTCCACCCTGGTTTTCCTTGCTCTTGTGGGTCACGCCAACCACCGAGTCAGTCTTAATGAGAGAACCTTTGTACCTTAATTGAAGATCAGGAATTCACTCACCGTTTTCATCCTTCTACATGGGAGCTGCAGGGCAAAGTTGTTATCTATGTGCCAATTTGAATCTTTTTTTTCCTGCTTAATGTAGCTAGCACTGTTTCAGCTTTATTTTTTCAATGAATCAACTTTTCATTTCCTTGATCCTTTGTATTGTTTTTCTTGTCTCAATTTTATTTAATTCTTCTCTTATGTTTCTTGTCTTTTTTCTGTTAGCTTTGAGTTTGTTTTATTCTTGTTTCTCTAGTTTCTTGAGGTGCAATGGTACATTGTTAATTTGTGATCATTCTTGTTTCAATTTGTTTTATTCTTGTTTCTCTAGTTTCTTGAGGTGCAATGTTACATTGTTAATTTGTGATCATTCCATCTTTTTATGAAGATGTTTAACACCATACACTTCCCTTTTAGCACTGCTTTTGCTGTATTCCAGAGCTTTTGGTATGTTTTGTTTCCATTTTAATTGGTTTCAAAAAGTATTTTTAATTTCAACCTTAAATTCATCATTGACCCAAGGTCATTCAGGAGTAGGTTGTTTAATTTTCATGTACCTGTATAGTTTTATTTTATTTTATTTTATTTTAAGATAGTTTAATTGACCAAGAAAAAATTTACAAATCAGGCGGCCTCCCAAGCCAGAGTAGGCTCAGAGACTCCAGTGTGACCACATGGTGGAAGAAGATTTATGAACAGAAAAAGAAAGGGAATGTACAGAAAATGGAAGTTACAGGTTGGTGTTTGCCTTATGTGAACACAGTTCAAAGAGTTGACCACATTTGATTGGCCAAAACTCGGTGATTGGCACAAGAGTAGGCTATGGTCTGTTCATATCTCCACATGTTATACTTCAGGATGTACAGCAAAACCTTTAGGATGCACTTAACATATGTAAGGAGGGAGCTTTACACTAAACTTTATTTAACACTAGGAACTGTATTTTACAAAGGACAATAGCTAACTGTGTAGCACTCTGTACAGATTATATTCTTCTTTTTATTATTTTGATTAATTTATTTTTTATTTCAATAGGTTTTAGGGAACAAGGAGTGTTTAGTCACATGGATAAGCACTGTAGTGGTTATTTCTGAGATTGTGGGAACCAATCACGCAAACAATATACACTGAACCCAATGTGTAGTCTCTTATTCCTCACCCCCGGCCACACTTTCCCCCAAGTCCCCAAAGCCCATGGTATTATTCTTATGCTTTTGCGCCCTCATAGCTTAGCTCCCACTTATGTGAGAACATAAAAAGTTTGGTTTTTCATTCCTGAGTTACTTCACTTAGAATAATTGTCTGCAACTCCATCCAGGTTGCTATGAATGCCATTGTTTTACTTCTTTTTATGGCTGAGTATTATTCCATGGCATATATGTACATTTTTTATCCACTCATTGATTGGTGGCCATTTGGGCTGGTTCCATTTTCTTGCAATTGTGAATTGTGCTGCTGTAAACATGCATGTGCAAGTGTCTTCTTTGTATAGTTAATTCTTTTCCTCTGCATAGATAGCCAGTAGTGGAATTGCTAGATCAAAGGATAGATCTACTTTTAGTTCTTTAAGGAATCTTCATACTGTTTTGCATAATGATTGTACTAGTTTGCATTCCCACTAGCAGTGTATAAGAGTTCATTTTCACCATATCCACAGCAATATCTATTATTTAAAAATTTTTAATTATGGCCATTCTTGCAGGAGTAATTGGTGTCACATTGTGGTTTTGATTTGCATTTCCCTGGTAATTAGTGGTGTTGAGCATTTTTAAATATGTTTGTTGGCCATTTGTATATCTTCTTTTCAAAATTGTCTATTCAGGTCCTTACCCCACATTTTGATGGGATTGTTGCGATTTTTTTGTGGATTTTTTTGAGTTCGTTGTAGATTCTGGATATTAGTCCTATGTCAGATGCGTAGTTCATGAATATTTTTCTCCCACTGTGTGGGTTGTCTCTTTACCCTGCTGATTATTTCTTTTGCTGTGCAGAAGCTTTTTAGTTTAATTAAGTCCTATCTATTTATCTTTGTTTTTGTTGCATTTGCTTTTGTGTTCTTGGTCATGAAGTCTTTGCTTAAGCCAATATTGAGAAGGGTTTTTCCAAAGTTATCTTCTAGAATTTTTATGGTTTCAGTTCTCAGATTTAAGTCCTCAATCCATCTTGAATTGATTTTTGTATAAGGTGAGAGATGAGGCTCCAGTTTCATTCTCCAACATGTGGCTTGCCCATTATCTCAGTACCATTTGTTGAATAGGATACATTCAACAAATATATAGATATTATATATATATAAATATATAGACAATAAAGTTCTTTTAAAAACTTTATGTTTTTTGTTTGCTTTGTTGAAGATCCGTTGTTTGTAAGAATTTGGCTTTATGTCTGAGTTATTTATTGTGTTCCATTCATCTATGTGCCTATTTTTTAACAGTACCATGTTGTTTTGGTGACTGTGGCCTCATAGTATAGTTTGAAGTCGGGTGACGTGATGCCTCCAGATTTTTTATTTTTAATTTTGCTTTGGCTATGTGGGCCCTTTTTATTGTTCCATATGAATTGCATTGAATTTGTAGATTGCTCTTGTCAGTATGATCATTTTTACAATATTGGTTCTACCCATCTGTAAGCATGGGATGTGTTTCCATTTGTTTGTTTCATCTATGATTTCTTTCAGCAGTGTTCTGTAGTTTTCCTTGTAGAGGTCTTTAAACTTCTTAGTTAGGCAAATGCCTAAAGATTTTATATATTTTTTGCAGCTATTGTAAAAGGGGTTGAGATTTTAATTTGATTCTCAACCTGGTAGTTGTTGGTGTATAGCAGTGCTACTGATTTGTGTAATGCTACTGATTTTGTAACATGAAATTTTGCTGAATTTATTTTTCAGGTCTAGGAGCTTTTTGGGTGAATCTGTAGGGTTTTCTAGGTATACAGTCACATCATTGGCAAACAGTAACAGTCTGACTTCCTCTTTATGGATAAGGACACCCTTTCTTTCTCTTGTCTGATGGCTCTGGCTAAGAATTCCACTACTATGTTGAATAGAATTGGTGAAAATGGGCATCCTTGTCTTGTTTCACTTCTCAGGGAGAATGCGTTCAACTACTCTTCATTCAGTATAATGTTGGCTGTGCGTTTGTCATAAATGGCTTTTTTTACCTTAAGTTATGTCCCTTCTATGCTGATTTTACTGAGGTTTTTAATCATAAAGAGGTGCTGATTCTGTCAAATGCTTTTTCTGCATCTGTCAAGATGATTATGTGATTTTTGTTTTTAATTCTGTTTATGTGGTGAATCACATTTATTGACTTGCTTATTTTAAACCAACTCCGCCTCCCTGTTATGAAACCCACTTGAAGATGGTGGCTTATTTTTTTGATATGCTGTGGGGTTCGGTGAGGTAGCATTTTTTTTGAGAATTTTTACATCTATGTTCATCAAGGATATTGGTCTGCAGTCTTCATTCTTTGTCATGTCCTTTCCTGGTTTTGGTATTAGGGTTATACTGGCTTCATAGAATGATTTAGGGAGGATTCCCTCTTTCTCTATCTTTTGGAGTAGCGTCAATAGTATTGGTACCAATTCTTCTTTGAATGTCTGATAGAATTCAGCTGTAAATCCGTCTGATTCTAGACGTTTTTTGTTGGTAATTTTTTATTACCACTTCAACATCACTGCTTGTTATTGGTCTGCTCTGAGTTTACATTTTTCCCTGGTTTAATCTAGGAAGGTAGTAGATTTTCAGGAATTTATCCATCTATCTTAGGTTTTCTAGTTTATGTGCATAAAGCTGTTCTTAGTAGCCTTAAATAATTTTTTGTATTTCTTTGGTATCGGTTGTAATAGCTCCCGTTTCACTTCAAATCGAGCTTATTTGGATCTTCTCTCTTCTTTTCTTGGTTTATCTTGCTAACGGTCGATCAATTTTCTTTACTTTTTTAAAGAGCCAACACTTTGTTTTATTTACTCTTTGGGTTTTTTTTTTGTTTGTGTGTTTCAATTTCATTTAGTTCTGCTCTGATTTTTCTTACTTATTTTCTTCTGCTAGGTTTAGGTCTGCGTTGTTCTTGTTTCTTTAGTTCTTTGAAGTGTGAACTTAGATTGTCTATTTGTGCCCTTTTAGACGTTTTGATGTTGGGATTTAATGCTATTCACTTCCCTCTTAGCACTGCTTTTGCTCTATTACAGAGGTTTTCATAGGTTAGGTTGTGTCACTATTATTGTTCATTTCAAAGAATTTTTAAATTTTCGTGTTGATTTCATTGTTGATACAATAATCATTCAGGAGCAGGTTATTTAATTTCAATATATATTCCTGGTTTTCAGGGTTTCTTTTGGAGTTGATTTCCAATTTCATTCCACTGTAGACTGAGAGAGTACTTGATATAGCTTGATTTTCTTAAATTTGAGACTTGTTTGTGGCCTATCATATAATCTAACTTAAAGAATGTTCCCTTTGTTGATGAACAGAATGTGTATTCTGCAGTTTTGGGGTAGAATGTTCTGTGAATATATGTTAAGTTTATTTGTTCTAGGGTATAGCTGAAATCCATTTTTTGTTGTTGAATTTCTGTCTTGATTACCTGACTAGTGCTGTCAGTGTGACATTGAAATCCCCCACTTTATTGTGTTGCCATTTATCTTGTTTCTTATGTCTAGAAGTAAGAGTTTATAAATTTGGAAACTCTAGAGTTAGGTGTGTATATAATTAGGATTGTAATATTTTCCTATTGGACTAGTCATTTTATCATTATATAATGTCCCTCTTTGTCTTTTCTAACTGTTGTTGCTTTAAAGTCTGTTTCGTCTGATATAAGTGTAACTATTCCTGCCTGCTTTTCTTGTCTATTCGCATGGAATAATTATTTCCACTTCTTTACCTTAAGTTTTATGTGAGTTCTTATGTGTTAGGTTAGTCTCTTGAAGATGACAAATACTTGGTTGATGAATTCTTATCCATTCTGCCATTCTATATCTTTTAAGTGGAGCATTTAGGCCATTTACATTGAATGTTAGTATTGAGATGTGAAATACTATTCTATAGACTGTGCTAGTTATTGCCATAATACTTTGGGTTTTTTATTGTCTTATTATCTTATAGGCCCTGTGAGATTTATGCTTTAAGGAAATTCTATTTTGGTGTATTTCCAGGTTTTGTTTCAACATTTAGAACTCCTTTTAGCATTTATTTTAGTCCTGGCTTGTAGGTGGTGAATTCTCTCCGCATTTGTTTGTCTGAAGAAGACTGTATCTTTCCTTCGTTTATGAAGCTTAGTTGTGCTGGGTACAAAATTCTTGGCTAATAATTGTTTTCTTTAAGGAGGCTGAAGATAGAACCCCAAACTCTTCTATCTTGAAGGGTTTCTGCTGATAAATCTGCTGTTAATGTGATAGGCTTTCCTTTTAGGTTACCTGATGCATTTGCCTCACAGGTCTTAAGATTGTTTCCTTCATATTGACTTTAGATAATCTGATGAATACGTGCCTAAGTGACGATCTTTTTGTGATGAATTTTCCAGGTGTCCTTTGAGTTTCTTGTATTTGGATGTCTAGATGTCTAGCAAGGCCAGGACATTTTTCCTTGATTATTCCCTCAAATATGTTTTTGAAACACTTAGATTTCTCTTCTTCCTCAGGAACACATTTATTCTTAGGTTTGGTTGTTCAAAATAATCCCAAACTTCTTTGATGCTTTGCACATTATTTTGATTCTTTTTTCTTTGTCTTTGTTTGATTAGGTTAATTTGAAAGCCTTGTCTGAGCCCTGAGTTCTTTCTTCCACTTTTTTGGTTCTATTGCTGAAAGTTTTCAGGTTTTTTTTTTGTTTCTTTCTTTTTTTTTTTTTTTTTTTTTTGCATTTCTCTAAGTGTGTCATTCATTTCCAGAAGTTGTGATTGTTTTTTACTTATGCTATTTCTGTGCAGATTTTTTTTTGTTTACATCTCATATTATTTTTTAAATTTCTCTAAGTTGACTTTCACCTTTCTCTGGTGCCTCCTTGAGATGCTTAATAATCAAATTTCTGAATTTTTTTTGGCAATTTAGAGATTTCTTTTTAATTTTGATCCATTTCTGGTGAACTAGTCGGCTTTTGGGGGGTGAAGAACCTTGCTTTGTTATATACCAGAATTGTTTTTCTGTGTTTTTTTTTTTCTCCTATTTGGATAGACTATGTCAGAGGAAAGGTCTAGGTCTCAAGGGCTGCTGTTCAGGTTCTTTGGTCTCAGAGGGTGTTCCCTTGATGTGGTGCTCTCCCCCTTGCCCTAAGGATGGGCTTTCTCACAGCTGGACTGCAGTTATTGTTACTGCTTTTCTGGGTCTAGCCACCCTATGGGGTTATCGGGCTCTAGGCTGGTACTGGGGAGTGTCTGCAAAGAGTCCTGTGATGTGATCCATCTTCAGGTTTCTCAGCTGTGGATACCAACATCTGCTCCAGTGGAGGTAGCAGGGAGAGAAGTCGACTCTGTGTGGGTCCTTTGTTGCTTTTTTTTTTTTTTTTTTTTTTTTGGTGCACTGGTTTTCTTAAATGCTGGTTGTGGTAGCAGGAAGTTGTCATGTGGACAGACTGAGGACCTCTGGTTCTCCAGGATATTAGCTGTTGTTTTCTTTTTTCTTGGAGTGGTATTTTTATTTTATAAAAATAATGTTACTGTAATGACTTCAGTTGGTTGGCCACCAGCCAGGAGGTGGTTCTTTCAAGAGAGCATCAGCTGTGGTAGTATAGAGGGGATACAAGTTTCCCTAAGGTCATCTGCATAAGTATTCGAGTTTCTTAGGCAATGGGTTACCAATTGGCTGTAGAGCTCCCAAGAGATTATATCTTTTGTCTTCAGCTACCAGGGTGGGGAAATAAGAAACATCAGGTGAGGGCAGGGTTTGGAGTGTCTGAGCTCGGCCTCTCTTTGGGCAGGGCTTGATGCAATCACTGTGGGGGATGGGGGTGTGGTTCTCAAGCCAATAGAGTTAGGTTGCCAGGGGGATTATGGCTGCCTGTGCTGCATTATACAGATCACCAAGGAAGTGGGGGAAAGCCTGCAGTGACAAACCTCACCCAGCTCCCACGCATCCAGCAAGGCCAGTCTCACTCCCACTGTGCCCTACCAACAGCATCGAGTTCATATCCAGGCAGACAGCGAGCAGGGCAGAGATCTTGCACCAAGCTGCAAGCCTCCTTGCAGAGAAAGCAAGGAGGGCTTTCAGAGTTCACCATTTCCTGCTTGCCATGTCTTCTTTGCTGGTATCTGTACTCCCTTTTCACCCTCTACTTTCAGATTCTGCTCTGGACAATTCATGCTCATTTGAAATTATTAAAAAGTTCAGCTGGAAGTTTTCTTCTCCCTGTGGTCCCTCCCCAATTTCACTGGCAGCCCTCCCTAAGTACCCCGTGAGATAAAATCAGAAATACCTTCCCTGGGGACCCAGAGTTCCTACAGGGCTCTTACCACTGCTTTTTTTACTTTTATATTTCACTTGGCTCTCTAGGTAAGGTTAATCCTTTCCCAGGATCTGGGTTTTCAGGTTCCCCATTGAAGATGTGTGTTCAGAAATGGACTTTTCTTCTCTCACATTTTAAGCACTCACAGTTTTTTGGCTGTCTTATTGAGTTTGCAGTGGCAACTCACTTCTTTTAAAGGGTTTGTTAATCCCTTCAGTTTTCCTGGTATGTTCTGTGGTAATTCTTGGAGCAAAAGTTCATGACGTGAGTCTCCACATGTTTTTCTGTCTATCAAGTGGGAGCTGCAAGTAAGTCCTGCCCTCTATCCACCATTTTTTTTCCATATGTACAGATTCCATTTTAATAGTTTTTAGAATTTCTCTTTGTACAGATTTCTAGTTTTATTCCACTGTAGTTCAAGGAGATACTTGATGTAATTTAATTTTCTTTGTGCTCTAAAATATGGTCTATTTTGGAGGATGTTCCACATACAGATAAGAGGGATGCATACTCTGTAACTGTTGGGTAGAATGTTCTCTAAATATCTATTAATCAATTTGGTTTAGAGTGCCATTTAAGTTCATAGTTTTCTTGTTTATTTTCTACTTTGATCAGCTCCCTGGTGCTGTCAGTGGGGTGTTTAAATCCGCCACTATTATTGTATTGTATTATGAAATATATAGTTTCTTTTTTTGATTATCCTTTTAATTTTTTTAACTTTTATTTTAAGTTCAGGGGTACATGTGCAGGTTTGTGGCATATGGAAAATTCATACAACAGGGGTTTGTTGTACAGATTATTTTGTCACTCAGGTATTAAGCCTAGTATGCATTAATTATTTTTTCATGATCCTCTCCCTCCTTCCACCCTCCACCCCCCAGTAGTAGGCCTCAGTGTGTGTTGTTCCCCTCTATGAGTCCATGTGTTCTCAATGAGACAGAAGGTTAACAAGGATATTGAGCACCTCAACTCAGCTCTGCAACAAGCAGACCTAATAGACATCTACAGAACTCTCCACCCCAAATCAACAGAATATACATTCTTCTCAGCACCTCACTGCACTCATTCCAAAATTGACCACATAGTTGGAAGTAAAGCACTCCTCAGCAAACGTAAAAGAACAGAAATTATAACAAACTGTCTCTCAGACCACAGTGCAATCAAACTAGAACTCAGGGTTAAGAAACTCACTCAAAACCACTCAACTACATGGAAACTGAACAACCTGCTCCTGAATGACTACTGGATACATAATGAAATGAAGGCAGAAATAAAGATGTTCTTTGAAACCAACGAGAACAAAGACACAACATACCAGAATCTCTGGGACACATTTAAAGCAGTGTGTAGAGGGAAATTTATAGCACTAAATGCCCACAAGAGAAAGCAGGAAAGATCTAAAATTGACACCCTAACATCGCAATTAAAAAAACTACAGAAGCAAGAGCAAGCACATTCAAAAGCTAGCAGAAGGCAAGAAATAACTAAGATCAGAGCAGAACTGAAGGAAATAGAGACAAAAAAAACCTTTCAAAAAATCACTGAATCCAGGAGTTGTTTTTTTGAAAAGATCAACAAAATAGATGGACTGCTAACAAGACTAATAAAGAAGAAAAGAGAGAAGAATCAAGTAGATGCAATAAAAAATGATAAAGGGGATATCACCACCGATCCCACAGAAATACAAACTACCATCAGAGAATACTACAAACACCTCTTTGCAAATAAACTGGAAAATCTAGAAGAAATGGATAAATTCCTCGACACATACACCCTCCCAAGACTAAACCAGGAAGAAGTTGAATCTCTGAATAGACCAATAACAGGCTCTGAAATTGAGGAAATATTTAATAGCTTACCAACGAAAAAAGTCTAGGACCAGACGGATGCACAGCCGAATTCTACCAGAGGTACAAGGAGGAGCTAGTACCATTCCTTCTGAAACTATTCCAATCAATAGAAAAAGAGGGAATCCTCCCTAACTCATTTTATGAGGCCAGCATCATCCTGATACCAAAGCCTGGCAGAGACACAACAAAAAAAGAGAATTTTAGACCAATATCCACACAAAAGAAACAATTTTAGACCTTGAAGACAGCTCTTTTAATTAACCAAGTTAGACACAAATAAAAAACAAAGAACTTTAAAAATGAACAAAGACTTTAAGAAATATGAGGTTATGTAAAGTGTCCACAGCTACCAGATATAGCTATACTTGAGTGACAAGAAGAAAAAGTAAAAAGTTTGGGTAACTTATTTGAGATAATAATTGAGGAAGACTTCTGTGGTTTTGCTAGATATTTAGGCACTCAAATATAAGAAGCTGAAAGACATCCTTGGAAATACATCACAAATAAACTTCAGCAAGTCATATAGTTATGAATCTATCTAAAGTCAACATGAAGGAAAAAAATTTTAAATCAGAACGAGAAAAACATCTAATGACTATAAAGGACATCCCATGAGACTAACAATAGACTTCTCAGCAGAAAACTTGCAAGCTACAAGAGATCAGGGCCCTATTTTTATGCATCTTAAAAAATAATGTCAGCCAAGAGTTTTGTATATTACTAAACTAAGCTTCATTAAGAGAGGAGAAATAAAGTCCTTCCCAGACAAAAAAAAAAAAAAAAAAAAACACTAAGGGAATATATCACCACTATACCACCCCTACAAGAAATGATCAAAGGAGTTCTAAACATGAGAACTAAATGTCAAGACTCACCATCATAAAAACGTATAAAAGTATTAAACTCACTGGTCTTATAAAACAATTACACAATTGAGACTACAAAGCAACTAGGTAACAATTAACATTATAATGGGAACGAAGCCTAACACATCAATATTAACCCTGAAAATAAATGAATGAAAGGCTCCGCTTAAAAGATGAAGATTGGCAGAATAGATTTTAAAAACAGGATCTAACAATATATTTCTTACAAGAAACCCACTTAACTGGTGAAGACATTATAGACTCCAAATAAAGGGGTGGAGAGATATATTTCATATTACTGGAAACCAAAAGCAAGCAGGTGTAGCTATATTTATATCAGAAGCAACACTAGTAGTACACACAACCTTGTGGGCACCTGTTATTTTTTGACTTTTTAATATTAGCAATTTTGACTGGTGTGAGATGGTATCTTATTGTGGTTTTGATTTGCATTTCTTTAATAATCGGTGATCTTGCACTTTCTTTCATATGCTGGTTGGCCACATATATGTCTTCTTTTGAAAAGTGTCTGTTCATGTCCTTGACCACTTTTTCATGTTTTGGTTTTTTTTCTTGTAGAGTTGTTTAGGTTTCTTTATATATATATATATATATATATATATATATATAATTATTATACTTTAAGTTCTAGGGTACATGTGCACAACATGCAGGTTTGTTACATATGTATACATGTGCCATGTTGGTGTGCTGCACCCATTAACTAGTCATTTAAATTAGGTATATCTCCTAATGCTATCCCTCCCCCCTCCCTCCACCCCACAACAGACCCCAGCGTGTGATGTTCCCCTTCCTGTGTCCAAGTTTCTTATTGTTCAATTCCCACCTGTGAGTGAGAACATGCAGTGTTTGGTTTTTTGTCCTTGCAATAATTTGCCAAGAATGATGGTTTCCAGCTTCATCCATGTCCCTACAAAGGACATGAACTCATCCTTTTTTATGGCTGCATAGTATTCCATGGTGTATATGTGCCACATTTTCTTAATCCAGTCTATCATTGTTGGACATTTGTGTTGGTTCCAAGCCTTTGCTATTGTGAATAGTGCCACAATAAACATATGTGTGCATGTGTCCTTATAGCAGCAGGATTTATAATCATTTGGGTGTATACCCAGTAATGGGATGGCTGGGTCAAATGGTAATTCTAATTCCAGATCCCTAAGGAATCGCCACACTGTCTTCCACAATGGTTGAACTAATTTACAGTCCCATCAACAGTGTAAAAGTGTTCCTATTTCTCCACATCCTCTCCAGCACCTGTTGTTTCCTGACTTTTTAATAATTGCCATTCTAACTGGTGTGAGATGGTATCTCATTGTGGTTTTGATTTGCATTTCCCTGATGGCCAGCGATGATGAGCATTTTTTCATGTGTCTGTTGGCTGCATAAATGTCTTCTTTTGAGAAGTGTCTGTTCGTATCCTTTGCCAAATTTTTGATGGGGTTGTTTGTCTTTTTCTTGTAAATTTGTTTGAGTTCATTGTAGATTCTGGATATTAGCCCTTTGTCAGATGAGTAGATTGCAACAATTTTCTCCCATTCTGTAGGTTGCCTGTTCACTCTGATGGTAGTTTCTTTTGCTGTGCAGAAGCTCTTTAGTTTAATTAGATCCCATTTGTCAATTTAGGCTTTTGTTGTCATTGCTTTTGGTGTTTTGGACATGAAGTCCTTGCCCATGCCTATGTCCTGAATGGTATTGCCTAGGTTTTCTTCCAGGGTTTTTATGGTTTTACATCTAACATTTAAGTCTTTAATCCATCTTGAATTGATTTTTGTATAAGGTGTAAGGAAGGGATCCAGTTTCAGCTTTCTACATATGGCTAGCCAGTTTTCCCAGCACCATTTGTTAAATAGGGAATCCCTTCCCCATTTCTTATTTTTGTCAGGTTTGTCAAACATCAGATAGTTGTAGATGTGTGGTATTATTTCTGAGGCCTCTGTTCTGTTCCATTGACCTATATGTCTGTTTTGGTACCAGTACCATGTTGTTTTGGTTACTGTAGCATTGTAGTATAGTTTGAAGTCAGGTAGCATGATGCCTCCAGCTTTGTTCTTTTGGCTTACGATTCACTTGGCAATGTGGGCTCCTTTTTGATTCCATATGAACTTTAAATTAGTTTTTTCCAATTCTGTGAAGAAAGTAATTGGTATCTTGATGGGGATGGCATTGAATGTATAAATTACCTTGGGTAGTGTGGCCATTTTCACGATATTGATGAGCTGTGCAAGGTGGACTCCCAGCCAATAGATGACACTTGCAGGTGAAAGCCAGCTCTGGTGGTAGCAGTAGAATTTATGCTTCACCTCTGTTGACTAGAGAAAGTACTCATATATCTCATCAATGGGTGGAGCCATGGAACTCTCAAAGGTACCTCTCCCATGTTCTACAACTGAGAAAGGTGGGAGGGGAAAAGCTGGGGAGGCATAAGTCAGACAAGGCTATGTTCAGGCTGTCCAATGGTGGATGTGAGAGGAAGTCTAACAGGGTTGAAAGTCAGTTCCCTTGCCCCTTAGGCAATGTTGCAGGAAGGAGTAGAACCACCTTTGCCACTCAAAAGGGCCCACATGGGAAAGAGAGGATAACTCAGGCTCCACAGCCCAGGAAGTGTTAGTAAGAGGCACCAAGCTACCACACCCTTGACCCAGTGGTCTACCAGTAGCAGCAAGCTGAAACAGCTAGCTGGATTCCAAGTATTCTCTGCTCAGATTGCAAAATTGCCCCAGGCCACAATTCTCCCTTTCCTGAGAAAGAAACCATGGCTCTCAGGTCACAACTCTAGCGGTCCAGGCCCACAAATAGGGAGTGCTCAATTCCTGCATCTACTGCAACAGCCCACTCCCTGCTAACCTCCTAGTTCTCATTATGGGGGTTTATCCCCCCTGTAAATTAGATCATAAACCTCAGTTGAGGGCCTCCTTCAACTTGTGACCAATGTATGTGTTGGCTGGCAGATTTCTGTGAGATTTCCTATGAATTAGGGTCAGAAATGGTTTCCTTCTATTGGTGCAAATGTCTGGGAGTACACACAAAACATTCCCCAATGCCACTGTTTCTCACAGACTCTTCTCTGAAAGGTTCTTGTATTGGTTCAAACCCTGACAGCACACCAACAGACAACATGAGGCAGTGTGGAGCAACACTCTATTTTAATGAGTGCCTGGGTGCAGGCAGGCTGAGGCCTAAAATGGCGTCAGCCCCAAGTGAGGATGGGGCAGAGATTTTATAGTCTCCTGTAAACAGGAAGTGTCCCAGTCTGACGGAACTGCTACGTGGTAACCAGATGGCCTCTTTCTCGATCTTCAGGGGTATGTATCTTCTGGCCAGGGTAGGTGTCTTCCGGCTAGGGCAGGTGTCTTCCAGCCAGGGTGGGTGTCTTCCAGCTGGCTCTCTTCCTGTTTCTGCTATCTTGCTGATGCACACTGCTGGCCCAAGTGGCCTTGCGCCTTGGGACTGGACCTGATAAGGGAACAGTTACTCATCCCTTCAAGCTTTCAGGCCCCAGGGAGAATCTTTCATTCCTGTCTATTTGGTTATAGAAAAAAGGGGAAAGGGGCAACTTTCTCAGTAACTACTTCAGACGTGATGTATGGGGTGGCGTGGGCACTTTGGAAAAAGAAAACCTTAATTTTGGGGGTATTCTTGAAAGATGGGTTGGTATCCATAGTGTCATAGCAGGAGCATTGTCTGGATTGTCTGGTGGCTAACTGTAGTTTCAACAAGAGTTTTAATGGCTTTTGTTATTAGTGGGATAACACAGAGGAGAAACAGGAGGAGCCCAGTGATAAAGATTACTGTCCCTACCAGCGCTTTAAATCCTCCTGAATTAGAGAACCACCCTCCTAGAGGGTTTACTAGGTCCCATCCTTTCCAGGTTTGAACTGGTACATGGGCTACTTTTCTGATGTTTGAGATGCCTTGGGTAATTTGGCTGTTGAAGACGGGCCCGTTATTGGACTGGATGGATGTTACAAGTCTGAAACGGGGAATTACATGCATGATGAGAGTTTGTGTGATGATATTTACACCTTCTGAAATTGTTGGGAATGCTTCTACCCACCTGGAGAAAGTACAGACAAAGACTAGAAGATAGCGGAGCCATTTATCAGTTGGCATGTGAGTGAAGTCTACTTGCCAATCTTGCCTGGGTATTTGGCCCCAGGCTTGGTGGATAGGAAAAGGCAGTGGCCAGAGGGATCCCTGGGGTGACACTGAGTGGGAGATACAGCAGGACTGGGTGATCTCTCAAACACAGCTGGAAAGGTGAGGACAAGTGAGAATAGAGCAGAGAAGTTGCAAGAGAGGTTTGTAACTGACATGGAAAGGGTTGTGGAGGCTTTGGAGGATAGAAATTGTTTGAGAGCGAGAAAGAATGAAGCGCCCTTCCTTGACATACCATGGTCCTTGCTTTTGGAGGTTCTGGGCCTGGAAGTCCTCCTTTTCTTCTGAGGAGTAAAGAGGAGAGAACAAGGACAGGGACAGAAACTCACCTTGCACAGGTTGTAGGGCTACTTGTTTGGCTACCTCATCTGCTAAAGCATTTCTGGCTGATATAGGATTGGCTGGGGTTTGGTGACCCCTGCAATGAATGATGGCAACTTTCTGCAGGAGTCTGGCAGCTTGAAGGAGTTTGCTGATGAGAAAGCCATTTATGACAGGAGTGTTTTTTGGAGTTAGGAAACCCCATTCTTTCCAGAGAGACGAGTGTGAATGTACTATATGGAATGCATAACAAGAATCCGAATATATGTTAATTTGTTGTCCAGCTGCTAGAGTGAGAGCTCGAGTGAGAACAATGAGTTCAGCTTTTTGGGGTGGTGCCTACAGGGAGTAGATTGGCTTCAAGAGTGTTGGTGGGGGGGGTGGTGACACTATAGCATAGCCAGCATGTCAGCGCTCTTGGTGTAGGAAGGAACTGCTGTCCACAAACCAAGTAAAGGAAGCATCTGGAAGGGGGTGGTCTGTTGTGTTTGGAAAGGTTTGAACAGTGTCCACGAAGAAGTGTGCAGGGTCTTGAGAGGTAGAAGCTTCAGGTAAGAGCATGGCCAGGTTTAGATGAGCTGGTTAGCATGGTGATATGGGGAGTTTCTATGAATACAGCATATAGTTGGAGAAGCTGTGGGGCAGAGATAAGATGTAGTACACAGCGGTGAGCTAACATGTTTTCGATGTTATGGGTTGAATAAACTGTTAGGTTGGCAAGAAGAGATAGTTTTAGGCTTTCAAGTTTGAGGACAGCAGCGGCTGCCAATACTCAGAGACAGGCAGGCCATCTGAGAACTGTGGCTTCAAGCTGTTTAGAGACATAGACAACAATCTGGAGGGTGGGTCCCTTAGACTGGCTTAGAACACCTACTGCAACTCCATGCTGTTCATTGGTATAGAGGAATAAAGGTTTGGTAAGGTCTGGAAGAGTGAGGATTGGGGCTGAGATGAGAGCCTTTTGGAGTAGATGGAAAGGTTGGATAATAGTCTGTGCAGGGTTTAAAGGCTCTTGGAGAGGACCTTCAGCAGCTTGGTATAACGATTTGGCAAGTAGAGTGAAGGAGGGAACCCAGGGCCTAAAATATCCCTCTAGTCCTAGAAAAGAGAGAATTTCTTACTTAGTTTGCAGAGGTGGGAGGGACTGGAGGAGGGATATGCAGTCGGTTGTAAGCCCTTGGGTTTGCAGGGTAAGGGCTAGGCCTAGGTAGGTAACTGAGGGGGTGCATATTAGTGTTTTTCTAGGGGAGAATCAACACCGCATTCTGCCAGGAAGTATAAAAGAGAGATAGTACAGGAGTTCCAGTATTTTGAGAGGGACTACACAGGAGCAGATCATCAACATATTGAATAAGAGTGGACGGTTTTAGGGATAAGGCACAGAAGTCATGAGCAAAGGCCTGTCCAAAAAGGTGAGGGCTGTCTCTGAAACCTTGAGGTAGTATGCACCAAGTGAGCTGGTGTGAAAAGTGGGTGTTGGGGTCTTCCCACATAAAGGCAAAGAGGTCTTGAGAATCAGGATGTAAAGAAATTATGAAAAAGGCATCTTTTAGGTCTAGGACAGAAAAATGGGTAGTATTGGAGGGAGTCTTGGAAAGTAAAGTGTATGGGTTAGGAACTACTGGACATACTGGGAGTACAGCTTGGTTAATGAGCCTGAGGTCCTAGACTAAGTGATGTTACATCTGGCTTTTTAAGAGGTAGAATTGGTGTGTTAAAATGGGAGTTTGTTGGGCAGAGTAGGTGACTGGCGGGGAGGTGAGAAATGATAGGCTTTAGGCCTATGAGAGCTGCTTGGGGGATTGGATACTGCTCCTGTGATAGGAACTGGGTGGGGTTTTTAAGGGGATGAGGACAGGGATGTGGTGTTTTGTTATTAGGGTGTGGAAGTATCCCAAACAGTGGGGTTAACTATGGATGGGGGATAAGGAAAGGTTGCATGTTTTAGGGTGGGAGGTCGAAGGAGTAGAAGAAAACTGGAAGTTCCAGAGGGGTCTGTGTGGATGCATTGGGTACTATGGGGAATGTGGAAATGGAGAGTAGACTGGAGTTTTGAAAGGATGTCTCTACCTAGGAGAGGAGTTGGGCATGAGGGCAGGAGTAAGAAAGAGTAAGTGAAGGAAAAGATGCAAAAGGAGCAGAAGAGTGGAGGGGTGGCTTGGGGTTTGGAGACTTGTCCATCAATTCCCACAACAGAGACTTGGGAAGACTGGGTCCTGAAAAATTAGGTAAAGCAGAGTAGGTCACCCCAGTATCAATTAAAAAACATACTGGCCTACTTGCTACCATCAGGGTTACCCTTGGCTTGGATGAAGCGATGGTAGTTGCCAGGGTGTCTGCTCTAGGGCACCATCAGTCTTCAGCGGCAAGGCTGATGAGATCCAAGTAGGAGGTTTTCAATAGTGATGGCAACTTTCTGTGGGAATCTGGCAGCTTGAAGAAGTTTGCTGATGAGAGCCATTGAATAAGAATAAGAGGGCCAGCTCAGGAAGGGATGGGGGGAATTATTGCAGTGGTCACTCACAGTCTGACTTCCAGTGGGATCCTTCACAGAGGGGGCACAGCCTGGTGGGCTTACCTGGGTTTGGGCATTGTCTGGACCAGTGGCCTTCATTGCCGCACTTGAAACAGGCACCAGGTGGAGGTGGATTGCCAGGAGGCTTCCACGTGGAGCTGCAGCCCTGTGGGCCTGCAGGGCCTCTGATGGTGGAGGCAAGCATTTGAAACTGCCTGTTTTTGCCTTTTACTTTCCTCATCACGATTGTTAAAGACTTTGAAGGCTAAATTAAGAAGGTCTCATTGTGGGGTTTGAGGGCTGTCATCAAGCTTCTGAGGCTTGTGCCGAATACTGGGGGTGGATTGGGAGATGAACCGAAGGATTAAGATAGTGGTTCCCTCTGGGCTGGTTGGGAGAGAGAAAAAGGGCTGGGTTTTCATCAGGACCTTGGGTGATTTCCGAAAATTTTTCATAGTTTACCACTTTATGGGCATGCTTTTTGAGTCCTGCAAGGAGACACACAATCATGTGGTCTTGATGGCAGCATCCAGAGGCCCCGTCTTGATAATCCCAGTGGGATCCTGTTTGGGGACTGCCTCTTCACCAGTAGGCTGGGCAGGAGCTTGGTGATGAATTGTATCAGCATGTGCCAGAGCTAGGGTCCAGATACGGTCTTGGTCTTCTGGGCTAAGGGTGGAAGAGAGGATAACATAGAGGTCATGGCAGGTTAGTTCATTAGACTGGGTAAGGTACTGAAACTCCCTAATATAAGGGGTAGGGTTTTCTGGAAATGAACTGAGTCTTTTGTTAATTTGAGAGAGATCAGCAAGGGAGAAGGGAACATGAACTCTAACAATACCCTCAGATCCCGCAACTTCCCGAAGGGGGCACTCTAGCACTGGTGCTGGAGTAAGGGTGGGGCATGGGGCAAAGGTGGCTCCTGAGCGAGTATGGGCAGGAGAGAAGGAAGAAGCCAGAAGTGGTTGAGAGGAAGAGATAGGGGCTGGGAGGGGTGGACAGCAGTCAGCTGGATGGAACGAGGGAAAACAGGTAGGGTCGGGAAGAGAAAGACAATCTGGGTGGTGAGAATGGAGGAGAAGGATTTGAACAGGTGAGCAAAAATTGTAGAGGTCTGGTTGTAATATGAGTGCAAAAAAAGACTGGACATAGGGCATTTTCCCCATTTTTCCACTCATTAGCAATAATTGCTTAAGTCAGTTAAAATTGTAAAGTTGAATGTTCCATTTGCGGACCATTTGGACCCATTATCTAATTCATACTGCAGCCAGCCTGTATTGCAAAAAAGACAAGGCACTTAGGGCAGATATATTGCCTGAGGCCTAAGGTTTGCAGATTTTTTATGAGGCAGCCTACAGGGCTGTTTTTTGGAATGGAGGACCAGGAGTTTCCCATAATGGAGGGTCAACTCAGGAGAACAAAGAAAAAGGAGACCATCCTGGAAAGCTGGAGGGAGAGGATAAAAGGAGCAATTATCACCGCTGCCTTTTTCATTCCTGGAATAGGATCAAATGGCTTAGAGGCATCCCCCTAAGACCAGATGATCAGTGAGTGCCTGGCACACACCGAAGCCTTCTTGGACCAACGTTGGATTTTCGGACTGCAGAAACAAAGAGAGGCCATATGGCTTTTTCTCTGTTAACTGGGCTCCTGGGGAAACTTACCAGTAGGTGAGATCAGTGACCAATGTGCATGCACAGAGGCAACTGGAGGCTGAGGAGCTTCCTTTGTCCAACAGCTGTGGCCTGCTCACTGGGGTGGAGGGGTAAGCCCATAGGGGATGCAGACCTGAGCTCCTCCCGGGTTTTGGCACCAGATGAAAGGTTCTTGTATTGGTTCAAATGCCAAGAGCACACCAACAGTCAACATGAGGCAGTGTGGAGCAACATGGTGTTTTAATGAGCACCTGGGTGCAGGCAGGCTGAGGCCTAAAATGGCATCAGCCCCAAGTGAGGACAGGGCAGGGGTTTTATAGTCTCCAGTAAACAGGAAGTGTCCCAGTCTGATGTAACTGCTATGTGGTAACCAGATGTCCTCTTTCTTGATCTTCAGGGGTATGTGTCTACTGGCCAGGGTAGGTGTTTTACAGCCAGGGCAGGTGTCTTCCAGCCAGGGTAGGTGTCTTCCAGACAGCTCTCTTCCTGTTTCTGCTATCTTGCTGATGCATGCTGCTAACACAAGTGGCCTTGTGCCTTGGGACTGGGCCTAAAAAGGGAGGAGTTACTCATCCCTTCAAGCTTTCAGGCCCTGGGAAGAATCTTTCTTCCTCCACTCACCAAGTGAGATCCATTACTTGAAGGCAGAGTCAAGGAGCACTCCATGGCCTGAATTTCCTGGTTCTCCAGTGAGAATGTGTATTGTGGAGACAGTCTCTCCCTGCTTTCATGCTCTGAAGACTTCCAGTTTTCTACCAGACCTGCCACTTTTAAAAAGAGAACCAAACACTGCATGTTCTCACTCATAAGTGGGAGGTGAAAAATGAGAACACATGGCATGGACACAGGGAGGGGAACATCACACACCAGGGCTTGTTGGGGGGTGGGGGGCTAGGGGAGGGATAGCATTAGGAGAAATACCTAATGTATATGACAGGTTGATGGGTGCAGCAAACCACCATGGCACATGTATACCTATGTAACAAACCTGCACATTCTGCACATGTATCCCAGAACTTAAAGTATAATAAAAAATAATAAAAATAATAAACAGGCAACCTATAAAATGGGAGAAAATTTTCACAACCTACTCATCTGACAAAGGGCTAATATCCAGAATCTACAATGAACTCAAACAAATTTACAAGAAAAAAACAAACAACCCCATCAAAAAGTAGGTGAAGGACATGAACAGACACTTCTCAAAAGAAGACATTTATGCAGCCAAAAAACACAGGAAAAAATGCTCATCATCACTGGCCATCAGAGAAATGCAAATCAAAACCACAGTGAGATACCATTTCACACCAGTTAGAATGGCGATCATTAAAAAGTCAGGAAACAATAGGTGCTGGAGAGGATGTGGAGAAATAGGAACACTTTTACACTGTTGGTGGGACTGTAAACTAGTTCAACCATTGTGGAAGTCAGTGTGGCGATTCCTCAGGGATCTAGAACTAGAAATACCATTTGACCCAGCCATCCCATTACTGGGTATATACCCAAAAGACTATAAATCATGCTGCTATAAAGACACATGCACACGTATGTTTATTGCTGCACTATTCACAATAGCAAAGACTTGGAACCCAACCAAATGTCCAACAATGATAGACTGGATTAAGAAAATGTGGCACATATACACCATGGAATACTATGCAGCCATAAAAAATGATGAGTTCATGTCCTTTGTAGGGACATGGATGAAATTGGAAATCATCATTCTCAGTAAACTTTCACAAGGACAAAAAACCAAACACCGCATGTTCTCACTCATAGATGGGAATTGAACAATGAGAACACATGGACACAGGAAGGGGAACATCACACTCTGAGGACTGTTGTAGGGTGGGGGGAGGGGGGAGGGATAACATTGGGAGATATACCTAATGCTGGATGACGGGTTGATGGGTGCAGCACACCAGCATGTCACATGTATACATATGTAACTAACCTGCACATTGTGCACATGTACCCTAAAACTTAAAGTATAATAATAACAAAATAAAAATTAAAAAAAAGAAATTCTATACCCTAAAAAATAAAAAATAAAATAAAATAAAAAGTATTTGAAGATTCTTTCACTCTTTCTATTGAGCTCCTGTTTTTGATCTTGGATAAAAGTTCACAGTGTGAATCTCTACACACTTTTTTTGCTCATTCCAACTGGCTGAGGTGTTCCAACAAAGCCTCTTGTCTGCCACCTTGGAAAAACATTTTCAAGAAAGACAGCAAATAAGTAAATTATAAACTCATTATTTTTTCAACATGTCAATATTACCCCTGGAATGTAAAGAGAGAAAAATATAGGAAACATGTAGGAATACTTGGTGGAGAGAAACCAATGATGAATTTCCTGATGCAATGATGTGATCTCTTTCTAGGTTAATGGTGGCTATTCCCAATAGGTTCTGATGGGACTCCTCAGCTTCGAGATGTAACTCAAAATTACCTAAAGAATTGATGGAAAGCAAACACTTTCTGTTGTCCCACTTTGAAACTGTTTAGAGGGATCTATAATGTGAAGGGAGTCTGGAGGACCCTTTGTTTGATATAGATATGCAAACTCAATTACTTGAAATGGAATGCTATAAATGAATGTCTTTATACAGACAGCGGGCTTCCAGGTCCATTCAGCCTTGAGGATCCACAAATCAAAAGTTGATGAGGAAGGAAGGGGTGGGATATTTTGGTCCCTCCTGAGTGTACTGCTGCTTCCATTTTACTCTCAGAGCTCAGCATGACCATCATTATTATATCTCACCAGGCAACCAAAAGGGCAAGCCACTCAACAGCATACTCAATGGTGAGAAACTGAAAGCTTTTCCTCTAAGTTTAGAAACAAGGCAAGAATGCCTACGTTGTGCACATGTACCCTAAAACTTAAAGTATAATAATAAAAAAAAGAATGCCTACTTTCACCATTTCTATTCAACATAGTACTGGAAATCCTAGTCAGAGCAATTAGGCAAGAAAAAAAATATATTCAATTCAGAATATGTGTATTGTCCGTTTGCAGATGACATGATTTTATATATAGAAAATGCTAAAGACTCCTAAAAACTGTTAAGGTTAATAAATAAATTCAGTAAGGCTGCAGGTAACAATATCAACATACAAAAATAAGTTGCATTTATGCACATGAACAATGACCCCTCTGAAAAAAAAATTAGGAAAAAAATCCCATTTACAATAGCACCAAAAAATTTTTTTAGGAATAAATGTAACCAAGAAGATGAAAGACTCATATACTGAAAGCTATAAAACATTAATAAAAGAAATCAAATAAGGTGAAACAAGTGGAAAATCACCTTGTGTTTGTGGCTTGTAAGATCTAATATTGTTAATATGTTTATATTACTCAAAAAGATCTACAAATTGAATGCAATCCATATCAAAATCTCAATGGCATTTTTTACAGAAACAGAACAATTTTAAAATTTATATAGAACCACAAAAGACTATAAATAGCCAAATCAACCATGAGAAAGAACAAAGCTAGAATCATCACCCTTTCTGATTTAAAAATATAATACAAATACACGATAAACAAAAGAGTATGGTTCTGAAATAAAAACAGACACAAAGAACAATGGAACAGAATACAGAGCCCAGAAATAAATGCACACATATAAAGTGAACTGATCTTCAACAGGGGCACAAAGAATATACAATGAGGAAAAGCAATTGGTGTCGGGAAAACAGGATATTCACATGCAAAGAATGAAACTGAATTTTCATCTTCAACAATTCAGAAAAAATGAACTCAAAATGGATTAAAGACTTAAACAGAAGACTGAAAACTATAAAATTCTTAGAAGTAAACAGGAAAAAACTATAGGACATTGGTCTTCACAATGATTTCGTGGATATGACACCGAAAGCAAAGGCAAAAAAAAATAAATTAAAGAATGGTACGATATTAAACTAAAAATCTTCTGCACTACAAAGGAAACAATCAACAGTGAATAGGCAACATGTGACATTAGAGAAAATATTTGTAAACCATATATCTGACAAGAGGTTTATCTCCAAAATGTATAATGAGATCACATGGACACAGGAAGGAGAACATCACACTCTGGGGACTGTTGTGGTGTGGGGGGAGGGGGAGGGATAGCATTGGGAGATATACCTAATGCTAGATGACGAGTTAGTGCGTGCAGCACACCAGCATGGCACATGTATACGTATGTAACTAACCTGCACAACGTGCACATGTACCCTAAAACTTAAAGTATAATAATAAAAATAAATAAATAAATAAATAAGAAAATCCTACAACTCAGTAGTAAAAAATTTAAAAATCTCATTAAAAACTGGTTAAGAACTTGAATAGACGTTTTCCCAAAGAAGTCAGAGAAGGCCAACAGGTATACTTTAAAAATGCATCAGGGGAATGCAAATCAAAACCACAGTAAGATATTACCTACCACTTCTCAAGATTACTATTATTAAAAAAAAAAAAACAACACAAGTGTTGGTGAGGATGTGACAAAATTGGAACCGTTGTACAAAGATTGTGAGAATGCAAAACGGTGCAGTCACTATGGAATACAATATGGAGATTCCTAAAAGCTTAAAAATAGAACTACCATATATTTCAGCAATCCCACTTCTGAGTATTTATTCAAAAAAATTGAAATCAGGAGCTTGAAGTTATAGCAACACTCCTATACTCACTGCAGCACTATTCACAATAGCCAAGATGTGGGAAACAACCTAAATGTCCATCAACAGATGAATGGATACATAAAATGTTGTATGCACAGAAACTGAATAGTATTCAACCTTTAAAAATAAGGAACACCTGAAATATGTGACAACATTTATGAACCTTAAGGATATTGTACTAAGTGAAATAAGTCAGTCACAGAAAGACAAATACTTCATAATTCCACTTAAATGAGATGTCTGAACTAGTCAGGCTCATGGTATCCGAGAGTGAAATGGAGGTTTCTCGGAGTTGAAGGGAGGAGAAGTTATAAATCAATGGTCATAAGGTTTTAGTCAAGTAGTATAAATGGGCTTTAAAGTTCTGCTATACAACATGGTACCTATAGTCAACAATAATGCATTGTACCCTCCCTGTGTCAATGTGTTCTCATTGTTCAACTCCTATTTATGAGTGATAACATGTGGTGTTTGGCTTTCTGTTCCTGTGTTGGCTTGCTGATAATAATGGTTTCCAGCTTCATTCATGTCCCTGCAAAGGACATGATCTCATTCTTTTTTATGGCTGCATAGTATTCCATGGTGTATATGTGCCACATTTACTTTATGCAGTCTAACATTGATAAGCATTTGGGTTAGTTCCAACTCTTCGCTATTGCAAATAGTGCTGCAGTAAACATACATGTGCATGTGTCTTTACAGTAGAATAATTTATAATCCTTTGGTTATATACCCAGTAATGAGATTGCTGGGTCAAATGCTATTTCTGGTTCTAGATACTTGAGGAATAGCCATACAGTCTTCTACAATGGTTGAACTAATTAAAACTCCCACCAATAGTGTAAAAGAACACCTATTTCTCCACAGCCTCCCCAGCATCTATTGTTTCCTGACTTTTTAATGATCACCATTCTGACTGGTGAGAGATGGTATCTCATTGTGGTTTTGATTTGCATTTCTCTAATAATCAGTGATGGTGAGTTTTTTTTCATATGTTTCTTAGCTGCATAAAAGCTGGAGTCATCTTGCTACCTGACTTCAAACTATACTACAAGGCTACAGTAACTAAAACAGGATGGTACTGGTACCAAAACAGATATATAGACCAATGGAACAGAAGAGAGGCCTCAGAAAAAACACCACACATCTACAACCATCTGGTTTTTGAAAAACCTGACACAAACAAGCAATGGGGAAAAGATTTCTTATTTAATAAATGTTGTTGAGAAAACTGGCTAGCCATATGCAGAAAACTGAAACTGGACCCCTTCCTTACACCTTATACAAAAATCAACTCAAGATGGATCAAAAACTTAAACGTAAGACCTAGGACCATAAAAATCCTAGAAGAAAACCTGGAAAATACCATTCAGGACTTAGGCATGGGTAAAGACTTCATGTCTAAAACACCAAAAGCAATGTCAAAAAAAGCCAAACTTGACAAATGGGATCTAATTAAACTAAAGAGTTTCTGCAGAGCAAAAGAAACTATCATCACAGTGAACAGGCAACCTACAGAATGGGAGAAAATTTTTGCAATCTACCAATCTGATAAAGTTCTAATATCCGGAATCTACAGGGATCTTAAACAAATGTACAAGAAAAAAACAAACAACCCCATCAAAAAGTGGGCAAAGGATATGAACATCCACTTCCCAAAAGAGAGGGTAAATTTTATGTTGGGCCTTCTTACCACAATAAAATGTTTTTTTTAATGAACAATACAAAAAGCCAACAAACAATACATGAATTCATGGCAAGATTATTAATCTTGACAGTCTCTTAGCAAGACTGATGATGAAAAAAGCCAGGAAACATGAGTAATTAGTGTGAATTATAAAACATGAGTCAACTGTGCAGATATTATAGACATTAAAAAGACAGTAAGGGATATCGCCATTAAGTATGAGGGGAGCTAAAGGTTTTTGCAGCTATTCTTTATGAAATTGATAAAGTTCTCATTTATTCCCAGCTTTTATTTTTTACTAATTTTTATAAAACATAATGACCACCAGTTTCATCCATGTCGCTACAAATGACAGTATTTCAACCCTTTTTATGGATGAATAATATCTCAGTGTTTTTACATAACACAGTTTCTTTATCAATTCATCCACTGAAGGATACTTAGGTTGATTCCATATTTTGGCTATTGTGAATAGTGCTATAGTAAACATGAACATGTGGATATCACTTCAATATATTGATTTCCTTTCTTTTGGATATATACCTGGGGTGGAAGTGCTGAATCATATGGTAGTTCTAGTTTTTAGTTTTTTTGAGGACCCTCCATACTGTTTTTCATAGTGGGTATACTAACTTACATTCTCACCCACAGGGTACAAGATCCCCTTTCTTCTTACCCTCACCAGCATCCATTATTCCCTGTCTTTTTGATCAAAGCCATTTTAACTGGGGTGAGATGACACATTATTGTGATTTTGATTTGCATTTCCCTGATAATTAGTGATGTTGAGCATTATTTCATATACCTTTTGGTCATTCGTAGGTCTTCCTTTGATAAATATCTATTCAGACCATTTGCCCATATTTATTTATTTTTTAGTTTTATATGTTTATGTTTATTTTATTTTTTCCATAAGTTATTAGGGTACAGGTAGTATTTGGTTACATGAGTAAGTTCTTTAGTGGTGATTTTTGAGATTTTGGTGCACCCAAGCAGCATACACTGCACCATATTCATAGTCTTTTATCCCTCGCCCCCTCCCACTCTTCCCTCAAGTCCCCACAGTCCACTGTATCATTATTATGCCTTTGCGTTCTCATAGCTTAGCTCCCACATATCAGTGAGAACATACGATGTTTGGTTTTCCATTCCTGATTTACTTCACTTAGAATAAGGTCTCCAATCTCATCCAGATCGCTGCAAATGCTGTTAATTCATTCCTTTTTATGGCTGAGTAGTGTTCCATCTTATGTATACATACCACAGTTTCTTTATCTACTCATTGATTGATAGACATTTGGGTTGGTTCCACGATTTTGCAATTGTGAATTGTGCTGCTATAAGCATGCATGTGCAAGTATCTTTTTTGGTATAATGTCTTCTTTTCCTCTGGGTAGATACCTAGTAGTGCATTTGCCCATTTTAAAATTAGATTATATGGGTTTTTTTTTTTTTTTTTTTTTTTTTTTTTTTTTTTTTTGCTATTTATTTGTTTGAGCTCCTGGTATATTCTGGTTATTATTCTCTTGTCAGACGGATAGTTTGTAAATATTTTCTCCCATTCAGTGCATTGTTTCTCTACTTCATCGATTGTTTTCTTTGCTGTGCAGAAGCTTTTTACCTTGATGTAACACCGTTTGTGTATTTTTACTTTGGTTGCCTGTGATTTTGCAGTCTTACTCAAAAAATCTTTACTCAGACCAATGTTCCAGAGGATTTTCCCAAAGTTCTCTTGTAGCAGTTTCATAGTTTCATGTCTTGTATTTAATTCTTCAGTCCATTTTTATTTAATTTTTGTATATGGTGAGACATAGGGTTCTGGTTTTATTTTTCTGCATATGGTTTTCTGAGCCCCATTTATTGAAGAGATTGTCCTTTTCCCATTGAATGCTCCCGGTATCTCTGTCTAAAGTAAGTGGGCTGTAAATGTGTGGATTTATATTTGGTTTTTCTTTTCTGTTTCATTGGTCTATATGTCAATTTTTAGGGCAATACCATGCTGATTTTATTACTACAGCTTTGTAATGTATTTTGGAGCCAGATCATGTGATGCTTCCTGCTTTGTTTGTTTATTTATTAGCTCAAGAGTACGTTGTCTGTTAGGGGTCTTTTGTGGTTCCATATAAATTTTAGGATTACTTTCTTCTACATCTGTGAAAAATGTTATTGGCATTTTGATAGGGAATGTGTTGGATCTGTAAATTGCTTTGGGTATTATTGACATTTAAAAAATATTAGATTTTTAAAATCCATGAACATGGAGTATCTTTTTCTTGTGTGTGTTTTCTTCAATTTCTTTCATCAATGTTTTATACATTTTGTATAAACATTTCACTTCTTTGATTATATTCATTCCTAGTTATTATATATTTTTGTAGGTATTACAAATGTGATTACATTCTTGATTTCTTCTTCAGATTGTTTGCTACTGGCATTTACAAGTGCTGCTGAATTTTGTATGTTGACTTTGTAACCTGCAACTTTACAGAATTCATCTCAGTTGTATCAGGTTTTTGGTGAATTGTTTAGGGCTTTCTAAATGTATTATCATATCTGTGAATAAAGCTAATTTAACTTATTCCTTTCCAATATGGATGTTCTTTATTTCTTTCTCCTGCCCAATTGCTCTGGCCAGGACCTCCATATAATAATTAATAAATGTGGTAAAAGTGAGCATTCTTTTCTTGTTCCAGATCTTAGAGAAAAGGGTGCCAACTTTTCCTCATTCAGTGTGATGTGGGCTCGGTTTGTCTTAGTGGCCTTTATTATTTTGAGGTGTGTTTCTTGTATACCCAGTTTATTGATGGTTTTATTTCATAAAGCGATGTTACATTTTATCAAATGCTTTTTCAGCATCTATTGAAATGATCACGTGGCTTCTGTTCCTGGTTCTGTAAATGTATTGTATCATTTTTATTCATTTGCATGTGTTGAACCATCCTTGAATCCCTGAGATGAATCCCACCCAATTGTGGTGAATGATCTTTTAAATGTCTTTTTTGTTGTTGTGTCTTTGTCTGATTTTGGTATCAGGTTAATGCTGGCTTTGTAGAATGAGTTTGGATTTGTTCTCTCCTCTTCAAATTTTTGAAAAATTTGATGAGAGTTGGTATTAGTTATTTAAATATTTGATAGAATTTAGCAGTGAAGCCATCAGATCCTAGGCTTTTCATTGATGAGAGAATTTTAATTATGACTTTGATTTCATTACTCATTATTGGTTCCTTGAAGCTTTCTATTTCTTCATGGTTCAATCTTGGTAAATTACATGTGTCTAGGAATTTACCTATTTCTTTTAGGTTTTCCATTTGTTGGCATATGGTTATTTTTAATAGTCTGTAATGATTCTTTGTATTTCTGGGGTCTCAAGTGTTATGTCTGCTTTTTCATTTATCATTTTATTTATCTGAGTCTTCTCTCTGTTTTTCTTAGTCTAGCTAAAGGTTTGTCAATTTTGTCTATCTTTTTTAAAAAATGACTTTGTTTGTTGATTTTCTGTATTGTTTTTAGTTTCAATTTCATTTAGTGCTGTTCTGTTCTTTACCGTTTCTTTCCTTCTACTACTAATTTTGGATTGGTTTGTTTTTGCTTTTGTACTTCCCTGAGGTCCATGGTTAGGTTATATTTTTGAAGTACTTTTTTTTTTTGGTGTAGGCATTTATTGCTGTAAACGTCTCTCTTAGTACTGCTTTTGTTGTGTCCCATGGATTTTGAGATGTTATATTCTCCTTTTCATTGGATTAAAGAAATTTTAAAATTTTCTTCTTAATTTTTTTTCATGAACTCATTGGTCATTCTGGAGCATGTTTCAAAATTCTCATGTTTTTGTATAATTTCTGAGATCTCTCTTGTAAATAATTTCTAGTTTGTTTTCATTGTGGTCAGAAATGATATAATGATATAAATTCTACTTTGTTGGATTTCTTGAGACTTGTCTATCTTAAGCCACATGGAGAATGTTTCATATGATGATAAAAAGAAAATGTATTCTTCACCAATGGTGTGAAATATTCTGCAAATGTCACTTAGGCCTATGTCTATTGTGTAGTTTAACACTGAGGTTTCTTTGTTGATTTTCTGTCTGGACAATCTATGCATTAATGAGTGGGGTGTGAAAGTATCATACTATCATTGTATTGTAGTCTGTCTCTCCTTTTAGAGCTATTAATGTTGACTTTGTATATGTGGGTGCTCTGCTCTCAGGTGCATGGACATTTATACTTGTCATATTCTCCTGCTGAATTGACTTTATATGGTGACTTTCCTCATCTCTTTGTAGAGTCTTTGACTTGCAGTATGTTTTATTTGATATGAATATAGATACATTTCCTCTTTTTTAGCTTCCACTTGCATGGAGTATCTTTTCCAATCCCTTCACATTCCAACTATGTGTGTCTTTACATGTAATATGAGCATCTTGTAGGCAGCAGATAATTGGATCTTGTTTTTTTATCCATTCAAGGCACTTCATGTCTTTTAATTGGAGAAGTGAGTTTGTTTACATTTATTGTTACCTTAATAAGTAAGGACTTACTACTGTCATTTTGTTGCTTGTTTTCTGGTTGTTTTGTAACTCATGTCTTTTCTTTCTTTTTTTACTGTATTTCTTAGTGGTTATTTTCGGAGGTAGTATGTTTTAATTTGTTTCCTTTTATTTTTAGAGTATCTATTACAGGTTTTCACATTTAGTTACCATGAGGTTTACAAAACACATCATACAGATAAAACAAGTTATTTTTAAAAGGTGGTGACTTACCTTACATCACAAAAATAGAATAGAAACAACGAAAAAACTAAAAATTAAAACTCTACAATTTAACTTCATCTAACCCATTTTGACATTTCTTTGTCTCAATTTACATATTTTAGTATTGCCCATCTCTTAGTAGGTTACTGTAGCAATTATTAGCTTTGATACATTTGTCTTTTAACCTTTATACTAGAGTTTTGAGTGAAATATACAGCACAGTTAGAGAATTAGAGTGTTTTACAGTTGTATACTTAATTTTACCAGTGGGATTTATACCTTCAAATGTTTTCTTTCTGTACATTGGCATTTCTTCTTTTTAGACAGAAAAATTCCTTTTAGTCCTTCTTGTAAGACAAGTCTGGTGGTGCTTAATTCTCTCAACTTGAAGGATAGCTCTGCAGCATACAGGATTCTTGGATGGCAGTTTTTTTGTCTTTCAGTACTTTGAAAATATGCTCCTGCTTTCTAATGATTTCTATGGTTTCCATTGAGAAGTCTATTGCTGGATGAATTGAAGAACTTTTACATGTTATTTACTTCTTTTGTTGCTTTTAGGATCCTCTTTTTGTGCTTGAATATTGAGAGTTTGATTATTATATTCCCTGGAGTAATCTTATTTGGGTCAATCTGTTTGGTGTTCTCTTACATTCCTATAGGTGGAAATTTACATATTTCTCTAGTTTTGGAAAGTTTTCTGTTATTATTTCTTTGAATAAGATTTCTTCCTCTTCCTCTAGCTCAATTCTTTCATGAACACCAGTAATTCTTAGATTTGGTCTTTTGAAATAATTTTCTTTATTTCATAGGTGATCTTTAATTCTTTTTTTTTTTGTCCTCAAGACTGTATTTTCAAATAGGTTGTTTTAGCTCACTGATTCTTTCCTCTGCTTGATCCATTCTGCAGTTAAGAGCTTCTAATGAATTTTTCAATTCAGCAAATGTATTCCTTACTTCCAAGATTTATTTAATTTTAAAAAATTATTTCAATCTCTTTGTCAAATTTCTCTCATAAGTGTCTGAATTGCTTTTCTGTGTTACCTTGGAGATCAAATTTCCTTCAAACTGCTATTTTGAATTTTTGGTCAGAGAGCTCAGTATTAACATGTCATTAAGGTCCGTCACTGGATACTTGTTTTGACCGTTTGGGGAAGTCATGCTATCTTGTTTTCTATTGTTCCTAGTGAATGTATGTTTATTTATTCACATTGACAGATTAGTTTTTTTATGCCAGTCTTCTCTGTCTGGCTTGTTTTGTTTTCTATTGCATTTGTTTTTTTTTGCTAGAGTTTTTTATAATTTTTGAATTTCTTCCTCCCACTCCCCTGCCCCACTGGCTTGCTGCCTTTTTGTTTGTCACTAGATGGTACCTTAAGCCATGGTTTGCTTAAGGTTTAGTAACAGATCCTAGCACTGTTTATCCCCAAAGGTGGAGGTCTTAAATGGGATGCAAGATAGTGTGGGAAAGCTGACTAAGGGGTTGTGCCCAGGGGCCCTGTGGAATGAACAACTAACAGCATGGTGCTGCTGAACAGCCACTCTGAATGAGGTCCTTTTTGGCTGAGTTACAGAGCAGAGTTCTCAGGGCTGTGGGTGATAAAGTCCCACTTCCCCCCTTGTGCCTGGCTGTCCTCAGGGATATTTCTCCCTGTGGGCATTTGTGATGCTTCCCGTGGTTTAAGGCAGGATCAGGTCTCCTGCCAAGGAACTCAAGATGGTGGAGAAGCTGTTTGTCCACCTTGATCTCAGATATTCCAGTGTAGAACACATAAGTTTGGGGAAAATTTTCTGCATTCTTGGTGCAGGGCAGATTGAGGTTTGTGTGTTTCAGATGCAGAAATCTAATTCTCTTATCTGTTTGGATTTTTTTCATTTCTCTCTGTCCCTGGAGCTGCCTAATCTTCATATTTGAGTTATGGGATATTGCTGGCAACAATCTCGGCACTGTATGTTTGATTTTGGTTTACTCAGGGAGGGTAGGTGAGTTAAACCAGGTTGCTTTTATACTGCCATTTTTTTGGAACTGGAAGATCATCTTTTTGTGTTCTGTTGATCTGGTAACCAAGAAGGCTGCTAAGTGACTAACGGGCAAGTAGCTTGTCAGATGTTATAGGGCTGATTACCTTAGAGCCATATAGTTCATTTTTTCTTTAAGTGTGCTGAATGCTACTCCTGTGCTAATTTGCTTTGTGCCTGTCTCTGTCCCTAAATCATGTGAAACTGCTTTTCCTGGATTATCTATCTTGCACTATCATTGCTCTCTGTTACAGGATGCTGCAAGAGTTTTTGCTAACAAATTGCTTCTTGTGTTCTATACAGAAATAGTCCTGGAGTCATGAGCACCACTCACACATTCAACTTCTCTGTAACAATGCCCACTGATGCCCTATTAATCAACATTTGCAATGTGATGGCAAAGGAACAGATGTCAAATTAATTTGCAAAAGTTCCTCCAGGTGACAAAGGAGGGGTTTGTTTTCTTTCAAGATCATCTCCTGGCCCTGTGTGGTCCCCCAGCTCTACACCTTGCATGAGAGAAAACCTTCCATGGGTCTCACTCTTGCAACAGGTAGATCAGATACACCCACTGGTGAGGTCTGCAGGACAGTTTCCTCCATGCCTCCCTAGGGACCAGAATCAGGAGATTAAGGTCCAGATTGTGAGGGCAAACTGCCCTTCATGAATGAACACTCAGTGTACCAAAACCTCATTGATGATTCTAAGGGTAGCCAATGTTCCCTTGAGCTCTGATTTACAGACAACTGAAAGCCTTTGGGAGAAAGGTAGGCTATCACAGATGACAAAAATGTTGAAACACAGAGGCCTATGGGAGAACTTTGGGTGAGAATTTTAAAGGTACCGTGGGACTGTCCCTCATAAGTTCTCACTTAGGCACATTGTCACTGCCTCATACTGACCATGTCTAGCTCTTCCCTATTTGCAAGTTAGAGAGAAAGAAGATCTCCTGCCACCATGGTCTTGGCAATTCTCATATCATGACCTCCCAAGAGAAATGACTGAAATCGATAGTTTGTTTCTAGTTTTGAGGAGGCTGTTTTGCTGTGCTGAAGTAAAAGAGGGGAAAGCAGCTCCCACCTGTGGACCGGTGGACATTCCCTGCTTATCTGCCTATGCACACTTGCACCATCCTCTAGCTGTCTGCTCCTTCCAGATCTGTCTGCTCCTGGTTTGCATGCCTGTTCGTGGGGGTCTCCAGGGCTACCTTTCCCAGAATGGCTCTGCTTTGTGTTCAAAAGGAACAATACTGCCCATCAGGATTAGGACAGGCCAGAAACCTAGAAAGATTTCTAGAAAGAGGCTCTAACTGGAGCAGAAGTGGGGATCAAGGGATGGAAGGAAAGGGCTTTTCTCAAGGACAGAAGTAACAGCCAGGGTATCAACCACTTTTCTATAAATGTGTGCATATATGTGTGCACACACATATACACCTATAGATCAGCTCTAGCTGCTGTAGGGGTAGGCCATGCTGTGTGTCTTGTATTTTTTCAAGCAAATATCACAGTGAGGGACAAGTTTCTGTCTTTTTTCCTTCTCTTCACTTCTCTTCTTTCTTTCTTCACCTCTACCTCCTTCTTCTTCCTCCTTATCCCTCATTACTTTCTTCTTCTTCATCATCATCTTTTTGTCTTCATCTTTTTTCTCTTCTTCTTCCTGTCTTCTTCCTCCTCTCTCCTTTGCTCTTCTCATTTTCTGTTAACAGCCCCAGTACTCTTCCAGTTATCCACATAGGATCTATTTCCAGCTGTCCCCACCCCTCCATATATCAATATTCAGCTAATCCTTGCAGAGACCCTCCTGCATCATGTCTCCTCTTTCCTATGGTTATCATTTCCCTGGAAGACTCTGAGTCTCCTACATTTGATCCAGTTTCCACGATTTCCCCAACCTCATGTGTTCCTAATATTTTTATTAAAGTAATCCTTGTAAACCTTCTGGTTCTTTGCATATATCAGCCAAGTTTTTCACAAGGCCCCAGTGGTAACTTATCACCTTTTACTTTGAACTTCTTCTATGTCAATTCTGATCACAGTTATCATTTTCTCCTGCTATACTTTAAAGTATTCCTGGTTGGAGCTATGTATCCTTAGCCCACAGGCCAGAGGAAGGGGAACCAGGTCCCTTCAGGAAAGTGCATGGGGTATGCCTCTCTACCACCATTTCTTGACACCCAGGTGTAATCATACTTTCCCTATGGAAGTGCCTGGCACATAGAGAGTGCTCTTCCTGCTGCCTACACTCCTGCTAGACAGAACCCTGGCAAGGTCATCGTGAGGGCTGGGATCCACTTACAGCTTTGGCTCTAACCAGAGTCTGATATTGGGATGCCATTTCCTCACTCTGGTATACTCGTTTTTCCATCTATATTCTGATGAGGGTGAGGGGTGCTCTCAGACACCTGCAAATTAGCATCACACTCCCCTAGGCTCTCTAGCAAGATATTCTGGGAGAAAAACCTCTGAATCTTATTTCCAGCTACTGCTCAAGGAAGGGACTGTTTCCAAAGAAAATCACAGTCATAAATAAGGGAATTTTTTTGTGTGTGTCTTTTTTTCTTCTTTGTTCCTTTCCCTCTCTTTCTGTTAATGGCAGCCATCCCTTCACATCACTTAGAATCACTGAGAATCTTTCCTACCCTGGCTTACAAATTGTGCAGAATCCCTGTAGAGTAAGGTGCTCCTTTGTCTGTTTCCACTGTCTCTGACCTAATTCTTGACTGACTGGCCATTTACCTGATCTACATTAAAAGCGAGGAGAACTGTGTTCTCATCCCAGAAAAAAATGTATGACCCAGGCAGTTTGATTCACCTCTCTGAGATTCATGTCTTCATCTGTAAAATGAGGCACTTGATCATCCTTGGCTCCACCTGGAGGCAAGTTGGGGTCATAGAGAGAGCTCTGGCATGGTGATCCAGGGCCATGAACTCCAGTCACAGCTCTTCTACTAACCTAGCATTTGATTTAGTTCTAGTCCCTTTCCACTTCTGAGCCTCAGTTCCCCATCTAAACAGCCATGACTGACAATGGATGAGTCCTAGACTCTTGCAAATGAAGAACTTAATCCCCCAATATGCCTGTGTGTTGATAAGGTCCATATCCTCTGATCTTGAGCAGATACAGCCTTTTCTTTTCCTCTGGATTGCTTCTTGAAAGTGGATGTAGTAAAAGCCCTTTCCTTTATGCTTGATACTTTATTTTCTCAGGTAAGCTCTCCATACCTTTGCCCTGGAGCCTGTATTTATGGATTTTTCATCAGCAAAGCCTATCAGTTAGTGTAATTAGCTTATTGTCAACTTCAATCTTGGCCCTCTCCATGCACTGTCCCCCACCTACATCAGGTTCTCTCTTATCTTAACTTAGTGAGCAGAGCTCCTGGCTGCATCACCATAGCAACCAGCAGCTAGGGCAAATTAAGCCATGACAGAGTTATTAGACTCTTAAGCTTATTATAGAGTCCAGAATATTAGCTGGAGGAGAGAGGCTGAAAGAAAGAATCCAAGGCAGAACTTAGCTGCAAAAATGTGGGCAGCAGAGAAGCTGAATGCTTCAAACCATCTCCGACCTGGACATCATAGGAGCCATGGGCAGGGTGTCAACACTTTGGCATGTGCACTCAGCCACCAGGCCAGAGGGAGAGGCACCAGGCCCATTCTCTTCTCAAGAAAATAATTCTGGACACCTCCCTGCCAACATGCTTCAAATGAAAGAATTTGTGTCTAGATTTTTAAATAGTGCCAATTACTGAACTCACCCTGAATCCTACTCCTAATCTGGTGACACATTTTTTTATCAATCATTCAGCTTTACTCTACAAAATTTTCTTGCATGAAACAAAGGCCATTTTCTACTTGTTTGAAGCTCTCTTTTCCCAGTCAAGGCCCCTGCTGCCTTGGCCCGTGAGTTTGGCCTGTTAATCTCAAAAGTCTATTAATTACTGTAATTAGGATATTCAAATTACAATTCTCCCCCTCCTCCACATGGACAGCCACCCACCCTTCTTTTATGCTCTTTTCATTTCATTCAGGAAGAAAAGCTCTTGGTAGGATTGCTGTAGCAACCTGCCACCAGGCAAATTAACCCATTGACACTGACATTCAATGCTGATTATGGGTCTGGAAACCTGGATGGCTGAGCAAGATTGATGGAATTGAGACAAAGAGGCTCTCAGCTAGAGAGAAGGGGTATATGAGTAACTCAGAACTTCAGACAAAACCCCAACCCTAACTTTATCTTTGTCTCCGTGTGCTTCATGGAAGGAAAACAAGAGAGTGAGAATAAGGAAGGTTGTCCCCTATTAAAGATGAATGTCTGAATTGGACATTGGAGGGGCTTGTGCCCTTAGGCTAACTCTGCCCTAGCCACAAGCCCACACCTGGGAGCATTTCCTTTTCATTGAGTATCCACAGTTCCTATAAAGTTACCTAGTTTATACTTAAGGTTCTCATAGTGCTTGGTGCTGAGCAATCCTGTAAGATACAGCACTACTAGTGAAAGCACAGTGATACTAACTTTGGAACATGAGCAAGTGAAATCTCCCTAACAAACTGGATTTTTTTTTTTTTCTGGGAAATGACACTAATAAAAGGCTCTGCTATCTGCTTTAAGGCTCCCTGTTTGCAATCTACCTCGCATAGCTTCTGGGAATGCTGCTGTAAATGCTTAATGGAGGAGCTGTGGGAGGTGTTAATCACCAAAGGACCTAAGTATATTAGGCTATTCTTGCCTTCGAGAATTTCCCCCTGTCCCCACAGTGCACCCCTGTCTACATTCACAGGCTTCCACTCATTTACACTGGGAGAACAGTGCTCCTGGCCACATTGCCATAGCAACCAGAAGCCAGACAGAGTAGGAGGGTGAGCCAGACATTTGACAGCAAAGGTTACTGGAGTATCTATTGGAGAGTGGCTGACTCTTAGGAGGAAAATACCTTAAATCTCACTGCAAAAAAATTGGCCACTAGGACCTGCAGTGTTTCAACAAAGTCCCCTCCCATCTTCCATTCCTGTGCCTCCAGGTGAGGGGTAGTCAGAATGAATTTTGCTTTATGTGGAGGCCAAGGTCTGTGTTTTGCCCAGAATATGTGTCCTTTGCCTTGAAGCTGGACACGAGACCAGATACCTCTTCCTGCCCCACCTTGTTACCAAACTAACACGCACGAGTGGACATATGCTCCAAATGTGCATTTCCATGGCTGCATCCCTTGTGCCTAGAATAGTGTCAAGAATATGGTAGTGCAACCTCATGCACATCCTCTGTCTACTCACTCCATGTTAGACATTGCAGTTCACATCTTATCCTCTGCAAATCTCCTTCTACTACTGGAATACCCACAGTCTCAACTGATGACATTGAGAACATGAAAGTAAAGAAAAGCCTTAAAAAACTTCTCACCTCCCTGCATCTGTAACTAGATACTCTTCTTTGCCTCTTGCCACAATGGATAAACTCACTACACTCCTATCAAAACCCATTCCTACAGTTGGCCACTAGATTATACCCCTTCTTGACTATTCAGTGCATGATCCCAGCAATGCTTCCTGTGCTCTTTCCTACATCACCAATTTACCCTTCTCTACTGGATGATTCCCATCAGTACATAAACATTCCACAAAGTCTCCCATGCAAAAAATAAAGACAAAACACCAAAAAAAAACAACAACAAGAAAGAAACAAAACATCCCACCTTAACTGCACAACCCACTCCATCTACTGCATCATCTATTTGCCCTGTACACAGAAGTTCCTCAAAAATCATTACCTGTTCTTGATTTCTTCACTTTCTCTACTCTCATGTTTTTTCTTGAACCCACCCCACTCAAGCTTTTGTCTCCACCACTCCATGGAAATAGCTCTTCTCAGGGTCCCCAAATAACCTGCATATTGCTAAACCTAGTGATCATTTATCAGTACTGGTCTTACTTGACTGAAAAGTAGAATTTGACAATTGATCACTTCTTCCTGCTAGTAATACTTTCCTCACTTATTTTACAGGACATTTCTGACTGTTGGTTGTGCTTCTGGTTCAGTGTCTGCTACTTTTCAGAGTCATGGGTAGTTACTCCTCCCTGCTTTGACTTCTTTGCATTGCAGTGCTCTAGGGTTGGCCTCTCAGACATGTTCTTGTCACCTATGCTCACTTGCTAAGAATCATACACAGTTCTATCCATGTCTTTGATCGTACCCACACATAACGGAATCACACATTAATGTTTCAAGCTCAGTCCTCTCTCTGGACTCCAGGCTCATATTTCATTGTCTATTCAACATCACCACTTGGATCTCTGAAAGTCATTTTAAATTCAAATTCACGATACACATAACTAAGTCCCTGATTCCCTTTCCATTGTATCCACTCCTCCCATAAATTTCCCCATCCTAGGAAATATTAACTCCATTCTTCCCCTTGTTCAGTCCAAAATCTTTGGAGACATTTTTGGATTCCTCTCACCCTCATCCCACATTCATGTATACTGTCATTTCTACCTTCAAAAGAGACTTGGAATTCCTTCACTTCTCATTCCCCTTCATATGTATCACTCTAGTAACAATGCGCTGCCATCTTTTACCTCTGTTATCATCATAGCTTCTAAATGGACCCTCCGTTACTGCCTTTCCCTCCTTACAGTCTCTCTTTGATGTACCAGACTGAGACTTTTCTGCAAGATTATGCCACTTCTCTGCTCAGAACTCTCCCATGGTTTCTTGTTGCACACATCCTATCACTTACCAAACAATAATATTTAATTAACTCTTTAATCTCAGTTCCTGTATTGGTATCTGTCCTGCAAAAGCCTCCACGTACACTAGCAATCTTTCTGTTTCTGAAAAACAACAAGCAGAGAAGTAAAAGGAACTGCCTTGGCCCTGGTACTGACAGGTGTGCTCTCCTGAAACCCAGAGGCAAGGCAGGGCTTCTTGTACCCATGGTCTAAAATGGGTGGAATGGTGAGGAAAGATCACACTGGTTGAGACCCTCTGCCTAAGGGCCTGGCCTCCAGAGGCTGGGACAGCCATGCCTTGCAGAGTCCTACCCTGAACACTTACTTGTATGAACAACCTCAGTGGTGTCATGCCAATGGTCTCACAAAAACCAAGCCAGCAGATAACTTCCACACTTACAGATGCTTACAGACTTGTTTCTTTCCCATAACTTTGCACACAGGTAATTGTATGATTATATATGTCAGGAGACATATTCTCTCCAAAAACTATATGAAAGCTTGTGGGAGCCCATTTTGTTCCAATGCCCTGGAGTGTGGATTACAGAGACTAATATGGTGTTAGATGGCAGGTTTTATTCACACATGTGAGGATTTGTATGTACATACATGAAAGCACAAGCACACACATAGCAGATCCATTTGCACTCTTTGCTCTTTGAGTTGACCTGGTGTAAGACATTAGGAGTGGTGAGGACTGTGGTCAACTGCACAGGCGTTCATTTTCAAAATCATTAAAACTATTTATAGAACAAAGGAAACTTGTCTTCAAGATAAATCAGGCCATGATGGGAGTTTTTCCACCACCTATTCAGTTAAAGGAACCTGGGGTCAGATAAGAGATGGCAGCGGCACAAAGGTTTTTTTACAACAAAGGCTGCAGCCAGCCCATACATCTCATCTTACATTCTTAGCACCACTTTCCCATTGCTTTCAAGGCAGGGGTCCTAATCCCCCCTCTGTTCTCACTATACTGTAAGAACTGACCAGTAGACCTAGACTATTAGCTTCAGAAGCTGTGGCTTGGAAAAACAATAGAATAGAGATGAGGAGTCTCAGTTTGAGTCCTGAGGCTTCCACTTTCATACCTTTTCACCTCAGGTATTTCACTTTACTCCCGGAAGTCTTGGCTTCCCCACTTGTAAATGAGAGAACTAGGGTTGTGGGAAGACAGTATTATACTATATGTTCTCCAAAGGTCTCATGCAAATCTAACATTCTCAGTACCAGTAAAGCATTGTTTGATAGGAAACTCCCTATCAGGCCTGCAGAGCCTTGGCCATTCACCCTGCTAGAAGGTATTAGTCAAAACATTAGTTCTTTTTTAGCCAATTGATGGTGAGTAACCTAGGATTGTGGTTTTCAGAATGCAAACCACTTGGGCCTTGACATAGATGGCTGAAGAAATTTACCCAAGCAAGAGATAGCATTAGCTGCTGGGCTAACATCTTCCTGGTTGGGGGACACCCCGACACCTGCCTTTGGTCAGTGAGACCATTACATGACTCACCTGCAGCAGTGTGCAGGTTAAAGGTAATGAGTTGAACTTGTAGCTTGCCCCTCTCTCACTACTCAAAATCCTTTCTTCTCTCTGGAGGAAGCTCAGTTTTCAGCAGAGGTGATGACAGAGAAACAGATTCCAGTTTGGGAAGTGTGAAAAAGCTGAAGGGGGCAGGGTATGTTGGTGGATAGGATAGATAGGATACGGTAGGGTAGATCTCTGATAAATCCCACAAATTCTTTCCGGGAAATTTATCTACTGAGAATTTTTAACTCTCAAGTGTTTAGTTTGGTGACTTGTATTTTTCCTAGATAATCATTTCTTTAATCCAGGTTTTCAAAGGCCTTTACTTCACTCTTCTTTTTATTCTATTAATTTCTTCTCTAATGCCCTTTTCGCCATTGAGTATGCTGTTATCTGTGGGCTGTCTGTATACAGACTTTGTTGTCTTGAGGTAATTTCCTTTTTGTCTCAGTTTGTTTAGAGTTTTTATCATGAATGTGTTTAGAATTATTTCAAATGTATTTAGGCATCTACTGAAATGATTGTGTGATTGTGTTTTTTTTATTCCTTTATTCTGTTAATATGGTATATCATATTGATAGATTTTTATATATTGAATTATCCTTTAATTCCAGGGATAAATCCCACTTGGCCATGGTGTATGACCTTATAAAGGTGTTCGTAGATTCAGTTTGCTAGTATTTTGTTGAGGATCTTCACATCTATGTTCTTCAGCAATATTAGCCTGTTATTGTCTTTTCTCATAATATCCTTGTCTGGCTTTGGTCTCAGGGTAATGCTAGAGTCATAAAAGTAGTATGAAAGTGTTCTCTTTTCTTCCATTTGTTCAAAGAATTTGAAAATGATTGGCATTAATTCATCTTTTTGGGGAAAAAATTCTCTCAATTGTTTGTATTAATCTTTCTGAAATGTATCTATAGCTCACATTTATTTTCATATTTGCCATTAGAAACATTTTGGTCTTTATTTAGGAGTTTGGTGATGGTTTTGCGACCAGGTCTATGCCATAGGAATTTTTTTATACTATACTTTAAGTTCTAGGGTACATGTGCACAGCGTGAAGGTTACATAAGTATACATGTGCCATGTTGGTTTGCTGCACACATCAAGTCGTCATTTACATAAGGTATTTCTCCTAATGCTATCCTTCCCCAAGTCCCCCACCCCCTGACAGGCCCCAGTGTGTGATGTTCCCTGCCCTGTATCCAAGTGTTCTCATTGTTCAATTCCCACCTAAGAGTGAGAACATGCAGTGTTTGGTTTTCTGTCCTTGTGATAGTCTGCTCAGAATGATGGTTTCCAGCTTCATCCATGTCCCTGCAAAGAACATGAACTCATCCTTTTTTATGGCTGCATAGTATTACATGGTTTATATGTGCCACATTTTCTTTATCCAGTCTATCATTGATGGACACTTGGGTTGGTTCCAAGTCTTTGCTATTGTGAATAGTGCCACAATAAACATATGTGTGCATGTGTCCTTATAGCAGCAAGATTTATAATCATTTGGGTATATACCCAGCAATGGGATCACTAGGTCAAATGGTATTTCTAGTTCTAGATCCTTGAGGAATCGCCACACTGTCTTCCATAATGATTGAACTAATTTACACTCCCACCAACAGTGTAAAATGTTCCTATCTCTCCACATCCTCTCCAGCACCTGTTGTTTCCTGACTTTAATGATCGCCATTCTAACTGGTGTGAGATGGTATCGCATTGTGGTTTTGATTTGCATTTCTCTGATGACCAGTGATGTTGAACATTTTTTCATGTGTCTGTTGGCTACATAAATGTCTTCTTTTGAGAAGTGTCTGTTCAAATACTTTGCCCACTTTTTTTTTATTATACTTTAAGTTTTAGGGTACATGTGCACAATGTGCAGGTTAGTTACATATGTATACATGTGCCATGTTAGTGTGCTGCACCCATTAACTTGTCATTTAACATTAGGTATATCTCCTAATGCTATCCCTCCCCCCTCCCCCCACCCCACAACAGGCCTCGGTGTGTGATGTTCCTCTTCCTGTGTCCATGTGTTCTCATTGTTCAATTCCCACCTATGAGTGAGAACATGCGGTGTTTGTTTTTTTGTCCTTGCGATAGTTTGCTGAGAATGATGGGTTTCCAGCATCATCCATGTCCCTAAAAAGGACATGAACTCATCATTTTTTATGGCTGCATAGTATTCCATGGTGTATATGTGCCACATTTTCTTAATCCAGTCTATCATTGTTGGACATTTGGGTTGGTTCCAAGTCTTTGCTATTGTGAATAGTGCTACAATAAATATACGTGTGCATGTGTCTTTAAAGCAGCATGATTTATAATCCTTTGGGTATATACCCAGTAATGGGATTGCTGGTGGGGTTGCTGTTTTTTTCTTGTAAATTTGTTTAAGTTTTTTGTAGATTCTGGATATTAGCCTTTTGTCAGATGGGTAGATTGCAAAAATTTTCTCCCATTCTGTAGGTTGCCTGTTCACTCTGATGGTTGTTTCTTTTACCATGCAGAAGCTCTTTAGTTTAATTAGATCCAGTTTGTCTATTTTGGCTTTTGTTGTCATTGCTTTTGGTGTTTTAGTCAATAAGCATTTGGACATGCGTATGTCCTGAATGGTATTGCCTAGGTTTTCTTCTAAAGTTTTTATGGTTTTAGGTCTAACATTTAAGTCTTTAATCCATCTTGAATTAATTTTTGTATAAGTTGTAAGGAAGGGATCCAGTTTCAGCTTTCTACATATGGCTAGCCAATTTTCCCAGCACCGTTTATTAAATAGGGAATCTATTCCTCATTCCTTGTTATTGTCAGGTTTGTCAAAGATCAGATGGTTGTAGATGTGTGGTGTTATTTCTGAGGCCTCTCTTTTGTTCCATTAATATATATATATCTGTTTTGGTACCAGTACCATGCTGTTTTGGTTACTGTAGTCCTGTAGTATAGTTTGAAGTCAGATAGCATGATGCCTCCAGCCTTGTTCTTTTTGCTCACATTTTGGCAATGTGAGCTCTTTTTTGTTCCATATAAACTTTAAAGTAGTTTTTTCCAATTCTGTGAAGAAAATCATTGGACCTTGATGGGGACGGCATTGAATCTATAAATTACCTTGGGCAGTATGGCAATTTCATGATATTGATTCTTCCAACCCATGAGCATGGACTGTTCTTCCATTTTTTTGTGTCCTCTTTTATTTCGTTGAGCAGTGGTTTGTAGTTCTCCTTGAAGAGGTCCTTCACATCCCTTGTTAGTTGTATTCATAGGTATTTTATTCTCTTTGTAGCAATTGTGAATGGAAGTTCACTCATGGTTTGGCTCTCTGTTTTTCTGTTATTGGTACATAGCAATGCTTGTGATTTTTGCACATCGATTTTGCATCCTGAGACTTTGCTGAAGTTGCTTATTAGCTTAAGGAGATTTGGGGCTGAGACGATGCAGTTTTCTAGATATACAATCATGTCATCTGCAAACAGGGACAATTTGACTTCCTCTTTTCCTAATTGAATACCCTTTATTTTTTTCTCTTGACTGACTGCCCTGGCCAGAACTTCCAACACTATGTTGAATGGGAGTGGTGAGAGAGGCCATGATTGTCTTGTGACATTTTTCAAAGGGAATGTTTTCAGTTTTTGCCCATCCAGTATGATATTGGCTGTGGGTTTATGATAAATAGCTATTACTATTTTGAGATACATTCCATCGATACCTAGTTTTTTGAAAGATTTTAACATGAAGGGTGTTGAATTTTATGGAAGGCCTTTTCTGCATCTATTGAGATAATCATGTGGTTTTTGTCATTGGTTCTATTTATGTGATGGATTACATTTATTGATTTGCATATGTTGAACCAGCCTTGCATCCCAGAGATGTAGCCAACTTGATCATGGTGGATAAGCTCTTTGATATGCTGCTGGATTCGGTTTGCCAGTATTTTATTGAGGAGTTTCACACAGATGTTCATCAGAGATATTGTTCTAAAATTCTCTTTTTTTGTTGTGTCACTGCCAGGCTTTGGTATCAGGATGATGCTGGCCTCATAAAATGAGTTAGGGAGGATTCCCTCTTTTTCTATTGATTGGAATAGTTTCTGAAGGAATGGTACCAGCTCCTCTTTGTACCTCTGGTAGAATTCAGATGTGAATCCATCTGGTCCTGGACTTTTTTTGGTTGTAGGCTATTAATTGTTGCCTCAATTTCAGAACCTGTTATTGGTCTATTCAGAGATTCAACTTCTTCCTGGTTTAGTCTTGGGAGGGTGTGTGCATCCAGGAATTTATCCATTTTTTCTAGACTTTCTAGTTTATTTGTGTAGAGGTGTTTATAGTATTCTCTGATGGTAGTTCGTATTTCTGTGGGATTGGTGGTGATATCCCCTTTATCATTTTTTATTGCATCCATTTGATTCTTCTGTCTTTTCTTTTTTATTAGTCTGGGTACTGATCTATTTTGTTGATCTTCTCAAAAAAATCAGCTCCTGGATTCATTGATGTTTTGAAGGGTTTTTTTTTGTGTCTATCTCCTTCAGTTCTGCTCTGATCTTAGTTATTTCTTGCCTCTGCTAGCTTTTGAATTTGTGAGCTCTTGCTTTTCTAGTTCTTTTAATGATGATGTTAGGGTGTTGATTTTAGATCTTTCCTGCTTTCTCTTGTAGGCATTTAGTGCTATAAATTTCCCTCTACACACTGCTTTAAATGTGTCCCAGAGATTCTGCTACATTGTGTCTTTGTTCTCATTGGTTTCAAAGAACACCTTTATTTCTGCGTTCATTTCATTATTTACTCCTTCAGGATAAGGTTGTTCAGTTTCCATGTAGTTGTGCAGTTTTGAGAGAGTTTCTTAATCCTGAGTTCTAATTTGATTACACTGTGTTCTGAGAGACAGTTTGTTGTGATTTCTCTTCTTTTTCATTTGCTGAGGAGTGTTTTACTTCCAATTGTGTGGTCAATTTTAGCATAAGGGCAATTTGGTGCTAAGAAAATGTATATTCTGTTGATTTGGGATGGAGAGTTCTGTAGATGTCTATTAGGCCCACTTGGTGCAGACCTGAGTTCAAGTCCTGAATATCCTTGTTAACATTCTGTCTTGTTGATCTGTCTAATGTTGATAATGGGGTGCTAACGTCTCCCATTATTATTGTATGAGAGTTTATGTCTCTTTGTAGGTCTCTAAGGACTTGCTTTATGAATCTGTGTGCTCCTGTATTGGGTGCATATATATTTAGGATAGTTAGCTCTTCTTGCTCCATTGATCCCTTTCCCATTATGTAATGACCTTCTTTGTCTCTTTTGATCTTTGTTGGTCTAAAGTCTGTTTTATTAGAGACTAGGATTGCAACCCCTGCTTTTTTTTGTTTTCCATTTGCTTGGTAGATCTTCCTCCATCCCTTTATTTTGAGCCTATGTGTGTTTCTGTATGTGAGATGGGTCTCCTGAATACGGCACACTGATGGGTCTTGATTCTTTATCCAATTTGCCAGTCTGTGTCTTCTAACTGGGGCATTTAGCTCATTAACATGTAAGGTTAATATTGTTATGTGTGATTTAGATCCTGTCATTATGATGTTAGCTGGTTATTTTGCCCGTTAATTGATGCAGTTTCTTCCTAGCCTTGATGGTCTTTACAATTTGGCATGTTTTTGCAGTGGCTGGTACCGGTTGTTCCTTTCCATGTTTAGTGATTCCTTCAGAAGCTCTTTTAAGGCAGGCCTGGTGGTGACAAAATCTCTCAGCATTTGCTTGTCTGTAAAGGATTGTATTTCTCCTTCAATTATGAAGCTTAGTTTGGCTGGACATGAAATTCTGGGTTGAAAATGTTTTTCTTTAAGAATGTTGAATACTGGCCCCCACTCTTCTGGCTTGTAGGGTTTCTGCTGAGAGATCAGCTGTTAGTCTGATGGGCTTCCCTTTGTGGGTAACCCGACCTTTCTCTCTGGCTGCCCTTAACATTTTTTTCTTCATTTCAACCTTGGTGAATCTGACAATTATGTATCTTGGGGTTGCTCTTCTCGAGCAGTATCTTTGTGGTGTTCTCTATTTCCTGAATTTGAATATTGGCCTGCCTTGCTCGGTTGGAGAAGTTCTCCTGGCTTATATCTTGAAGGGTGTTTTCTAAATTGGTTCCATTCTCCCCATCACTTTCAGGTACACCAATGAAATGCAGATTTGGTCTTTTCACATAGTCCCATATTTCTTGGAGGCTTTGTTTGTTTCTTTTCCCTCTTTTTTCTCTAATCTTGTCTTCTTGCTTTATTTCATTAATTTGATCACCAGTCACTTATATCCTTTCTTCCACTTGATTGAATCGGCTATTGAACCTTGTGCATGTGTCACGGAGTTCTCCTGCTGTGGTTTTCAGCTTCATCAGGTCACATAAGTTCTTCTGTAAACTGTTTATTCTAGTTAGCCATTGGTCTAACCTTTTTTCAAGGTTTTTAGCTTCCTTGTGATGGGTTAGAACATCCACCTTTTAGCTCAGAGAAGTTTGTTATTACCGACCTTCTTAAGCCTACTTCTGTCAACTTGTCAAACTCATTCTCCCTCCAGTTTGGTTCCCTTGCTGGTGAGGAGATGTGATTCTTTAGAGGAGAAGAGTGCTCTGGTTTTTGGAATTTTCAGCTTTTGTGCTCTGATTTCTCCCCATATTTGTGGTTTTATCTACCTTTGGTGTTTGATGTTGGTGACCTACAGATGGGGTTTTGGTGTGGATGTCATTTTTGTTGGTGTTGATGCTATTCCTTTCTGTTTGTTCATTTTCCTTTTGACAGTCAGGTCCCTCAATTGCAGGTCTATTGGAGTTTGCTGGATGTCCACTCAAGACCCTGTTTGCTTGGGTATCACCAGTGGATGGTGCAGAACAGTAAATATTGATGCCAGATCCTTCCTCTGGAAGCTTCATCCCAGAGGGGAACCTGCCTGTATGTGGTGTTTCTCAGCCCATACTGGGAGGTGTCTCCCAGTCAAGCTACACGGGGGTCAGGGATCCACTTGAGCAGTCAGTCTGTCTGTTCTCAAAGCTCAAACACCTTGCTGGGAGAACCACTGCTCTTTTCAGAGCTTTCAGACAGCGACATTTAAGTCTGCAGAAGTTGTCTGCTGCCTTTTGTTCAGTGATGCCTTGCCCACAGAGGTGGACTCTAGAGAGGCAGTAGGCCTTGCTGAGCTGCAGTGGGCTCTGCCCAGTTTCAGCTTCACAGCCACTTTGTTTACCTATTCAAGCCTCAGCAATGATGGATGCCTTTCCCCCCTGCCAGGCTGCAGCCTTCCAGGTCAATCTCAGACTGCTGTGCTAGCAGTGATCAAGGCTCTGTGGGCGTGGGACCTGCCAAGCCAGGCATGGGAGGGCATCCCCTGGTCTGCCGGTTGCTAAGACTGTGGGAAAAATGCAGTATTTGGGCGAGAGTTTACCATTCCTCCAGGTACAGTCTGTCACAGCTTCCCTTGCCTAGAAAAGGGAAATCCCCCTACCCCTTGTGCTTCCCAGGTTAGGCAATTCTCCACCCTGCTTCAGCTCATGCTCTGTTGGCTGCATCCACTGTCCAACCAGTCCCAATGATATGAACCAGGTACCTCAGTTGGAAATGCAGAAATCACTCAACTTCTACATTGATCTCACTGGGAGCTACAGACCAGAGTTGTTCCTATTCAGCCATCTTGGAAGTGAATCCCAGACATTTTAAATGAAAGATAAAGTCTCTGTATTGTGTAGATTATAGCAAGTGCTGAGTAAAACATCTGATCAAAAGGTATGGGTTGTTGTGTCCCTGTGTTGGAACATTGTGTTTCAGTTCATAAATATTAGTCAGCCCTTTCTTCCTAAAACACGCTTATATTGAGTCTCATCCAGGGCAATAGAAGCAGAGCTTGGGAAATGGGATTTAAGACATAAGGTTCCTAAACAGTCTATATGACTGTTCTGTTTCTGGCTTTTTCTAAGATCACATGCAGGCTGTGATGAGTTAGCAAACTGGAAATAAAAGAAACATTTTGCTGTGTAGTATTTGCTAATTTTCATGTTGTAAATACTCCCAACATCACTGACTTTAAGCTTCTTATGGTTAACAACCTATTCACAATATTTCTGATTATTTAATAATTGGCTCTTATGAATAGAAATAGCTTCAATTCAACTGAGTCCAGGGTATCAAAACACATTATTTCTTTTTTTTTACAAAAAACATTTATTTTATGTTTACAGGGTACATGTGCAAAATGTCCAGGTTTGTTACATGGGTAAATGGGTGTCATGGGGTTTGTTATACAGATTATTTTCTCACCCAGGTATTAAGCCTAATATCCATTAGTTATCTTTCCTAATCCTCTCTCTCCTCCCACCATCCACCTTCTGATAGGCCACAGTATGTGTTGTTCCCCTCTATGTGTCCATGTGTTCTCATAATTTAGCTCCCACTTATAAGTGAGAACATGTGGTATTTGGTTTTCTGTTTCTGTTAGTTTGCTGAGGATAATGGCCTCCAGTTCCATCCATGCTCCTGCAAAGGACACAATCTCATTCTTTTTTATGGCTGCATAGTATTCCGTGGTGCGTATGTATCATATTTTCTTTATCCAGTCTATCATTGATGGTCATTTAGGTTGATTCCATGTCTTTGCTATTGCAAATAGTGCTGCAATAAATGTGCATAGGCAAGTGTCTTTATAATAGAACAATGTATATTCCTTTAGGTATATGCCCAGTAATTGGATTGCTGGGTTCTCTCTATAGGTCTTTGAGGAATTGTCACACTGTCTTCCACAATAGTTAAACTAATTTACACTCCCACCAACAGTGTATAAGCATTCCTTTTTCTCCACAATCTTGCCAGGATTTATTTTTGACTTTTTAATAGTAGTCATTCTAACTGGTGTGAGATGCTCTCTCATTGTGGTTTTCATTTGCATTTATCTAATAATCAGTGATATTCAGCTTTTTTTCATATGCTTGTTGCCTATGTGTTTGTCTTCCTTTGAAAATTGTCTGTTCATGTACATTCCTCAATTTTTAATAGAGTTGTTTGTTTTTTTCTTTTAAATTGGTTTAAGTTCTTATAAATTGGTTTAAAGATGCTGGATAGGCCAGGCGCAGTGGTCATACCTGTAATCCCAGCATTTTGGGAGCCTGAGGCAGGTGGATCACCTGAGGTCAGGAGTTCAAGACTAGCCTGGCCAACAGGGTGAAACCCCATCTGTACAAAAAATATTAAAAATTAGACAGGAATGATGGTGGGTGCCTGTAATCCCAGCTGCTCAGGAGGCTGAGGCGGGAGAATCATTTGAACCTCAGAGGCAGAGGTTGCAGTGAGCTGAGATCACACCATTGCAGTCCAGCTGGGGGACAGAGTGAGACTCCATCTCAAAAATATATAAATAAATAAACAAATAAATGCTAGATGTTACACCTTTGTCAAAGGCTTAGTTTGCAAAATTTTTTCAATTCTCTAGGTTGTCTGTTTACCCTGTTGATATTTTATTTTGCTGTACAGAAGCTTTTTAGTTTAATTCAATACCATTTGACAATTTTTACTTTTGTTACAATTGCTTGTGGCTTCTTCCTCAGGAAATCTTTGCACATGCCTATGTCTTGAATGGTATGGCTTAGGTTGTCTTCCAGGGTTTTTATAGTTGAGTTTTTACATTTAAGTTATTAATAAATCTTGAGTTAATTTTTGTATGTGGTTTAAGAAAGGGGTACAGTTTCAATTTTCTGAATATGGCTAGCCAGTTATCTCAGCACCATTTACTGAATAAGGAATCCTTTCCCCATTGCTTGTTTTTGCCAAATTGATCACAAATCAGATAGTTGTAGGTGTGTGGTCTTATTTCTAGGTTCTCTATTCTCTTCCATTGATCTATATGTATGTTCTTGTACCAGTACCATGCTGTTTTGGTTACTCTAGCCCTGTAGTATAGTTTGAAGTTGGGTAGCTTGATGCCTTCAACTTTGTTCTTTTTGCTGAGGATTGCCTTAGCTATTTGGGCACATTTTTGGATCCATATAAATTTTAAAACAGTTTTTTCTAGTCCTGTGAAGAAAATCATGGTAGTTTAATCAGAATACCATTGAATCTATAAATTGCTTGGGCAGTATGGCCATTTTAGCAATATTGATTCTTTGTATCTATGAGTGTAAAATGTTTTTCCATTTGGTTGTGTCATCTCTGATTCCTTTGAGCAGTGGTTTTTAGTTCTCCTTGTAGAGATCCTTTACCTCCCTTGTTAGTTTTATTTCTAGATGTTTTATTCTTTTGTGGCAATTGTGAATGGGAGTTTGTTTGTGATTTGGCTTTCAGCTTGGCTGCTGTTGGAGTGTAGAAATGCTAGTGATTTTTGCACATTTATTTTGTATCCTGAGACTTTGCTGAAGTTGTTTATCAACTTAAGAGGCTTTTCAGTTGAGATGATGGGGTTTTCTACATATAAGATTTTGTCATCTGCAAACAGGGATAGTTTGACTTCTTCTCTTTCTATTTGAATGTCCTTTATTTTTTCTCTTGACTGATTACCCGGGCCAGAATTTCCAACACTATGTTGAATAGGAGGGATGAGAGGAGGCATCAACTTTTTGTACTGGTTTTCAAGGGGGATACTTCCAGCTTTTGTGCATTCAGTATGATATTGGCTGTGGGATTCTTATATATGGCTCTTATTATTTTAAGGTACATTCCTGCAACACTTAGTTTATTGAGAGTTTGTAACATGAATGGATGTTGAATTTTATCAAGAGCATTTTCTACATCTATAGAGAAAAAGATGAGTTTTTGTTTTCAATTGTTTATGTGATAAATCACATTTACTGATTTGTGTATTTTGAACAAACCTTGCATCCCAGGGATGAAGCCTACTTTATAATTGTAGATTAGATTTTTGATGTGCTGCTGGATTTGGTTTGCCAGTATCCTGTTGAGGATTTTTCCATTAGTGTTCACAAAGGATACTGGCATGAAGTTTTCTTTTTTTGTTGTGTCTTTGCCAGGTTTTGGTATAAGGATGACTCTGGCCTCATAGAATGAGTTAGGGAGATGTTTCTCTTTTTCAGTTTTTGGAAAAGTTTCAGTAGGAATGGTACCAGATCTTCTTTGTACATCTGGTAAAATGCAGCTGAGAAGCCATCTGATCATGGGTTTTTTTTTTTTGTTTGGTAAGCTAATTATTACCGCCTCAATTTCAAAATTCATTACTGGTCTCTTCAGGGATTCAGTTTCTTCTTGATTCAGTCTTGGGAGGGTGTATGTGTCCAGGAATCTATCCATTTCTTCTAGATTTTTTAGTTTATGTGCATAGAGGTGTTTATAATATTCTCTGATGATTGTATTTCTCTTGGGTCGCTGGTAACATCCCCCTTATAATTTCTGATTGTATTTGAATCTTCTCTCCTTTTTTCTTTATTAGTCTATCTAGCAGTCTATCTTTTTTATTATTTTTTTCAGAATAGCAGCTTCTGGATTTGATGATGTTTTGAATGTTTTTTCATGTCTATATCATTCAGTTCAGCTCTGATTTTGCTTATTTCGTTTCTTCTACTAGCTTTGGGCTTTGTTTGCTTTTGGTTTTCTAGTTTTTTTAGTTGTGATGTTAGATTGTTAACTTGAGATCTTTCTAGCTTTTGGTGTGGGCATTTAGTGCTATAAATTTCCCTCTTAACGCTGCCTTAGTGGTATCCCAGTGATTCTGGTACGTTTTACTTTTGTTCTCATTAGTTTCAAAGAACTTCTTGATTTCTACCTTAATTTCATTATTTACCCAAAAATCATTCAGGAGAAGTTGATTTAATTTCCATGAAATTGTATGGTTTTGAGTTAATTTCTTTGTTTTCAGTTCTAACTGGATTGTGCTGTGGCCTGAGAAACTGTTCATTATAATTTCAGTTCCTTTGCATTTGCTTAGGAATGTTTCACTTCTGAATATGTGATCAATTTCACAGAAAGTGTCATGCGGCACTGAAAAGAATGTATATTCTTTTGGTTTTGGGTGGAGAGTTCTATAGATATCTATCAGGTCCATTTGACCCAGTTCAGGTTCTGAATATTTTTGTTAGTTTTCTTTGTCAATGATTTAATATTGTCAGTGGGGTGTTAAAGTCTCCCACTGTGTGGGAGTCTAAGTCTCTTTGAAGGTCTCTAAGGATTTTCTTTATGAATCTGGGTGCTCCTGAGTTGGGTGCATGTATATTTAGGATAGTTAAGTCTTCCTGATAAATTGAACCCTTTATGTTGAATTGGAGCTCGTTTAATAGAACTCTGTTGACTTACCCCATTATGTAATGCCCTTCTTTGTCTTTTTTGATCTCTGTTGGTTTAAACTCCGTTTTGTTAGAAACCAGGATTGCAACACCTGATATTTTTTTCTGCTTTCCATTTGTTTGGTAAATTTTCCTCCATCCCTTTATTTTGAGCCTATGTGTGTCATCAAATGTGAGATGGGACTTTTGAAGACAACATGCCAATGGGTTTTGGTTCTTTTTTTTTTTTTTTTTATAAAACTATCTTTTTTCTTTTTTTTTTTTAATTATACTTTAAGTTTTAGGGTACATGTGCACATTGTGCAGGTTAGTTACATATGTATACATGTGCCATGCTGGTGTGCTGCACCCACTAACTCGTCATCTAGCATTAGGTATATCTCCCAATGCTATCCCTCCCCCCTCCCCCCTCCCCACCACAGTCCCCAGAGTGTGATATTCCCCTTCCTGTGTCCATGCGATCTCATTGTTCAATTCCCACCTGTGAGTGAGAATATGCGGTGTTTGGTTTTTTGTTCTTGCGATAGTTTACTGAGAATGATGGTTTCCAATTTCATCCATGTCCCTACAAAGGACATGAACTCATCATTTTTTATGGTTGCATAGTATTCCATGGTGTATATGTGCCACATTTTCTTAATCCAGTCTATCATTGTTGGACATTTGGGTTGGTTCCAAGTCTTTGCTATTGTGAATAATGCCGCAATAAACATACGTGTGCATGTGTCTTTATAGCAGCATGATTTATAGTCATTTGGGTATATACCCAGTAATGGGATGGCTGGGTCAAATGGTATTTCTAGTTCTAGATCCCTGAGGAATCGCCACACTGACTTCCACAAGGGTTGAACTAGTTTACATTCCCACCAACAGTGTAAAAGTGTTCCTATTTCTCCACATCCTCTCCAGCACCTGTTGTTTCCTGACTTTTTTATGATTGCCATTCTAACTGGTGTGAGATGATATCTCATAGTGGTTTTGATTTGCATTTCTCTGATGGCCAGTGATGATGAGCATTTTTTCATGTGTTTTTTGGCTGCATAAATGACTTCATTGAGAAGTGTCTGTTCATGTCCTTCGCCCACTTTTTGATGGGGTTGTTTGTTTTTTTCTTGTAAATTTGTTTGAGTTCATTGTAGATTCTGGATATTAGCCCTTTGTCAGATGAGTAGGTTGCGAAAATTGTCTCCCATGTTGTAGGTTGCCTGTTCACTCTGATGGTAGTTTCTTTTGTTGTGCAGAAGCTCTTTAGTTGAATTAGATCCCATTTGTCAATTTTGGCTTTTGTTGCCATTGCTTTTGGTGTTTTGGACATGAAGTCCTTGCCCATGCCTATGTCCTGAATGGTAATGCCTAGGTTTTCTTCTAGGGTTTTTATGGTTTTAGGTCTAACGTTTAAATCTTTAATCCATCTTGAATTGATTTTTGTATAAGGTGTAAGGAAGGGATCCAGTTTCAGCTTTCTACATATGGCTAGCCAGTTTTCCCAGCACCATTTATTAAATATGGAATCCTTTCCCCATTGCTTGTTTTTCTCAGGTTTGTCAAAGATCAGATAGTTGTAGGTAAGCGGCATTATTTCTGAGGGCTCTGTTCTGTTCCATTGATCTATATCTCTGTTTTGGTACCAGTACCATGCTGTTTTGGTAACTGTAGCCTTGTAGTATAGTTTGAAGTCAGGTAGTGTGATGCCTCCAGCTTTGTTCTTTTGGCTTAGGATTGATTTGGCGATGCGGGCTCTTTTTTGGTTCCATATGAACTTTAAAGTAGTTTTTTCCAATTCTGTGAAGAAAGTCATTGGTAGCTTGATGGGGATGGCATTGAATCTGTAAATTACCTTAGGCAGTATGGCCATTTTCACGATATTGATTCTTCCTACCCATGAGCATGGAATGTTCTTCCATTTGTTTGTATCCTCTTTTATTTCCTTGAGCAGTGGTTTGTAGTTCTCCTTGAAGAGGTCCTTCACATCCCTTGTAAGTTGGATTCCTAGGTATTTTATTCTCTTTGAAGCAATTGTGAATGGGAGTTGACTCATGATTTGGCTCTCTGTTTGTCTGTTGTTGGTGTATAAGAATGCTTGTGATTTTTGTACATTGATTTTGTATCCTGAGACTTTGCTGAAGTTGCTTATCAGCTTAAGGAGATTTTGGGCTGAGACGATGGGGTTTTCTAGATAAACAATCATGTCGTCTGCAAACAGGGACAATTTGACTTCCTCTTTTCCTAATTGAATACCCTTTATTTTCTTCTCCTGCCTGATTGCCCTGGCCAGAACTTCCAACACTATGTTGAATAGGAGCGGTGAGAGAGGGCATCCCTGTCTTGTTCCAGTTTTCAAAGGGAATGCTTCCAGTTTTTGCCCATTCAGTATGATATTGGCTGTGGGTTTGTACTTCCAACTATGTGGTCAATTTTGGAATAGGTGTGGTGAGGTGCTGAAAAAAATGTATATTCTGTTGATTTGGGGTGGAGAGTTCTGTAGATGTCTATTAGGTCCGCTTGGTGCAGAGCTGAGTTCAATTCCTGGGTATCCTTGTTGACTTTCTGTCTCATTGATCTGTCTAATGTTGACAGTGGGGTGTTAAAGTCTCCCATTATTAATGTGTGGGAGTCTAAGTCTCTTTGTAGGTCACTCAGGACTTGCTTTATGAATCTGGGTGCTCCTGCATTGGGTGCATATATATTTAGGATAGTTAGCTCCTCTTGTTGAATTGATCCCTTTACCATTATGTAATGGCCTTCTTTGTCTCTTTTGATCTTTGTTGGTTTAAAGTCTGTTTTATCAGAGACTAGGATTGCAACCCCTGCCTTTTTTTGTTTTCCATTTGCTTGGTAGATCTTCCTCCATCCTTGTATTTTGAGCCTATGTGTGTCTCTGCACGTGAGATGGGTTTCCTGAATACAGCACACTGGTGGGTCCTGACTCTTTATCCAACTTGCCAGTCTGTGTCTTTTAATTGGAGAATTTAGTCCATTTACATTTAAAGTTAATATTGTTATGTGTGATTTGATCCTGTCATTATGATGTTAGCTGGTGATTTTGCTCGTTAGTTGATGCAGTTTCTTCCTAGTCTGGATGCTCTTTACATTTTGGCATGATTTTGCAGCGGCTGGTACCGGTTGTTCCTTTCCATGTTTAGCGCTTCCTTCAGGAGCTCTTTTAGGGCAGGCCTGGTGGTGACAAAATCGGTCAGCATTTCCTTGTCCGTAAAGTATTTTATTTCTCCTTCACTTATGAAGCTTAGTTTGGCTGGATATGAAATTCTGGGTTGAAAATTCTTTTCTTTAAGAATGTTGAATATTGGCCCCCACTCTCTTCTGGCTTGTAGGGTTTCTGCCGAGAGATCCGCTGTTAGTCTGATGGGCTTCCCTTTGAGGGTAACCCGACCTTTCTCTCTGGCTGCCCTTAACATTTTTTCCTTCATTTCAACTTTGGTGAATCTGACCATTATGTGTCTTGGAGTTGCTCTTCTCGAGGAGTATCTTTGTGGCATTCTCTGTATTTCCTGAATCTGAACGTTGGCCTGCCTTGCTAGATTGGGGAAGTTCTCCTGGATAATATCCTGCAGAGTGTTTTCCAACTTGATTCCATTCTCTGCATCACTTTCAGGTACACCAATCAGACGTAGATTTGGTCTTTTCACATAGTCCCATATTTCTTGGAGGCTTTGCTCATTTCTTTTTATTCTTTTTTCTCTAAACTTCCCTTCTCGCTTCATTTCATTCATTTCATCTTCCATTGCTGATACCCTTTCTTCCAGTTGATCGCATCGGCTCCTGAGGCTTCTGCATTCTTCACGTAGTTCTCGAGCCTTGGTTTTCAGCTCCATCAGCTCCTTTAAGCACTTCTCTGTATTGGTTATTCTAGTTATACATTCTTCTAAATTTTTTTCAAAGTTTTCAACTTCTTTGCCTTTGGTTTGAATGTCCTCCCGTAGCTCAGAGTAATTTGATCGTCTGAAGCCTTCTTCTCTCAGCTCGTCAAAATCATTCTCCATCCAGCTTTGTTCCATTGCTGGTGAGGAACTGCGTTCCTTTGGAGGAGGAGAGGCGCTCTGCATTTTAGAGTTTCCAGTTTTTCTGTTCTGTTTTTTCCCCATCTTTGTGGTTTTATCTACTTTTGGTCTTTGATGATGGTGATGTACAGATGGGTTTTTGGTGTGGATGTCCTTTCTGTTTATTAGTTTTCCTTCTAACAGACAGGACCCTCAGCTGCAGGTCTGTTGGAATACCCTGCCGTGTGAGGTGTCAGTGTGCCCCTGCTGGGGGGTGCCTCCCAGTTAGGCTGCTCGGGGGTCAGGGGTCAGGGACCCACTTGAGGAGGCAGTCTGCCCGTTCTCAGATCTCCAGCTGCGTGCTGGGAGAACCACTGCTCTCTTCAAAGCTGTCAGACAGGGACATTTAAGTCTGCAGAGGTTACTGCTGTCTTTTTGTTTGTCTGTGCCCTGCCCCCAGAGTTGGAGCCTACAGAGGCAGGCAGGCCTCCTTGAGCTGTGGTGGGCTCCACCCAGTTCGAGCTTCCAGGCTGCTTTGTTTACCTAAGCAAGCCTGGGCAATGGCGGGCGCCCCTCCCCCAGCCTCGTTGCCGCCTTGCAGTTTGATCTCAGACTGCTGTGCTAGCAATCAGCGAGATTCCGTGGGCGTAGGACCCTCCGAGCCAGGTGTGGGATATAGTCTCGTGGTGCGCCGTTTTTTAAGCCGGTCTGAAAAGCGCAATATTCGGGTCGGAGTGACCCGATTTTCCAGGTGCGTCCGTCACCCCTTTCTTTGACTCGGAAAGGGAACTCCCTGACCCCTTGCGCTTCCCAGGTGAGGCAATGCCTCGCCCTGCTTCGGCTCGCGCACGGTGCGCGCACCCACTGGCCTGCACCCACTGTCTGGCACTCCCTAGTGAGATGAACCCGGTACCTCAGATTGAAATGTAGAAATCACCCGTCTTCTGCGTCGCTCACGCTGGGAGCTGTAGACGGGAGCTGTTCCTATTCGGCCATCTTGGCTCCTCCCCAGTCGGGTTTTGGTTCTTTATCGATCTTGCTGCTCTGTGTCTTTTAATTGGGGCATTTAGCTCATTTACATTTAATGTTAGCATTGTTATGTATGAATTTGATTCTGTCATTGTGATGTTAGCTGGTTATTTTGCAAACATTTATGTGGTTGCTTCATAGTGTCACTGGTGTATGTACTTCAGTGTGTTTTCGTAGTGGCTGGTAATAGTTTTTCCCTTCCATACTAAGTGCTTCCTTCAGGAGCTCTTGTAAGGCAGGTCTGGCGGTAATACATACCTTCAACATATGCTTGTTTGAAAAAGGATCTTATTTTTTCTTTGCTTATGAAGCATAGTTTGGCCAGATATGAAATTCTGGGTTAAAATTTCTTTTATGAATGTTGAATATTGGTCCCAATTTCTCCTGGCTTTGAGGGTTTCCACTGAGAGGTCCACTTTTAGTCCGATGGGCTTCCCTTTGCAGGTGACCTTGTCTCTGTCTCTGGCTGCCCTTAACATTTTTTCTTTCATATCAACCTTGTAGAATCTGATGATTGTGTGTCTTGGGGATGATCTTCTCATGGAGTATCTTACTGGGGTTCTCTGCATTTCCTGAATTTGAATGTTGGCCTGTCTAGCTAGGTTGGGAAACTTTTTATAAATAATATCCTGAAATATGTTTTTCAAATTTGTTTTATTCTCCCCATCTCTTTCACGTACACCAATCAGTCACAGATTCATTTTTTTTACACAATCCCATATTTCCTGCAGGTTTTGTTTATTTCCTTTTATTCTTTTTTCTCTATTTTTGTCTGCCTGTCTTATTTCAAAAAGAAGGTCTTGAAGCTCACACTTTTTCTCCATTTGGTGTATTCTGCTATTAATACTTGCAATTGAATTATGAAATTCTTGTGTATTTTTCAGCTCTATCAGGTCAGTTACATTCTTCTCTGTACTGGATATTTTGTTTGTCAGCTCCTGCACTGGTTTATCATGGTTTTTAACTTGCTTGAATTGGGATACGATGTGCTCCTTTAGCTCAGTGAAATTCATTTTTATCCATATTCTGAATTCTACTTCTGTCACTTCAGCCGTTTTAGTCTCAGCCCAGTTCTGAACCCTTGCTGAAGAGGTGATTTGGGCATTTGTAGGAACAAGAGCACTCTGGCTTTTCGAGGTTTCAGTGTTCTTGCAGTAATTCTTTCTCATCTTTGTGGGCTTATCTACCTTCATTCTTTGAGGTTATTGATATTTGGTTGGGTTTTATTTTCTCTTAACAGTCTGGCCACATTTCAGTAGGGCTGCTTCAGTTTGCTGGGGGTCCACTCCAATCCTTAGTCACCTTAGATTTTTCAGTATCTGGAGGTATCACCAGTGAAGACTGCACAACAGCAAAGATGGCAGCCTGCAGCCTTTTTTGGGAGCTTCATTCCGGAATGTACAGACTTCTTGCCAGCCTGAATGCACCAGTAGGAGGTGGCTGGAGATGTTGGTTGGGAGGTCTCACCCACTCAGGAAGAACAGAATTGGGGACCTACTTAAAAAGGCAGTCAGCAATGCTTTCATAAAGCAGGTGTGCTGGGCTGGGGTACCGCTTTTACCTCCAGTCAGTTAGCTTGGGATCTCCAAAGTCTGGAGACTGGAATGGCTAAGTCACTGAAACACCAAAGATGGCAGACCATTCCTCCTTCTAGCAGCTCTGTCTCAGAAAGTTTTCAAATCTCTGTTAGCCAGAGAACATTGGCAGGAATAGCTGGAGTCCCCAGTTAGGAGGTTCCCCCTACTGAGGAGGAACAAATCAGGGACTCACTTAAAGAAGCAGTGTGGCCATGCTTTTATAGAGCAGCTGTGTTATGCTGGGGTGCCACTTCTGCCCTGGTCAGCTTGGGCTCTCTAAAGCCCACAGGCTAGAATGGCTGAGTTGCTCAAGGAGCACAGATTGCAGCCTGCCCCTCCCCTTGGGAACTTCATCCTGTCCCAGGTCCCAGATAGGTGCAACACTGTTGCCGGTGGCTGGCTGGAATTCCAAGCCAGTGAGTCTTATGCTGTGAGGCACCATAGAAGTGGGGCCCGCAGACCATCACTACTCAGCACCCTGTATTCAGCCCCCTTTTAGGGGTATGTATGATAGTTCAACCTCCTGCCTTGCCTGAGTTGCAGTCACCTTTGCCAGGAATTCTGGAGCTGGTAGGCCATTTCCCTTCCCTGTTTTTCTCCATTCTCCATGAGTTGAGCTATTTCCTTGATCAGTCCCACTGCAAGTACCTGGATGTTTCAATTGAAGGTGCTGTATTTGCTCATTCCTTTTCTCTCTGTGAAAACCATGCACTGTAGCTGCTTCTAGGCGGCCCCCTCCTGTGTCTTTATTTCTTTGTACACTTTAGTTGTTTCTGGGACCAGACAGATTAGATCCTGTCTTAACAACTTCCAATGTGTGTGACTTTGATATTATATCTACCCTTTTTTTGTGCCTCAGAATTTTTGCCTACAAATTGGAGATAATGTTGCTACACACCTCATAGTTTTGTTGTGAGATTTAAAAGTGATAATTCTCATGATGCTCAGAAATATGTTCTTGACACAGTGTTGCTGCTCAGTAAATGACAGCTATCACCATCATAATCACCATCATCATTATCATTACCATAATCATCACAACTCTTCCTGAAACCACTGCAAAACAGTATGGGATATAAAAGAGAGGAAATTGTAGAGGAGTGAGCCAGAAGTGACACCTCAGGAGTCTTTATTCCCTGACTAGTTCCAGAGAAGGCATGCAAGACACTGTCCTGCAGACTCACCTAGTGGTGTACAGGGAGACCCCCTGAAACTATTGCTGTGGAATAAAAGATGAAATGCTCCTGATTATTGTAAATACAAAATTGTATGCAGGATTGTGTAAAGACAAGGCCAGGTTGGGCTGCCAGAATGAGCCAACAGTGCATGATGTGCTTCCCCCTGCAGAGAGCCTGTGAACAGACGTGCAGTCAGGGAGGTTTCACATCACCAAGATTCCTATCCCAGAAAAGCAGATGTTCATAGCTCTGGGAATGGAATGCGACCCTTGTGGAGAGCCTATAAACGGACGCATGAGGGGCACCTGTTCATATGGATAAGATAGAGCTATAAACACCCTCATCATCTTGCCACAGCTCTTCTAGGCCTCTTTGGGGTTAAGACATACTCCCTTCTGAGAATTTCTGGTCTAACGCATTGTCTAGCTTCACGTCCTGTTTCTATGGATTGTTTGTAAACAGCTTTTGCTGCAACTGTTACTGCTGATTAATATCTTGCTAATCATAGGTTATGGAAAGACTGTTTCTGTTTTAAGGCTCTGTTAGAAATTATTGATGCACACACTATATTGTAAATTCTTATCTCTGTATACTGTACTTCTGCATACAGATGTTATGTTAAAGAATTATTTCATCCCCATGTGACCATCTCACCTCATAATCAAATGACCCTAAATCCCTCACTAACCTACCCTCACCCTCACTAAACTTAATAATAAATGCTGGTATATCCAGTGCATTGGCAGCATCATGGGACCAGAAGGTGGTGACCCCCCTGGACCCAGCTTTCACTATCTTGTATGTGCCTATTATTTCTCAACCTGCTGATCTGCCTGGGAACAAAGAGAGACATTGCATTGCGGGCTGCTGGCCAGATCCCACAATAGTGGTGATCTTACATAATCTGCAACAAAAGTGCAGCCCAGAAAAGGTATTATGACATTCAGGGTGTAGAGATGAGTTTCATTTGGGGGCAGAGGCAAGGGGATCACCTTGAAAGAAACAAAATCCCTCCTTGTCTCTTTAGGAATATTAACAAATAAATTTTACATCTATTACTTTGTTGTGAAGTTATGATTGAAAACAGCATTGTCTATGGGTCAACAGAGAACCAGGGTGAGTCATCACAGGCACATTGGCTCTGAATGGTACTTATGACCTCAGTGCAAAAGGCCTGAACTATTCAATGGCTCATGAAATGTCAATTGCTGACCCTCTGGATGGACTCTCAACTGGAGGGGTTTCTTCAAAGAAAGACTGGGTCTTAGGGTAGATATCTCATGGAAGGACGGACTCTGGAACCATGAAATGACAGACTGGACAAGTAGTTTAGCAAGGAATATTGGAGTACACACTCTTTCTGAAAATGGCATGAGCTACGGGTTCTCCTATGAGACTGAATTTAGACATGTACTTAGGACAAGCTTCAGAAGTTGGGAGAAACAGGCCAGGTGCAGTGGCTCATGCCTGTAGTCCCAGCACTTTGGGAGGCAGAGATGGGCAGATCACTTGAGGTCAGGAGTTCAAGACCAGCCTGGCAAACATGGTGAAACCCTGTCTCTACTAAAAATACAAAAATTAACCAGATGTTGTGGTGGGCACCTGTAATCCCAGCTACTTGGGAGGCTAAGGCAGGAGAATCACTTGAACCTGCGAGGCAGAGTTTGCAGTGAGCTGAGATCATGTCACTGCACCCCAGCCTGGGTGACAGAGCGAGATTCCATCTGATAAAATAAGAAATAATAAAAAATTTAAAAAGAAGTTGGGAGAAACAGGTGTATAGCATGGCTGGCATATGTGTTTAAGGCCCCTTCATGGAAGAGAGAACAAGCCCAGAGGAAAGTAAAAACCACACACTTCCAGGGTCCAAGGCCTTGGATGCCTCTTGGGATAACAAGAGAAGAGTTCTGGTCATTGAAGGATATCTTTTGATTTCTGGCATTAGCCAGATGCTGCCATGGTCTACAATCTAGATCTCCAGGAGAAAAGTCATTGAGTCCAGGTAGGCAATTAGACATTCCATTTGTTGCATACTTTCTACCTCATGATGACTATGCTAGGTATTTCACATGTAATGTCACATTTAATTCTTTCTATAACCACAGTAGCTAGAAATTATTATTCATAATGGACAAGAATTAAAATTAATTTTAAAAATTAAAAGTAATTTAAAAATTAATTTAAAAAAGTAATTAAAATTCAGTATGATAAATTCTGTCTTCAGTACAAGTACAGGAATATATAATAATAAATAGGAGAAGGAGATAATTCAGGGAAATATGTTGGTTTTTTTTCACATAATTCTTCCTTTTAGCTGAGACCTTAAATGTGTTTGACATAATCCTAACCCTAAGAGCTTGCAGGTGAAAGAAAATAAATTTCTTCATAAAGACACCACTGACAAGTGGAAGAAAGCATTTGAGTAATGATGAGTATCTCAAAATGACTGAATGCTGCTTGGAGTTTGGTTGCCAGAGAAAAAAACTGGAAAGATAAAAAGCAACTAGATCATCAAGAAAATAAACAGTTAAGGTGCTAGAAACGTATCCAAAAGGTATTTGTATTTAGTTCTTTCTGCCTCCATATACTGAACGGATTGTACAAAAGTCTGCCTTGTCTGGAATAGTCCTGGTCATTCATCTCTGATCTCTACCTCCTCTACCTACTTGGCTGTATGGGTCAGTGAAGACACAGGCTGCTTTCTTTACACATCTATCACTATTGTTCAAAGGGCCACTATTAGCTCTTTAAGTTATTTCTTCCATGAGGCCAGTGAGTGGGCTATACATCTCAAGAGTTATGCCTAAATTTGGCCTAAGTAAATGCTGCACCTTAGCTGTGACCCTAAATTAGCATTAAACAGCACTCTCCCTGGAACTATCTCAGTAGTCCCTGAGGACTATTTTGATTGTAGTTTAATTATTCTTGCCTCTGTGTAAAATTCAGAGAAACTTACAGGGCAGGGAATAGCCTGGTGGGGGAATATGATGGCATTTATAGGGCATCGCAACATCCAACCACAGGAAAACTTTATCCTCTACCTCTGAAAGATAGAGAGATTGTCAGGTTGCATTTACTTGATAATTCAGTAGAAAATGAGAAAGATAGAGAACATGAATAAAATCATTTAGTTTTAAGACATTACTTATTAAATGAAGGAGATATAGGCAATTAGCTATTCAGAAATATGTGACTGGCAAAAGTTTATTTATTTCAAATTTCAAATGCAAGACCTTTAAGGAGTTTAATTGAGAATGGCAAGAAGCCTAGAGAAAGATGAAGAGAGACATAAAGACAGAGAAACCAAGAAAGAGAGATTAAATGTATAAGACATGAGAAGGAGAAAAAAAATGATGGATAGGAGGAAGGACTAAATTGCAGCATCCACTCGGATGGACAGAGCAGCGTGTGGAGATTCACATTGTGAACTTTTGCTCCAAGAACTACTGGGGAAATATACCAGGAAAGCAGAGAAAATCCACAAACCCTTTGAAGGAAGTGGATTGCTCCTGCAGGACCTGGGAGACAGCAAAATACTGTGAGTGCCCAAACTATGAAGGCAGTAAAAGGGGGTCATCCACCCCTGAACACACACCCTCAGTGGGGAATCTGAAGGTCCAGGTCATGAGAGAAGGATTTGATCTTATCTGGAGCAGAGACAATGTAGAGAGCTGAGCGAAATACAGGGGTAGAGAAAACAGTGGGAAAAGACCTGTGGGCTCTCTGAATCCCCAGGGAAGACATTTCTCACTTGTCTCACAGGCATCCTTGGGGAGGGCTACCAGAGGAACTAGGAAAAGACCACAGGGACAAGAAAACCTTTAGTTGAACTTTCTAACAATTACAACCGGATGTGAAGCTTCCTGTCCAGAACTCGGGGAGGGTGTGAGTCTGGTGTGCAGACTCTACAGGTGAAGGAGGTGTGAAAGCCTTGCTTGCTTTCTCAGCTGGGAGGCTGCTAGACTAGGACAAGTTATCATCCTGCTCACTCACTACCTGGAAACAAAGTTGGTGCTGTTGGTTGGGGCAGGGTGGGAGTAAGACCAGTCTTTTGGGTTGCATGGGAGCTGGGTGAGGCCTGTGACGGACAGCTTTCCCCGACTTCCCTGACAACCTGCATGACGCAGCAGAGGCAGCCATAATCCTCCTGAGAACGTACCTCCATTGTCCTGGGAACCACACCCCGTCCTGCACAGCAGCCACAACAAACCCAACCCAGAGAGTCTGAGCTCAGATACACCTAACCCTGTCCCACCATGGTCTTTCCCCACCGACCCTGGTAGTTGAAGTAAAAAATCATATTCTTTTGGGAGTTCTAGGGCCCCACCCACTGCCTGATCCTCCCTATACTACCACAGCTGATGCTTTCTTGAAAGCACCACCTCCTGGCAAGTGGCCAACCAGCACAAAACTAGTGCACTAAACAACTACAACTAAAGACCAACACAGAGCCCATTCTACTCCCCTGCCCCCTACACCAGAGCAGATGCTGGTATCCATGGCTGAGAGACCTGAATATGGTTCACATCACAGGACTCTGTACACCCCCTGACAAAAAAAAACAGCCCAAAGCCTGGCACTTATGCTGGGTGGCTAGATCCAGAAAAGAAATAACAATCACTACAGTTTGCTCTCAGGAAGCCACATCCCAAAGAAAAGGGGGAGAGTACTGAATCAAAGGATCACACTGTGGGTCAAAAGAATCTGAACACCAGCCCTTGAGCCCCAAATCTTCCCTCTGACATAGACCTCTCAAATGAGAAGAAACAAGAAAACAATTTTGATAATATGACAAAACAAGGTTCTTTAATGCCCACCAAAAAAATCAAACTAGCTCACCAGCAATGGATCCAAAACAAGAAAAAATCCCTGAATTGCCAGAAAAAGAATTCAGAAGGTCAATTATTGAGCTAATCAAAGAAAGGGGCACCAGAAAAAGGTGATGCCCAACTTAAGGAAATTTTTAAAAAATGATACAAGGTATGAGGAGAGAAACCTTCAGTGAATTAGCATAAATATAAAACATTCACAACTTCAGGAAATAAAAGACATACTTACAGAAATGCAAAATTTACTGGAAAGTCTCAGCAATGGAATTAAACAAGCAGAAGAAAGAACTTCAGAGCTCAAAGACAAACTTTTTGAAATAACCCAATCCATCAAAGACAAAGAAATGAGAACTTTAAAAAAAGTGAACATAAACAAAGCCTCCAAAAAGTTTGGGACTATATTAAATGACCAAACATAAGAATAATTGGCATTCCTGTAAAAGAAGAGAAGTCCAAAACTTTGGAAAACACATTTAGGGAAATAACTGAGGAAAACTTGCCCAGAATTGCTAGAGATCTAGACATCCAAATACAAGAAGCTCCAAGAACACCAGACAAATTCATCAAAAAAAGATCATTGCCTAGGCATATAGTCATCAGGTTACCTAAAGTCAAAACGAAGGAAATAATCGTAATACCTATGAGGCAAAGGCACCAGGTAACCTATAAAGAAAAACCTATTAGACTAACAGCAAATTTCTCAGCAGAAACCCTACAAGCTAGAAGGGATTGGGGCCCTATATTCAGTCTCCTTAAACAAAACAATTATCAGCCAAGAATTTTGTATTCAGCAAAACAGCTTTATACATGAAGGAAAGGTACAGTCTATTTCAGACAAGCAAATGCTGAGAGAATTCACCACTACCAAGCCAGCACTACAAGAACCAATAAAAGGAGCCCTAAATCTTGAAATGAATCCTGGAAACACATCAAAAAAAAGCATGAGTCTCACAAGACATATAAAACAAAAATACAATAAACAAAATAAAATGAAGGTATTCAGGCAACAAATAGCATGATGAATGAAACACCACCTCACATCTCATTGCAAACATTGAATGTAAATGGCATTAACGCTCCACTTAAAAGATACAAAATGGCAGAATGGATAAGCATTGAGGCCTTACCCATGGGTAAGGCCTCTTGAGGGCAGTATCTGCTGCCCTCAAGTTACTCATCTAACACATAAGGACTCACATAAACTTGAGTTAAAAAGGTGGAAAAAGACATTCCATGCGAAAGGATACAAAAAGAGAGCAGGAATGGCTATTCTCGTATCAGACAAAACAAACTTTAAAGCAACAGCAGTTGAAAAAAGAGGGATATTAAATAACGATGAAAGGCCTATCCAACAGGAAAATATCACAATCCTGAATATATGTGCACCTAACACTGGAGCTCCCAAATTTATAAAACAATTACTACTAGACCTAAGAAATGAGATAGACAGTAACACAATAATAGTGTGGGACTTCAATCTCTACTGACAGCACTAGACAAGTTATCAAGACAGAAAGTCAACAAAGAAACAATGAATTTAAACTATACCTTAGAACAAATGACTTAACAGTTATTTACAGAACATTCTACCCAACAACCACAGAATATACATTCTATTCATCAGTGCATGAAACTTTCTCCAACATAGATGATGCAGTAGCCACAAAACAAGTCTCAATAAATTTAAGTAAATTAAAATTATATCAAGCACTCAGACCACAGTGGAACAAAAATGGATATCAAATACATAGAAATTAAATAACCTGCTCCTGAATAATCATTGGGTCAACAATGAAATCAAGATGGAAATTTTAAAATTCTAGGAACTGAACGATAATAGTGACACAACCTATGAAAACCTATTGGATACAGCAAAGGCAGTGTTAAGAGGAAAGTTTATAGCCTTAAATGCTAACATCAAAAAGTCTGAAATAGCACAAATAGACAATCTAAGGTCAAACCTCAAGGAACTAGAGAAACAAGAAGAAACCAAACCCAAACCCAGCAGAGAAAAGGAAATAACCAAGATCAGAGCAGAAGTGAATAAAACTGAAACCAAAAAATACAAAATTAAATAAAACAAAAAGCTGGCTATTTGACAAGATAAATAAAATTGATAGACCATTAGCAAGATTAACCAAGAAAAGAAGAGAGAAGATTCAAATAAGCTCAATTAGAAAGGAAATGAGAGACATTACAACTGACATCACAGAAATACAAGATTACTCAAGGCTACTAAGAACACCTTTACATGAATGAACTAGAAAACCTAGAGATGATGGATAAATTTCTAGAAATATGCAACCCTCCTAACTTAAATCAGGAAGAATTGAAAACCCTGAACAAAACAATAACAAGCAGCGAAATTGAAAAGGTAATAAAAATTACCAACAAAAAAACCCAGGAGAACAGGTATTCACAGCTTAATTTAATCAGACATTTAAAGAACAATTGGTACCAATCTTATTGATACTATTTCACAAGATAGATAAGGATAAAATTTTCCCTAAATCATTCTATGAAGCCAGTATTACCATAAGACCAAAATCAGAGAAAGACATAACAAAAAAAGGAATCCGAAGACCAACATAACTGATGAACATAGACGCAAAAATTATGGATAAAATACTAGCTAACCGAATCCAAGAGAATATCAAAAAGATAATCCACCATGAACAAGTGGGTTTCATACCAGGGGTGCAGGAACGGTTTAATATATTCAAGTCAATAAATGTGATACACCACATAAACAGAATTAAAAACAAAAATCACATTATCTCAAGACATTCAGAAAAGCATTTGACAAAATTCAGCATTGCTTTATGATTACAACCCTCAGCAAAATCAGCAAAGGACACACCTCATCTATGACAAAAGCTATCTATGACAAACCACAGCCAACATAATACTGAATGGGGAAAAGTTGAAAGCATTCCCTCAGAGAACTGGAACAAGACAAGGATGCCCACTCTCACCACTCTTCTTCAACATATTACTGGAAGTCCTAGCCAGAGCAATCAGACAAGAGAAATAAAGAACATCCAAATCGGTAAAAAAGAAGCAAAATTGTCGCTGTTTTCTGATTATATTATTGTATACCTAGAAAATAAATACTTCTTCAAAAAGCTCCTCCAACTGATAAATCAATTCAGCAAACTTTCAGAATGCAAAATTAATGTACACAAATCAGTAGCTCTGCTACACGCCAACAGTGACCAAGCTGAGAATCAAGTCAAGAACTCAACCCCTTTTACAATACGTGCAAAAAAAGAAAGAAAATACATAACAATATACCTAACCAAGGACACGAAAGACCCCTACAAGAAAAAAAAAAAAAAACAGAAAACACTGCTGAAAGAAATCATAGATGACACAAACAAATGGAAACACATCCCATGCTCATGGACGGGTAGAATTAATAGTGTGAAAATGACCATACTGCAAAAAGCAATCTACAAAATCGATGCAACTCTCATAAAAATACCATCATCATTCTTCACAGAACTACAAAAAAAAGTCCTAAAATGTATATGAAACCAAAAAAAAGCCCGCATAGCCAAACTAAATCTAAGCAAAATGAACAAATCTGGAGGCATCACAACACCTGACTTCAAACTATATTATAAGGCCATAATCACCAAAACAGCATGGTACAGGTATAAAAATAGGCATATATATATCAATGGATCAGAGTATAGAACCCAGAAATAAACCCAAATACTTACAGCCAATGATCTTGGAGAAAGCAAACAAAACCATAAAGTGGGGAAAAAACACCCTATTCAACAAATGGTGCTGGGATAATCGGCAAACCACACGTAGGACAATAAATCTGGATCCTCATCTCTCACTTTATAGAAAAATCAACTCAAGGTGGATCAAGGACTGAACTCCAAGACCTGAAACCATAAATATTCCAGAAGATAACATCAGAAAGATCTTTCTAGAAATTGGCTTAGGCAAGGATTTCATGACCAATAACCCAAAAGCAAATGCAACAAAAACAAAGATAAATAGGAGGGATTTAATTAAACGAAAGAGCTTCTGCACAGCAAAGAAACAGCAGAGTAAAAAGACAACCCACAGAATGGGAGATCTCAACAATCTACACATCTGCAAAGGACTAATACCCAGAATCTACGACGAACTCAAACAAATCACCAAGAACGAAACAAACAATCCCATCAAAAAATGGGCTTAGGACATGAATAGACAATTCTCAAAAGAAGATATACAAATGGTCCACTAGAAAAAGAAAAAGTTCTCAACATCACTAATGATCAGGGAAATTCAAATCAAAAGCACAAAGCGATACCACCTTATTCTTGTAAGAATGGCCATAATCCCAGGGCAATCAGGCAGGCAAAAGAAATAAAGGGTATTCGATTAGGAAAAGAGGAAGTCAAATTGTCCCTGTTTGCAGATGACATGATTGTATATTTAGAAAACCCCATCATCTCAGCCCAAAATCTCCTTAAGCTGATAAGCAACTTCAGCAAATTCTCAGGATACAAAATCCATGTACAAAAATCACAAGCATTCCTATACACCAATAACAGACAAACAGAGAGCCAAATCATGAGTGAACTCCCATTCACAATTGCTTCAAAGAGAATAAAATACCTGGAATCCAACTTACAAGGGATGTGAAGGACCTCTTCAAGAAGAACTACAAACCACTGCTCAGTGAAATAAAAGAGGACACAAACAAATGGAAGAACTACAAACCACTGTTCAGAGAAATAAAAGAGGACACAAACAAATGGAAGAACATTCCATGCTCATGGACAAGAAGAATCAATATCATGAAAATGGCCATATTGCCCAAGGTAATTTATAGATTCAATGCCATCCCCATCAAGCTACCAGTGACTTTCTTCACAGAATTGGAAAAAAACTACTTTAAAGTTCATATGGAAGCAAAAAAGAGCCCGCATTGCCAAGTCAATCCTAAGCCAAAGAACAAATCTGGAGGGATCACACTACCTGACTTCAAACTATGCTACAAGGCTACAGTAACCAAAACAGCATGGTACTGGACCAAAACAGAGATATAGATCAACGGAACAGAACAGAGTCCTCAGAAATAATACCACACATCTACAACCATCTGATCCTTGACAAACCTGAAAAAACAAGAAATGGGGAAAGGATCCCCTATTTAATAAATGGTGCTGGAAAAATTGGCTAGCCATATGTAGAAAGCTGAAACTGGATCCCTTCCTTACACCTTATACTAAAATTAATTCAAGATGGATTAAAGACTTAAATGTTAGTCCTAAAACCGTAAAACTTTAGAAGAAAACCTAGGCAATACCATTCAGGACATAGGCATGGGCAAGGACTTCGTGACTAAAACACCAAAAGCAATGGCAATAAAAGCCAAAATTGACAAATGGGATGTAATTCAACTAAAGAGCTTCTGCACAGCAAAAGAAACCACCATCAGAGTGAACAAGCAACCTACAGAATGAGAGAAAATTTTTACAATCTACCCATCTGACAAATATCCAGAATCTACAATGAACTCAAACAAATTTACAAGAAAAAAAAACCCATCAAGAAGTGGGTGAAGTATATGAACAGACACTTCTCAAAAGAAGACATTTATGCAGTCAACAGACACATGAAAAAATGCTCATCATCACTGGCCATCAGAGAAATGCAAATCAAAACCACAATGAGATACCATCTCACACCAGTTAGAATGGCGATCATTAAAAAGTCAGGAAACAGCAGGTACAGGAGAGGATGTGGAGAAATAGGAGACACTTTTACACTGTTGGTGGGACTGTAAACTACTTCAACCATTGTGGAAGACAGTGTGGCAATTACTCAAGGATCTAGAACTAGAAATACCATTTGACCCAGCAATGCCATTACTGGGTATATACCCAAAGGATTATAGATCATACTGCTATAAAGACACATGCACACGTAAGTTTATTGCGGCACTATTCACAATAGCAAAGAGTTGGAACCCACCCAAATGTCCATCAATGATAGACTGGATTAAGAAAATGTGGCACATATACACCATGGAATCCTATGCAGTCATAAAAAATGAGTTCATGTCCTTTGTAGGGATGTGGATGAAGATGGAAACCATTATTCTGAGCAAACTATCGCAAGGACAGAAAACCAAACACCACATGTTCTCACTCATAGGTGGGAATTGAACAATGAGAACACTTGGACGCAGGATGGGTAACACCACACACCGGGGCCTGTCGTGCGGTGGGGGGAGGGGGATGGGATAGCATTAGGAGATATACTTAATGTAAATGACGAGTTAATGGGTGCAGCACACCAGCATGGCACATGTATACATATGTAACAAACCTGCACGTTGTGTACATGTACCCTAGAACTTAACGTACAATAAAAATAATAATAATAATAATAAAAGAATGGCCATAATCAAAAAATCAAAAAACAGTAGATGTTTGCGTGGATGTGGTGATCAGGGAACACTTTCACACTGCTGATGGGAATGTAAACTACTACATCCACTATGGAAAACAGTGTGGCGATTCCTTAAAGAACAAAAAGTAGATCTGCCATTTGATCTAGCAATTCCACTACTGAGCATCTACCTAGAGGAAAAGAAGTCATTGTATGAAAAAGATACTTGCAAACATATGTTTATAGCAGCACAATTTGCAATTTCAAAAACATGGAACCAGCCCATTAATCAACAAGTGGATAAAGAAATTGTGATATATATATATATATATATATATATATATATATATATATATATATACACATATCCCCAAAAACCCCATCCAAGGGTCAGCAGCCTCAAAGATTGAAACTAGACAAACTCACGAAGATGAGAAAGAATCAACAACAACAAAAATGCTGAAACTCAAAAGGCTAGAGTGCCTCATCTCCAAATAATTACATCTTTCCAGCAAGGGTGCAGTACTGGATGGAAAATGAGATGAATGAATTGACAGAAGTAAGCTTCAGAAGGTGGGTAATAAAAAACTACACTGAACTAAAGGAGCATGTTCCAACCCAATGCAAAGAAGCTAATAACCTTGATAAAAAGTTAGAATAGCTGCTAACTATAATATATATATATATTCTATAAATATATTATTTATAGAATATGTTATATTCTATAAATATATATATTCTATATATAGAATATATATATAACTAGAATATATATATAGTATTCTATTCTTTATACATATAAAGATATTGTGATTGATATATATAATGGAATAGTACTCAGCCATAAAGAAAACACAAATTGATGGCATTCGCTCCAACCTGGATGGAACTGGAGACTATTATTCTAAGTGAAGTAACTTAGGAATGAAAAACCAAACATCATATGTTCTAACTCATGAGTGGGAGCTAAGCTATGAGAATGTAAAGGCATAAGAATATACAATACACTTAAGGGACTCGGGGGAAAGGGTGGGAAGGGGGTGAGGGATGAAAGACTACAAATTGGGTTTAGCGTGTACTGCTCAGGTGATGGGTGCACCGAAATCTCACAAATCACCACCAACTAACTTACTTGTGTAACCAAATGCCACCTGTTTCTCAAAAACCTATGGAAATAAAAATATTAAAGATAAATAAATTAATTTCTAAGATGCTAGGCAATAACATAATCACAAGTCAGAGTGATCACTTTCCAGTGCACTGGTAATGTGATTACACTTAAATAGAAAGAAAAAGGATAGCATTTTTCCAAGAAAGAAGCAAATACTTGTTCCCACCTACTGGCTATTTTATTTGAGAATGAGTGTTGAAGTTACTGCTGAGAATAAGGGGGCAAGTTTAGTGTAATAAGTATGAAAACTATGAAAAGATCATGACATAACTTTTGTGGATGAGGAGTAAAAAACCTTTCAGAGGAAAATTTAGATGAACAGAGACAACTTTGAAGGCACTACTGTTCCCTTTACCTCCTTGACTGGAAATAAGAGGCAGAGAAGTTAACTGAGATTCCTCAGGAAATAAATTTAGAAATAAAATTAGAACTGCTAGAATTACAAACACTATTATATGTCATTATTACAAAGTCAGTCATCTTCCACATTTGCAATGATTCTACATGAGAAAAGAAAGGAGCCTTAGGACTGTAGAGTAGGTGACTTAATCTAAGGAGAAGACTAGAAATAAATGGGAAAAGCAAGGTAAAATAGAATATTGTTTAATTAAGAAAGGCAAGTCAGAAGACTCTCAACTATCCCTCATGTGTATTCACTAGTCTACTCATGAAAATATGTAGACAGGAAGACAAGGAATAGGACTTTGAAATGACACAGCCTTCCTGTGTGTGGGGAACCCTTTTTAACCTCATGAAATCAGATGGCAATGTGCTGATTATTCATGCTTTACACCAACATCCTGAAGAAAAAGTGAGGCAGAAATTTCTGAGGATCTTATAAAGCAGCATATAGATTCCACAGGGTCTCCATAGTTATTCTCAAATAAATGGAGCACCTAGACCCATGTGAATTTTAGGGTTTCCTAAGAGGAAAAACATTTTGAGTTTCTATCATGGATGAATAAGCTAAGTATCAAGGTTTTGGACAATTTTTAAAAGTTCATTTCTTCCTATATCTTCCTACCTTACAATGATAGTCCCTGTTCTATAGTACCTAAATTTTTTCTTTAATGGCATTAAGTGACCCTAGCAAGGATGCTTCTAGATGCTACAGAAAGGTTCTTAGACTATCAGCCCATGTAGATCTGGGCAAGCAACAATGGTAGAACCATAGCAAATCTCCATTTCTACCACCAACTTAATACACTTTTTTTGTGCCTAGCTTCTCTTTTTTCTGAAAGAAGACATTTCACAGCCAGGTGCCAAGAAGCTACACCTTTAGGATTCAGTCTCTTCATTGCTTTCTTTATAGAATCTGCCCTTTCCCCATCAAAGTGGCAACCACAATGAGAATATTTATTAAATTCCTTGTAGGAAAATGATTATCAGACATTAGCATGAACCAAAGTCACCTGAAGGACTTGTTAGAATACAAATTGCTGAGAAATTAGCTTCTTTGCATTGGGTTAGAACATGATCCTTTAGCTCAGCATAGTTTTTTATTACATATCTTCTGAAGCCTACTTCTGCAAAGTAGTATTCTTAGAGTTTCTGATATTAAAGGTTGGAGATGGATCCATAAAATTCATATTTTTAACAAGTTCCCAGGTGATAATGATGTTGCAGGCCTGGAAACCATACTTTGAGAACCACTGGCACATATATATGGAAGACAGTGAGTTAAAGATAACACAGGGCCAGGTGCAGTGGCTCACGCCTGTAATCCCAGCACTTTGGGAGGCCTAGGCAGGTGGATAACCTGAGGTCAGGAGTTCAAGACCAGCCTGGCCAGCATGGCGAAAGCCTGTCTCTACTAAAAAATACAAAAATTAGCCAGGCATGGTGGCAGGTGCCTGTAATCCCAGCTACTCGGGAGGGTGAGGTAAGGAGAATTGCTTGAACCACGAAGACGGAAGTTGCAGTGAGCCAAAATCATGTCACTGCTCTCCAGCCTGGGTGACACAGCAAGACTCCATCTCAGGGGGAAAAAAAAGAAAGATAACACAGAAGGAAATGCTGGGCTAATTAATGTAGTGGAAACAACAGTAGGGTAAATCAAGGGCCTTGCTTGAGAGAATTGGAAAAAAAAAAGTAGCAAACTTTTATTTACACAATTTTTGTGTGTGTGTGTGTGATGGAGTTTTGCACTGTCACCCAGGCTGGAGTGCAGTGGCTCGATCTTGGCTGACTGCAACCTCCACCTCCCGGGTTCAAGTGATTCTCCTGCCTCAGCCTCCCTAGTAGCTGGGATTACAGGCGCCCGCCACCATGCCCAGCTAATTTTTTGTATTTTTAATAGAGACGGCATTTCATCATGTTGGTCAGGCTGGTCTCAAACTCCTGACCTTGTGATTCGTCCGCCTCAGCCTCCCAAAGTTCTGGGATTACAGGCATGAGCCACCGCGTCCGGTCGTATTGAGGAGCTTTACTATAAACAAAACAGAGACATGTGAGGAATAATTAGAGGAAGACTTCCTTGTTTAGAAAGGAAAAATAAGCCTTCCTGTATGCTGTGGAGGTGGTATATAAGAGAGAGAGAAAGAAAAGGGATAGAATGGAATATAGTGCAAAAATGGATTTCTGGCTTTTGCTGGAGAGTTAATTTGTAATAGCATGTGAGGTGGAAGAATATATGGGTGTATATCTCATATGTTTGTAGACACAGTGATAGGAGTATGTGTGATATTCACTTTTAATTGTATCTGTATTCTTAGTACAATAGGAGATAAGGTCGTCAATTGAGAGTGAAAATAAAAAGGATGTTAAAGCTTCCAGGACAGAAATTTATTGGGGTGGGATCAAAAGGAAATTACTGGAGTGGGGCCAAGATGGCTGACGAGAAACAGCAGCGATCAGAGTCTCCCATCGGAAAGAACCATAATTAGCATGTGAATCCTTCACCAGCAACCAAGATATCCAGGTTCCCTCACCAGAACTGATAAAGCAGCTGGCGTGATCCATGGAGAGGAAGAAAGAGCAGCGTCCTGCAGTGGCCACCTGAGAGCAGCATGAGGCATAGGAGCCCCCACACCCAAGCCAAGAGTGGTGGTAAGTATCCCACCCAGCCAGGGAAACCATGCTTTTTCCACAGAACTGTGCAACCCACAGATCAGAAGATCCCACTCGCAAACCCACACCACTAGGGCCGAGGGCCCCAACCCATAGCCGTGCAGATTCTCAAGCACCTCTCAGCTAGAATTTGCTTAAGCATGCTGAGCTCCTGAGGGGAAGGCGACCAGCAGCACAGCTGCAACTACCTGCTGTCTAAGCCCTTTGAGCCCCTTGGGGAGGGGCAGGAGCCAATACTGGGATTCACAATTGTCTAAGACACTAAGCTCTCTGGGCAGGGAAAGCATGCAATCCATCTCTATAGCTCCGGGCCGTGCTTTTTCCCTGCTGGAGCTGGGGAGGCTGGACGGCTTGGTCCCAATAAGTGTCCCTCACAACCCAACACACTGACAGTGACAGACTGCGGCCAGAGCGCCTTTTCAGGTCTGAAACTGACTTATCCTTTCTCACTGAGTGGGGCTTCCCTGCAGGAACTCTAACTCCAGCCAGAGGCTAAGGGACAGAAGCCAGATCTCCCTGGGCCTGAGCCCCTGGTGGGAGGGGCCGCCGCAGTCTTTGCAGACCAGCAGACTTAGCCTTTCCTCCTAATAGTTCTGAGGAATCCGGGAAGCCCAGACGAGTAGGTTTCCCCTCAGTGAAGCACACCCCCTCCATCAAGGGACAGTCAAAGTGCTTCATTAAAAGGGTCCTATTCCCCATGACATCCAACCTGGTGAGACCCTCCAACAGGAGTTGTCAGACACCCTATACAGGAGTGATCCTACTGGCATCAGGTTGGTGCCCCTTGACATTAGAGATTTCAGAAGAGCAGCCACCCATCTTTGCTGTTCTCCAGCCTCCTTGAGTGACATCTCCAGGTGCTGGAGCGAACCAGATGAATACGGCCTGAAGTGAACATCCGGCAAACCACAGCAGCCCTACAGAAGAGAGACCTGATGATTGAAAGAAAAACAAACAGAAGGCAACAAAAGAATCAACAACAAAAAAAGTCCCTATAAAAACCTCATCCAAGGGTCAACAAGCCTCAAAATTGAAACTAGACAAACTCACAAAGATGAGAAAGAATCAACAAAAAAAGGTGAAAACCCAAAAGGCTATAGTGACTTTTCCAAATGATTGCACGGTCTCCCAGCAAGGGCACAGAACTGGATGGAAAATGAGACGAATGAATTGACAGAAGCAGGCTTCAGAAGATGGATAATAAAAAACTATGCTGAGCTAAAGAGCATGTTCTAATCCACAGCAAAGAAGCTAAGAACCTTTATAAAAAGTTAGAGGAGCTGCTAACTAGAATAATCAGTTTAGAGAGAAACAAATGACCTGATGGAGCTGAAAAACACAGCATGAGAACTTCTTGAAGCATGCAGAAGTATCAATAGGCGAATAGACCAAGCAGAAGAAAGGATATCAGAGTTTGAAGACCACCTTGCTGAAATAAGGCATGCAGACAAGATTAGAGAAAAAAAATTAAAGGGAACAAACAAAGCCTCCAGGAAATATGGGACTTTGTAAAAAGACCAAACCTACGATTGATTGGAGTACCTGAAGGAGATGGGGAGAATGGAAACAAGCTGCAAAACACACTTCAGGATATTATCCAAGAGAAATTCCCCAACCTAGCAAGAAAGACCAACATGCAAATTCAAGAAATACAGAGAACACAACTAAGATACTCCTTGAGAAGATTAATCCCAAGACACATAATCATCAGATTCTCCAAGATTGAAATGAAGGAAAACATGTTAAGGGCAGCCAGAGAGAAAGACAAAGTACCCTACAAAGGGAAGCCCATCAGACTAAGAATGGAGCTTCAGCAGAAACTCTACAAGCCAGAAGAGAGTGGGGGCCAGCCAATATTCAATATTCTTAAAGAAAATAATTTTCAACGCAGGATTTTATATCCAGCCAAACTAAGCTTCATAAGTGAAGGAAAAATAAAATCCTTTCCAGACAAGCAAATGCTGAAAGATTTTGTTACCACCAGGCCTCCCTTGCAAGAGCTTCTGAAGGGAGCACTAAATATGCAAAGCAAAAACAGGTACGAACCACTGCAAAAACACGCCAAAATATAAAGATCAAAGATACTATAAAAAAAAAACCCACCAACTAATGTGCAAAGAAACCATATAGAATAATGATGACATGATCAAATTCACACATAACAATACTAACCTTAAAGGTAAATGAGCTAAATGCCCCAATTAAAAGACACAGCCTGGCAAATTGGATAAAGAGTCAAGACACAATGGTGTGCTGTATTCAGGAGACCCATCTCACATGCAAAGATGCACATAGGCTCAAAATAAAGGGATGGAGAAAAATCTTCTAAGGAAATGAAAAGCAATAAAAAGCAGGAGTTACAATCCTAGTCACTGAAAAAAAGGAGTTTAAACCAAAGATCAAAAAAGACAAAGAAAGGCAAAACTAATGGTAAAGGGATTTATTCAACAAAAAGAGCTAACTATTCTAAATATATATGCACCCAATACAGGAGTATAAACAGGTATTAAAAAGTCAAGAAACAATAGATGCTGGCAAGGCTGTAGAGTAATAGGAATGCTTTTACACTGTTAGTGGGAACATAAATTAGTTTAACCATTGTGGAAGACAGTATGGCGATTCCTCAAGGATCTAGAACCAGAAATATCGTTTGACCCTGCAATCTCATTACTGGAGATATGCCCATAGGAATATAAATCATTTTACTTTAAAGGCACATGCACACCTATGGTTATTGTAGCACTATTTGCAATAACAAAGCCATGAAACCAACCCACATGCCCATCAATGATAGACTGGATAAAGAAAATATGTTACATATACACCATGGAATACTACACAGCCATAAAAAGAATGAGATTATCTTCTTTGTAGGGACATGGATGAAGCTGGAAGCCATCATCCTCAGCAAACTAGCACAAGAACAGAAAACCAAACACCCAATGTTCTCACTCATAAGTGGGAGCTGAACAATGGCAATACATGGACAAGGTGGGGAAAAACACACAACAGGGCTTGTTGGGGGGTGAGGGGTAGGGGAGGGAACTTAGAGGACAGGTCAACGGGTGCAGCAAACCACCATGGCACACATATCCCTATGTAAGAAACCTGTGCGTTTTGCACATGTATCCCAGAACTTAAAGTAAAAGAAAAAAGATTTCAAGACAAAAGACGATGTGTAAAATAGTTACTTAAAAGTGTGAGAGAATAAATGGACTAAGGATGTATAGCAGGACTGAGGGACCTCACCAAGAGCACTTACTCTAAGCTTATTATCCAAAGGTTGTCTCGTGGTATGGATTTTTGAAGAACTCAGCGTAAAGAGCAACATCTTGTTTATAAAGGTCTTGGAATCCTGTAATGTCAGCCACGTCTCAAAAGGTTCTATAGGGTCATCGCCACCGTAGCCGCCAAGAGGAGCTGGGAGGACGACGGTAGCCTGTGAGGCTCGTTGTAGACAACATGGCGGCGGCGATGTCCGCTAGCCAGGCGAGTGTGGCAGCGGCAGCAGCGGGGCCTGGGGGCGCGGCAGGGCGGCCTGGGCTTTGGCCTCCCTCCAGTTCCCTGGAAGTGGGCCTGTGGCCAGCGCGGGAGCAGCAGCAGAGGCGGAGGCCCCAGCGCGTCTCTCTCCTCCCCCTCAGCCTGAGCCCGGGGAGGCCAGGCGGCCCGGGTGTTTGAAGGTGGGGGCGGCTGCCGGAGATTGTGAGAATTCTCTTCACCAGAATATGGAGACTGTTCAATCACCAGGAGCACAAAGTTATCATTGTTAAGCTGGATAATTCAGGGAAAACTACCACCTTTATCAATTTTCTATGAATGAAGTTGTACATACATCTTTTGTAGTAGGAAGTAATGTAGAAGAGATAGTGATTAATAATACACGTTTCCTAATATGGGATATTGGTGGCCAAGAATCTCTTCGTTCTTCCTGGAACACTTATATATTAACACAGAGTTTGTAATAGTTGTGGACACTACCGAGAGAGGATTTCTGTAACTAGAGAAGAACGCTATAAAATGTTACCACATGAGGACCTAAGAAAAGGTGCATTGCTGATTTTTGCTAATAAACAAGATGTTAAAGACTGCATGACTGTAGCAGAAATCTCCCAGTTTTTGAAGCTAACTTCTATTAAAGATCACCAGTGGCATACCCAGGCATGCTGTGCTCTAACTGGCGAGGGATTGTGCCAAGGACTTGAATGGATGATGTCACGACTTCAAATTAGATGATTTCTACTGACGTCTTCTCACAGATTTTGTATAAATGAAGTGCTAGGCTTTACCTGAAAGCTGCAAAAAATAACGGTTTAGATATATTTATAATAAACTGATTTAAACTTTTTCTATAAGAAGAAAAATTAAGACCACTTAATGAAAACAAAGATGAAGTCTCACCTTCCAATTTGCTTTCTCATTGGTTTTTTCAGAGTAAGTTATTAAAGCTGTAATAGACATTTTTCTCATAATGAATCCTCTCAGGACATTGTATAGCCTGTGGTAAGTACAAAGGGAGAGGAAGACATTTTGAAATTTAAGAGCTTTATTATCAGCATAACCCTCCCTAGTTGAATGTTGTTTTCTTCTTGTTCCATTAAGTCAAAATACAAATCAGCACAGATATTCAGTTTCCAATATTTTAAAAAGTAATGTTACTTAAGTATTTTGCTTAATGTTGTGTGTGTATTGTGTATGAACCTCAAGTTCAAGTTAATGACTTTGATTTATGTTCTAAAGAAAAACAATACAAATATTAATGATATCCTTAGTTACAACCATAATGAGATAAGTATTGACATTGGTGTTAAGTGCCATTTTATACTTTCTCCCTATGTTCTCTGTATTGTACTAACCAACCTACCAAATCACTGAGCTGCTTGTTAAAAAAAAAAAAAAAAGAAAAAGGAAAAGGAGAAAGCATGACTTTGTGTATCTATTTTTTGTTGTTGACCAATCACACACATGGAAACATGTAACTCAACAGAGTGGGATAGCTATCAGATTCTTGGCTTAGTATTACTAATGGGCAGGATTGTACAATGAGAAACTATCAGAGTATTCCTATCAATGGTCCTTATGGCATCTAAATTACTGAATTATTAATCCATTAATCAGTGAATCATAAATTATGATTAAAATTATCAAATGAGGCCAGGCGCAATGGCTCACGCCTGTAATCCCAGCACTTTGGGAGGCCGAAGCAGGCGATCACGAGGTCAGGAGCTCGAGACCAGCCTGACCAACATGGTGAAACCCTCTCCACTAAAAAAATACAGAAATTAGCTGGGCGTGGTGGTGCGCGCCTGTAATCCCAGCTATTCAGGAGGTTGAGGCAGGAGAATCACTTGAACCTGGGAGGTGGAGGTTGCGGTGAGCTGAGATCACGCCACTGCACTCCAGCCTGGGCGACAGAGCAAGACTGTCTGAAAAAAAAAAATATATATATATCAAATGAATTCTCAGTATTAATTGAAAACTGTTGTGTGAAACATGTCTACCTAGAAAAGTAACATTCTATAAACACTATTAAACAACTTAGCTATATTATTTTTAAGTATTAAATTATATATCAAGCAGTTAAAGTGAATTTCAGAGTAAAAGGCATGTTTCTGAGCAACACTGATAATTTCTTAATTTGCAAATTTCTTCTTTCTTATTTTAGTATTTGGAGTATAGTGTGAGATTTTTTATTTCTAAATTTTGTTGTATCTTCTATTACATAAATGCATTGTTTGACAATTATAAAATGCAATTTTTTTGAATGATTTTCAGAATTTGACTTACAAATTGATTAATACAACGTATTATTTGTACTAAGAAGTAACTTGACCCCTCCCCCCAAAAAAAGTTTCTATCACTAATCAATAGTGGAAATTGAAGCCCAGGGCAGGTAAGAGACTCTTGGTTAGTAAAGAGCTCAAACAGAGTCCAGGGCTTCTGACAAACAAACAAGTGCACTATCTTGGAACATTTCTAGGCAGGACTGACTGCACCCATTTTGTGCCTATACATACTCCAATCAGAGGAATAGAGTTCTGACGATACACCTTGAGGAGGGCAAGATTACACATGTGTGTTTGGGGTCATGGTTGGAGGAGAAGAGGGGCCCAGAGGACAACTCTGAGAGGATCCAGTGTCTCTGCCTATTGTCCTATGGTCAAAGATCCAATCCTTGTGCCCAAACCCAAGCCCTCAATATCCATGAGGCAAGAGGAAATGGTGGAACAATGTGCAACTTCTAGCGCCACCCACCCCCCCTTCTCCTAGAGATACAGCAAATGAAATTGAGTGTAAGAAACTATGTTTGAGCATTGAAGTGCTCGGCTGCACATTTCACCTCAGCTGAGAGCTAATTTATTTTTCTTCTTCAAAGCATCACAATTTCATCTAAATGTGCCAGAACTGATAACCAGCTTCAATGAATGACTCACACTACTAACCTGTACAGGTGCAGTGTGCTATAGTGATTTTTAGAGCAGTTATGCTCTCACAGTGAAAATAAGAAGGAACCTAGGAGGACAGAGAGGAGCCAAGTGTGTGGGTGGGATAGAAATTTCAAGATAAGTTTATCTTAATTTTAGTAAAGACGCTTGGTGACTAAAAGCCACACCTGGTTTAGGGCCTAAGATAGAAGAGAAAAATATTTAAATATGAGTATTGAGCCTTTTTAAAAAAAAATCAACTTTTATTTTAGATTCAAGGGGTACATGTGCAGGTTTTTTACATGGATATGTAGTATGGTGCTGAGGTTTGGGATACAATTGATCTCATTACCCAGGTAGTAATCAGAGTACCCAGTAGGTAGTTTTTCAACCCTTAACCCCTAGTAATCTCCATTGTTCATTGATCCCATCTTTATGTCCATGTGTACCCAAAGTTTAACTCCCGCATATAAGTGATAACGTGTGGTATTTGGTTTTCTATTTTTTCATTAATTTGCTGAGTATAATGGCCTCTAGCTGCATCTATGTTGCTGCAAATAATATAATTTTATTCATTTTTATGGCTGGATAGTATGCCATAGTATGTACTACATATTCTTTATTGAATCCACCATTGTTTAGTACCTAGGTTGATTCCATGTATTTGCTATTGTAAATTGTGCTCTCATGAACACATACATGCATGTATTTTTTTAACTTTAAGTTCTAGGATACATGTGCAGAAAGTGCAGTTTTATTACATAGGTATACATGTGCCATGGTGCTTTGCTGCACCTTATCAACCTCTTATCTAGGTTTTAAGCCCCACATGCGTTAGGTATTTGTCCTAATGACCTCCCTCACCTTGCCACCATCCCCTGCAAGGCCCAGTGTGTGATGTTCCCCTCCCTGTGTCCATGTGTTCTCATTGTTTAACTCCCATGTATGAGTGAGAACATGCAGTGTTTGATTTTCTGTTCCTGTGTTAGTTTGCTGAGAATGATGACTTCCAGCTTCATCCATCTCCCTGCAAAGGACATGAACTCATTCTTTTTTATGGCTGCATAGTATTCCATGAAATATATGTGCCATGTTTTCTTTATCTAATCTATCATGGATGGGCATTTATGTTGGTTCCAAGTCTTTGCTATTGTAAATAGTGCTGCAATAAACATATGTGTGCATGTGTCTTTATCGTAGAATGATTTATAATCCTTTGGGTATATACCCAGTAATGGGATGGCTGGGTCAAATGGTATTTCTGGTTCTAGATCTTTGAGGAATAACCACACTGTCTTCCACAATGGTTAAACTAATTTACACTCCCACCAACAGTGTAAAAGGATTCCTATATCTCCACAGCCTCACCAGCATCTGTTGTTTCCTGACTTTAATGATCGCCATTCTAACTTGCATGAGATGGTGTCTCATTGTGGTTTTGATTTGCATTTCTCTAATGACCAGTGATGATGAGCTTTTTTTCATATGTTTGTTGGCCACATAAATGTCTTCTTTTTTTTTTTTTTTTTTGAGACGGAGTCTCGCTCTGTCGCCCAGGCTGGAGTGCAGTGGCGGGATCTCGGCTCACTGCAAGCTCCGCCTCCCGGGTTCACGCCATTCTCCTGCCTCAGCCTCCCAAGTAGCTGGGACTACAGGCGCCCGCCACTACGCCCGGCTAATTTTTTTGTATTTTTAGTAGAGACGGGGTTTCACCGTTTTAGCCGGGATGGTCTCGATCTCCTGACCTCGTGATCCGCCCGCCTCGGCCTCCCAAAGTGCTGGGATTACAGGCGTGAGCCACCGCGCCCGGCCAAATGTCTTCTTTTAAGAAGTGTCTGTTCATATCCTTTGCTCACTTTTTGATGGGATTATTTCTTTGTTTTGTTTTGTTTTTTGTAAATTTGTTTAAGTTTCTTGTAGATTCTGGATATTAGGCCTTTGTCAGATGGATAGATTGCAAAAATTTTCTCGCATTTTTTAGGTTGCCTGTTCAATCTGATGCTAGTTTCTCTTGCTGTGCAGAAGCTCCTTAGTTTAATTAGATCCCATTTGTCAATTTTGGCTTTTGTTGCAATTGCTTTTGGTGATATAGTCATGAATTATTTGCTCATGCCTTTGTTCTGAATGGTATTGCCTAGGTTTTCTTCTAGAGATTTTAAAATTATAGGGTTTACATTTAAGTCTTGAATCCATCTTGAGTTAATTTTTGTGTAAGGTGTTAAGGAAAGGGTCTAGTTTCAGTTTTCTGCATATGGCTAGCCAGTTTTCCCAGCACCATTTATTAAATAGGGAATCGTTTTCTCATTGCTTGTTTTTGTCAGGTTTGTTGAAGATCAGATGGTTGTAGATGTGTGGTGTTATTTCTGAGGTCTCTGTTCTGTTTCCATTGGTCTATATATCTGTTTTGGTACCAGTACCATGCTGTTGTGTTTACTGTAGGCTTGTAGTATACTTTGAAGTCAGGTAGTGTGATGCCTCCAGTTGTGTTGTTTTTGCTTAGGATTGTCATGGGTATACAGGGTCTTTTGTGGTTCTATATGAAATTTAAAGTAGTTTTTGTCTGATTCTGTGAGGAAAGTCAAGGGTAGTTTAATGGAAATTGCACTGAACCTATAAATTACTTCAGACAGTATGGCCATTTTCATGATGTCGATTTTTCCTATCCGTAGAGCATGGAATGTTTTTCCATTTGTTTGTTTCCTCTGTTATTCCCTTCAGCAGTGGTTTGTAGTTCTCCTTGAAGAGGTCCTTCATGTCCCTTGTAAGTTGTATTTCTAAGTATTTTGTTCCATGTGTAGCAATTGTGAATGGGAGTTCACTCATGATTTGTCTCTCTGCTTGTCTATTATTGGTATTTAGGAATGCTTTGATTTTGTATTCTGAGACCTTACTGAAGTTGCTTTTCAGCTTAAGGAGTTTTTGAGCTGAGACTATGGAGTTTTTTAAATATACAATCATGTCATCTGCAAACAGAGACCATTTCCATTCCTCTTTTCCTATTAGAATACTCTTTATTTCTTTCTCTTGCCTGATTGCCCTGGCCAGAACTTCCAATACTATGTTGAATAGGAGTGGTTTGAAAACTAACCTGCACAATGTGCACATGTACCCTAAAACTTAAAGTATAATAATAAAAGAAAAAAAAAAGAAAGGGCATTCTTCTCTTTGCCGGTTTTCAAATAGAATGCTTCTAGCTTTTGTCCATTCAGTATGATATTGGCTATGGGTTTGTCATAAATAGCTCTTATTATTTTTCGATATGTTCCATCAATACCTAGTTTATTAAGAGTTTTTATCATGAAGCAATGTTGAATTTTATCAAAGGCCTTTTCTGCATCTATTGAGGTAATCATGTGGTTTTTGTCATTGGTTCTGTGTATGTGATGGATTACATTTCTTGATTTGCATACATTGAACCAGCTTTGCATTCCAGGGATGAAGGCGACTTGATCATGGTGGATAAGCTTTTTGATATGCTGCTGGATTCGGTTTGCCAGTATTTTATTGAGGATTTTCGCATCGATGTTCATCAGGGATGTTGGCCTGAAATTTTCTTCTTTTGTTGCCTTTCTGCCAGGTTTTGGTATCAGGATGATGCTGGCCTCATGAAATGAGTTAGGGAGGAGTCCCTGTTTTTCTATTTTTTTGGAACAGTTTGAGAAGGAATGGTACCAGCTCCTCTTTGTAACTCTGGTAGAATTTGACTGTGAATCCCTCTGCTCCTGGCCTTTTTTTTCGTTGTTAGGCTATTAATTACTGCCTCAATTTCAGAATTTGTTATTGATCTATTCAGGGATTCAACTTCTTCCTGGTTTAGTCTTGGGAGGATGTATGTGTCCAGGAATTTATCTACTTCTTCTAGATTTTCTAGTTTATTTGCATAGAGTTGGTTATAGTATTTGCTGATGGTAGTTTGTATTTCTGTGGGCTCAGTGGTGATATCCCCTTCATCATTTTTTATTGTGTCTATTTGATTCTTCTCTCTTTTTTTTATCAGTCTGGCTAGAAGTGTATCTATTTTGTTAATCTTCTCAAAAAAACAGCTCCTAGATTCGTTGATTTTTTGAAGGGTTTTTCATATCTCTATCTCCTTTTCTGCTCTGGTCTTAGTTATTTCTTGTCTTCTGCTAGCTTTTGAATTTGTGTGCTCTTGCTTCTCTAGTTCATTTAGTTCTGATGTTAGGTTTTCCATTTCAGATCTTTCCCACTTTCTGACACGGGCATTTAGTGCTATAAATTTCCCCCTTAACACTCTATTAGCTGTGTCCCAGAAATTCTGGTACATTGTCTCTTTGTTTTCATTGGTTTCAAAGAATTTTTTTTATCTCTGCCTTAATTTTGTTATTTACCCAGTAGTCATTTAGGAGCAGGTAGTTCAGTTTCCATGTAGTTGTACAGTTTTGAGTGTGTTTCTTAATCCTGAGTTTTAGTTTGATTGCACTGTGGACTGAGAGACTGTTTCTTATGATTTCCATTCTTTTGCATTTGCTGAGGAATGTTTTACTTCCAATTATGTGGTCAACTTTATAATAAGTGTTATCTGGTGCTGAGAAGAATGTATAGTCTGTTGATTTAGGGTAGAGAGTTTTGTAGATGTCTTTTAGGTCCACTTGGTCTACAGCAAGTCCTGAATATTCTTGTTAATTTTCTGTCTTGTTGATCTGTCTAATATTGACAGTAGGGTGTTAAAGTCTCCAACTATTATTGTGTGGAAGTCTAAGTCTCTTTGTAGGTCTCATAGAACTTGCTTTATGAATCTGGGTGCTCCTGTATTGGGTGCATATATATTTCAGATAGTTAGCTCTTCTTGTTTCATTGATCCCTTTACTATTATGTAATGTCCTTCTTTGTCTTTTTTGATCTTTGTTGGTTTAAACTCTGTTTTTTCAGAGACTACAATTACAACCCCTGCTTTCTTTGCTTTCCATTTGCTTGGTAAATATTCCTCCATCCCTTTATTTTGATCCTATGTGTGTCTTTGCATGTGAGATGAGTCTCCTGAATACAAAACACCGATGGGTCTTGACCCTTTATCCAATTTACCAGTCTGTCTTTTAATTGGGGCATTTAGCCCATTTACCTTTATGGTTAGTATTGTTATGTGTGAATTTGATTCTGTCACCATGATGCTAAATGCTTATTTTGCACATTAGTTGATGCAGTTTCTTCATAGTGTCATTGGTCTTCATCTTTTAGTGTGTTTTTGCAGTGGCTGGTACCAGTTTTTCCTTTCCATATTTAATGCTTCCTTCAGGAGCTCTTGTGAGGCAGACCTGGTGGTGACAAAATCCTTCAGCATGTGCTTGTCTGTAAACAATTTTATTAATCCTTTGCTTATGAAGCTATGTTTGGCTGGATATGAAATTCTGGGTGTAAAATTCTTTTCGTTAAAAATGTTGAATACTGGCCTCTCACTCTCTTCTTGCTTGTAGGGTTTCTGCAGAGAGAACTGCTGTTAGTCTGATGGGCTTCCCTTTGTAAGTTACTTTGCCTTTCTCTCTGGCTTCCTTAACTTTTTTTCCTTCTTTTCAACCTTGGAGAATGTGATGATTATGTTTCTTGTGGTTATTCTTCTCTAGGAGTATCTTAGTGATTTTCTCTGTATTTCCTCAATTTGAATGTTTGCCTTCCTTGCTAGGTTGGGGACGTTCTCCTGGATAATAACCTGAAGTGTGTTTTCCAACTTGGTTTTATTCTCCCTGTCAGTTTCAGGTACACCAGTCAATCATAGGTTTTGTCTTTTAACACAGTTTCACTTGTATTGGAGCCTTTGGTCATTTCTTTTCATTCTTTTTTTTCCAATCTTGTCTTCATGACTTATTTCAGTATGTTGATGTTCAATCTCTCATATCCTTTCTTCTGCCTGATCAATTCAGGTGTTGATACTTGTGTATGCTTCGTGAAGTTCTCGTGCTGTGTTTCTCCGCTCCATCAGGTCATTTATATTCCTCTGTAAACTGGTTATTCTAGTTAGCAGCTCCTGTAACCTTTTATCAAGGTTCTTAGCTTCCTTGCATTGGGTTAGAACATGCTCCTTTAGCTCAGAGGAGTTTGTTATTACCCACCTTCTGAAGCCTACTTCTGCCAATTTGTCAATCTTATTCTCCATCCAATTTTGTGCCCTTGCTGGAGAGGAGTTGTGATCATTCTGAGGAGAAGAGGCATTCTGGTTTTTGGAATTGTTAGCATTTTTATGCTGGTTTTTCCTCATCTTTGTGGATTTATCTACCTTTGCTCTTTGAGGCTGATTACCTTTGAATGAGATTTTTGTGTGAGAGTCTTTTTGTTGACTTTGATGTTGCTTTCTGTTTGTTAGTTTTTCTTCTAACAGTCACACCCCTCTTCTGCAGGTCTGCTGCAGTTTGCTAGGGGTCCACTCCAGATGCTGTTCACCTGGGTATCACCAGTGGAGGCTGCAGAATAGCAAAGACTGCTGCCTGCTCCTTCCTCTGGAAGCTTTGTCCCAGACTGACACCGACCTGATGCCAGCTGGAGCTCTCCTGTATGAGGTGTCTCTCTAACCCTGTTTGGCGGTTTCTCCCAGTCAGGAAGTATGGAGGTCAGGAACCCACTTGATGAGGCAGTCTGTTTCTTAACAAAGCTGGTGCACTGTGCTGGGAGAATCCCTCTTGTCAGGATCAGCTGATCTCTTCAGAGCCAGCAGGCAGGAGAGATTAAATCCACTGAAGCTGCACCCACAGCCACCCCTCCCCCAGGTGCTCTGTCCCAGGGAGATGGGAGTTTATCTGTAAGCCCCTGACTGGGGCTGTTACCTTTTCTTCAGCGATGCCCTGCCCAGTTAGGAGGAATTTAGAGAAGCAGTCTGGCCACAGTCGCTTTGCTGCGCTGTGGTAAATTCCACCCTGTCCACACCTCCCCGCCTCCTTAGAACTGTCAGGAGAAAACCATCTACTAAAGCCTCAGTAATGGTGGATGCCCCTCCCCCTATCAAACTCGATCATCCAAGGTCAACTTCAGACTACTGTGCTGGCAGTGAGAATTTCAAGCCAGTGGTTCTTAGCTTGCTGGGCTCCATGAGAGTGGGACCCGCTGAGTGAGACCACTTGGCTCCCTGGTTTCAGCCCGTTTTCCAGGGGAGTGAATGGTTCTGACTCACTGGGGTTCCAGGCACCACTGAGGTATGCAAAAAATCTCCTGCAGCTAGGTTGGTGTCTGCCCAAACAACTGCCCAGTTTTGTGCTTGAAACCCAGGACCTTGGTGGTGCAGGCACATGAGGGAATCTCCTGATCTGCAGATTGCAAAAACCATGGGAAAAGTATAGTATTCCAGCCAGGTAGCACTGTCTCTCAAGGCTTCCCTTGGCTGGGGGAGGGAGGTTCTCCCGTCTTCTTGCACTTCCCGGGTGAAGCGATGCCCCACACTGCTTCTGTTCACCCTCGTGGGTTGCACCCACTGCCTAACGAGTCCCAGTGAGATGAACTGGGTACCTCGGTTGGAAATACAGAAATCACCTGCCTTCTGCATTGGTCTAGCTGAGAACTGCAGACAGGAGCTGGTCCTATTCGACCATCTTGGCCCCAACCCTCAGATATATCTTTTGAATAGAATTACTTATTTTCCTTTGTGTATATACCCAGTAATAAGATTACTCAGTCAAATGGTAGTTCTATGTTTAGTTTTTTGAAGAATCTTCAAACTGCTTTCCACAGTGGCTGAACTAATTTATTTCCTCACCTATGGTGTACAAGTCATAGTTTCTTTTGCTGTGCAGAAGCTCGTAAGTTTAATTAGGTCCCACTTGACAATTTTTTTTCCATTGCTACTGCTTTGGACACTTAGTCATAAATTAGTTGCCACGGCCAATGTCCAGAATGGTGTTTCCTAAATGTTTTCCCGGATTTTTATAGTTTTAGGTATTATCTTTAAGTATTAAATTTACCATGAATTAGTTTTTGTATATGGTTAAAAGTAGGGGTCCAATTTTATTCTTCTGCATATAGTTAACTGGTTATTACAGCATGATTTGTTGAATAGGGGGTCCTTTCCCCATTGTTTACTTTTGTCAACTTTGTTGAAAATCAAATGGTTTTAGGTGAGAAGCTTTATTACTGGATTCTCTATTCCATTCCATTGGTTTATGTGTCTTTTTTTTTAATCACTACCATGCTGTTTTGGTTACTGTAGCCATGTAGTATAGTTTGAAGACAGGTAATGTCATGCCTCCAGTTTTGTTCAATTTGTTCAGGATTTCTTTGACTCTTCTTATAGCTATTCAGGCTATTTTCTGGTTCCATGTGAATATTACAACAGCTTTTTCTAATTATGTGGAAAATGATGTTAATAGATTGATAGGAAATACCATTGAATCTGTAGTTTGCTTTTGGTAGTGTGACCATTTTAACAATATTGATTGATTCTTTAACAATACTTATCAATATTAATTCACTTTTGATTCCATGAGCATGAAATGTTTTTCCATTTGTTTGTGACATTTATGATTTATTTCAGCAGTGTTTTGTAGTTTTTCTCATAAACATATTTCCCCTTTTAGCTAGGTGTGTTTCTACATGATATGGTTATTATGAATGAGATTGCATTCTTGATTTGGCTCTTAGCTTAGAAATGCTACTAACAGTTGTACATTGATTCTGTGTCCCAAAACTTTACTGAAGTTGTTCATCAGGACTAGGAGTGTTTTGGTGGAGTCCTTAGAATTTTCTAGGCATAGAATTATGTCATCAGTAAATTGAGATAATTTGACTTCTCTTTCTATTTGGATGCCTTTTATTTCTTTCTCTTGTCTGATTGCTCTGGCTAGGAGTTCCAGTACTATGTTGAATAGGAATGGTAAGAGTGGGCATCATTGTTTTGTTCCAGATCTTTAGAAGAATGCATCCACCTTTTGCCTGTTTATTATGATGTTGGCTGTGGGTTTGTCATAGATGGCTCTTATTCTAAGGTATGTTCCTTTGATGTCTGGTTTGTTGAGGGTATTTATCATGAAACAATGTTGAATTTTATCAAGAGCTTTTCCTACACCTATTTAATCATACAGTTTTTGTTTTTATTGTTGTTTATGTAGTGATTAATATTTATTGATTTGCATATGTTGGACCAACCTTGCATTTCTAAAATAAAGCCTACTTGATTGTGGTGAATTAGTTTTTTTGGTGTGCTACTGGATTTAGTTGCTAGTATTTTACTGAGGATTTTTGCATCTTTGTTCATCAGGGACAGTGGCCTGTAATTTTCTTTTTTATTTTGTGTTTTCCAGACTATGAAACTGGCTTCATAGAATGAAAGGGAGAAGTTTCTCCTCTTCGATTTTTCTGAATAGTTTTGTTAGGATTGGTATCAGCTCTCTTTGTATGCCTGATAAAATTTGTGTGTGACTTCATCTGGTACAGAACTTTTTTTGCTTGGATTTTTATTATTGATTCAAATTTGGAACTCATTATATGATTCTTCAGGGTTTCAGTTTCTTCTTGATTTAATCTTGGGAGGTTGTGTGCTTCCAGGCATTCATCCATTTTCTCTATCTTTTCCAGTTTGTGCACATAGAGGCATTCATAATAGTCTCTGAGGATATTTTGAATTTCCGTAGGGTTGCTTGCAATGTCACCTTTGTCATTTTTTATTGTGCTTATTTGGATCTTCTTTCTTTTCTTTAACTTAGCTAGTGGTGTATTGATCTTATTTGTCTTTACAAAAAAAACAAGTTTTTTTTTCAAATCATATGTTTGGAGTTTTGGGTCTCAATTTTATTCTGTTCTGCTGATTTTAGTTATTTCTTTTCTTCTGTTACCTTTGGGGTTAGTTTTTTTTTTTTTTTTTTTTTTTTTTTTTTTTTTTAGTTTTCTAAATGCAATGTTAAATTCTTAATTTGAGATATTTGTAACTTCCTGATGTAGGTGTTTAGCAGTATAAACTTTCCTCTAAACACTGTTTTGCTGTACCCCAGAGATTTTGGTATGTTGTGTCTCTGTTTTTATTTATTTTATCTCTAAGAACTTTTTTATCCTTCCTTAATTTTATTGTTTAACCAGAAGTCATTTAGGAGCAAGTTGTTTAGTTTCCATGTAATTGTGTGGTTTTTAGAGATCTTCCTTGTATTGATTTATATTTTTATTTCATTTTGGCCCAAGAGCATAGTTAGTATGATTTTAATATTTTTGAATTTATTGACCCTTGTTTTATACTTGAGCAAGTGGTAAATCTTAGAGTATGTTCTGTGTGCAGATGAGGAGAATGTATATTCTGTGATTTCTTGGGTGAAGTATTCTGTAGAAGTCTATTGAGTCCAATTGGCCAATTGTCAGCTTTAAGTCCAGAATTTCTTTGTTTTTCACCTCAAGGATATGTTCAACACTGTCAGTGGAGTGTTGAGGTCTCTCAATATTATTGTGTGGATGTCTAGGTCTTTTTGTAGGTTTAGAAGTGCTTGTTTTATGAATCCAAGTACTCTAATATTGAGTGTGTATATATTTAGCATAGTTAAATATTCTTGTTGAATTGAACCCTTTATCATTATGTAATATCCTTTTTTGTCCCTTTTGACTGTTGTTGGCTTAACGTTTCTTTTATCAAATATAACAATAGCAATTCCTGCAACCCATTACTTTATGCCTATGAATGTTTACATGTGAGATTTGTATCTTAAATACACAAGATGGTTGAGTCTTGTGTTTTTATTCACCTTGCCACTCTGTGCTTTTTAAGCGGATGTTTATATTACTTACATTCAAGGTTAATACTGGTATCTGAGATTTTGATTTGGTCATGAAGTAGTTAACTGGTTGCTTTGTAATGTTGACTTTGTAATTGCTTTATGAGGTCTGTGAGATATGTACTTAAGTGTGTTTTTGTGATAGCAGGTATCATTCTTCTATTTCCATGTTTAAAACTTCCTTAAGTGCTCCTTGTAAGTCTGACCTAGTGGTAACAAATTTTCTTAGTGATTGTTTGTCTGGAAAACATTTTATTTCTCCATCATTTGTGAAACTTAGTTTTGTGAGATATGAAATTCTTGGTTGCAATTTCTTCAAGAATCCTAATTCTGCAGGAACATGAAATGTTTTCCTCTCAAAATTCTGTTCCAGGCTTGTGACTCTTAGTTCAGATGCACACTGTAGTCTATCTCCAGAGCACAATGTTATTGAGGGCCACAGGAAACTCTTGTTTAATGACTCTGTGGGAATGGTTTCAGGGTAGAACCTTGTTACTCAGCCCAATACAGATAGCTTTATAGTTTGACTGTTCCCCAGTGTAATAGCACTGCTGGTTTGTGTAAAGGCAGGGCTCTATCTTTCAACTCATGCAGATAGGTGTTGGTTGTCACGATGTTGGATGTTTGAGTTGACATTACCTCAAGCTCTGGGGATGTGGTTATGTGACAGCAGAATTGGAAATGGATACATAGTTATCCACTTCCCAGCTGAACAGCATGTTTGAATCCTGAAGGGGATGGAGCAGGGTCATGATAGCCCAGAATTGAAGTGCTTGCTGTGATGGGAAGGAGCAAGCTGATCCCCAGGTCACTGGCCAGATGCTCAGAAAGGGGAAGGCAAAATGCTTAGGTGGTGAGAGCCCAAGGGAATATCACATGCCTGTTGGGACTGGGTTTTCAGAAGGGCTCTGGGACACAACTAAAATGCTCATTTGGGGGAAAAGTGGGTGGGCTGAGTGCCAGAAGGTGGTAAGCCTCATTTGGCAGGGAGTAGTGGAGGTGGGGAATTGTGGGGTGTGCAGTCTGCCCACTCCTCCTTTATATCTTGGCTGTAGAATCCATTCTGGTTGTGCACAACTATGTCAAGTCTCCTCATTCCCTCTCTGGCCTGAGGGCAGTGTGAGCAAGGGCAACAGCATAGGTGATGGTGAAAGGCTTTCAGGTACCTCTGGGCAATTGGGTCCCAGAGGAATACAAAATCATGACTGACTGCAGTGTTAGGCAGGGGTGGGTTGGCTGCACTGGGAGCCCAAGCTGAAGTACCCTACCTGGCAAGGAGCAGTGGGGATAGGGGTCATGTGGTATGCAGTCTGGCCACCTGTCAGTAAAGCATTTGTGGCATGCTGGAGTTGCACAAAAGTGCCCAAATAATGAGCCTTAATCAGGAAATAAAGGATTTTCCTTAGAGATATTTCCAAGATAAAACCAGAGGGTAATAATTTTTATTTGCTCAAGACTCAGAGACTATCAGGATTCTGATTTTCAGTGATCTTAGAATCCTTGAATGCTAGGTAGGGCTGAAAAATCTTCTTTTTAATCTCTGACTTTATACTATAAATATATTGATACAATTATATATAATTAGGAAGAACATAAGAGAAAATAAAGAAGGGAAGAAGTGGGGGAAGGGAGGGAAAGGGAATAGAAGGAAAGATTTTCTGCTTTTAACCTCCACATTTCCCCGCTAACATTAATATTTACATATTACATCCATTATTAATACTAACAGCTAATGTTTATGTTGGGCCTACTCTGTGCAACACACTACACTAAGCACTTTGTATGTTTTGTCAATAAGAATTAACCGTATCACAATTAGGTAGGTCCCATTATATATTTATTGTGCAAGAAAGATAACTAATACCTTGAAAGGCTAGGGAATTTGACTTTAACTGACACAATAAGCTCTGGACTAACATTGTTCTGTAACTTTCCTTTTGCAACTGATGTTATGTAGTAGAGCATTAACATGTAATTACATAGAGATTCTATGCATAGCATAACGTGCCATCGTTGAGTTTTACAGTCACTTAACCAATTTTTTCTTGATGAATATTTGAGCTATGTACATTTTGTTTTACAGTTACTAATACTGACATAGTGAATATCACTGAATATATATCTCTGTGCAAGTATAGTAGTGCTTAGGTAACATTGATTTCTAAAATTATTGTGTTCCTTTGATTTATGTGTCAATATTACATTGTGTTAATTACTGGGCTCTTATGATGTTTTATTTGTGTAAGAAAATTTATTACTCATTTTTGTCTTTAAAAACATGATTTAATCTTTCATATGTTCTGCTCCAGTTGAATTTGACAGTCAGCTTGTCAGTTTCCAACAAGAAAATTCTATGGCCTATTGATTTTTTACCTAATTATTTTAGAATAACTTAAGTTGTAGTAATATCTTTACAATATTCAGCCATCGTGAAACTTCTTTATCATTGCATGTCACTCTCAGCCATTTTTATTTCTTCTGCTCTGAATTTTCTATATATATTTTGGCCGCATTTTTATTGTCATATTATCTTTCATACTAACATTAATAATAGCTTTCTTAAGATTATTCACCTTTAATCTATTAAAATATTATAAATCTGTTTAATATATACAGTGGTGGGGTGGCTATGATGACAGACTCTGAAACCAGATTGCCTGAATTCAAGTCCTGGTTCTACACTTTGCAAGCTGTGTGACATTGTGAGAGCTTCATAGAGTTGCTATGAAATTTAAATTCACTAGTACACATAAGTTGCTTAGAACGACTTATAATATATTGTAATCACTCAATAAATTTAAGTATGTGAAAAGGACTCCATATTCTTACAAACCGTCTCTTATTTTTATTATAAAATTAATTTTAATTGCAAAAAACTACATAAATGCATTTTCTGTGTTAAAAAGGCCCAAAACATTATAAATGATGTTAAATTTTTTCATTGACAATCCACCCCACAAATTAGCCACTAATGTATGATGGGTTTCTTTGTCGCGTTTTTCAATTAACTTATATACACATCGTGAGTCATAAAATATATGGACTTTTACTTATGGGTTTCTTTTTAACACAAAATATATAAAATATTGCAGGTTACATTGGCAGTTTGCTCCTCTCAAATATTACCAAGATGATATGGAATTGTTTTCATGGACTTTTTATCCTTTTGCAGTGATTGTTCTGCCTATTCTACTGTCACTTTCTTTTATTTCTAATAATTTCATATGTGTTGATAACTATCATTAAGTCCACTACATTATTTTTGGCTCTTCCTGAATACTCAGATTTGAGTTGTAGAATCAACATTTCAAAATTCATAGGTAAACAATCTTAATTGCTATTGATTCAAATTCTTAGACTAAAATAGAGAAGAACAGACAAATTTATTTATTTATTTATTTAATTTTATAAGCTACCAGTTTACGTTATTTTACTATAGCAGTCAAAATAAACTAAGACAATCATAAATTATCTAGAAAATGTATACCCCCTACCAACAGACAAAAATTTCACAGAGTACTTTAAACAATTTATTTCCTTCCTTTTTGATGAATTGCATGCTGATAATTCTTTTTTTTCTTTTCTTTTTTTAAAATTATTATTATACTTTAAGTTTTTGGATACATGTGCATAATGTGCAGGTTTGTTACATATGTATACATGTGCCATGTTGGTGTGCTCCACCCATTAACTCGTCATTTAGCATTAGGTATATCTCCTAATGCTATCTCTACCCCCTCCGCCCACCCCACAACAGTCCCCAGTGTGTGATGTTCCCCTTCCTGTGTGCATATGTTCTCATTGTTCAATTCCCACCTATGAGTGAGAACATGCAGTGTTTGGTTTTTTGTCCTTGCAATAGTTTGCTGAGAATGATGGTTTCCATCTTCATCCATGTCCCTACAAAGGACATGAACTCATCCTATTTTATGGCTGCATAGTGTTCCATGGTGTATATGTGCCACATTTGCTTAATCCAGTCTATCATTGTTGGACATTTGGGTTGGTTCCAAGGCTTTGCTATTGTGAATACTGCCGCAATAAACATACTAGTGTATGTGTCTTTATAGCAGCATGATTTATAATCCTTTGGGTATATACACAGTAATGGGATGGCTGGGTCAAATGGTATTTCTAGTTCTAGATCCCTGAGGAATCCCCACACTGACTTCCACAATGGTTGAACTAGTTTACAGTCCCACCAACAGTGTAAAAGTGTTCCTGTTTCTCCACATCCTCTCCAGCACCTGTTGTTTCCTGACTTTTTAATGATTGCCATTCTAACTGGTGTGAGATGGTATCTCATTGTGGTTTTGATTTGCATTTCTCTGATGGCCAGTGATGACGAGCATTTTTTCATGTGCTTTTTGGCTGCATAAATGTCTTCTTTTGAGAAGTGTCTGTTCATATCCTTCGCCAACTTTTTGATGGGTTTGTTTGTTTTTTTCTTGTAAATTTGTTTGAGTTCATTGTAGATTATGGATCTTAGCCCTTTGTCAGATGAGTAGATTGCAAAACTTTTCTCCCATTTTGTTGGTTGCCTGTTCACTCTGATGGTGATTTCTTTTGCTGTGCAGAAGCACTTTAGTTTAATTAGATCCCATTTGTCAATTTTGGCTTTTATTGTCATTGCTTTTGGTGTTTTAGACATGAAGTCCTTGCCCATGCCTATGTCCTAAATGGTATTGCCTAGGTTTCCTTCTAGGTTTTTTGGTTTTAGGTCTAACGTGTAAGTCTTTAATGCATCTTGAATTAATTTTTCTATAAGGCGTAAGGAAGAGATCCACGTTCAGCTTTCTCCATATGGCTAGCCAGTTTTCCCAGCACCATTTATTAAATAGGGAATCCTTTCCCCGTTGCTTGTTTTAGTCAGGTTTGTCAAAGATCAGATAGTTGTGGATATGAGGCATTATTTCTGAGGCCTCTGTTCTGTTTCATTGGTCTATATCTCTGTTTTGGTACTAGTAGCATGCTGTTTTGGTTACTGTAGCCTTGTAGTATAGTTTGAAGTCAGGTAGCGTGATGCCTCCAGCTTTGTTCTTTTGCCTTAGGATTGACTTTGCTATACGGGGTCTTTTTTGGTTCCATATATATGAACTTTAAAGTAGTTTTTTCCAATTCTGTGAAGAAAGTCATTGGTAGCTTGATGGGGATGGCATTGAATCTATAAATTACCTTGGGCAGTATGGCCATTTTCACGATATTGATTCTTCCTACCCATGAGCATGGAATGTCCTTCCATTTGTTTGTATACTCTTTAATTTCATTGAGCAGTGGTTTGTAGTTCTCCTTGAAGAGGTCCTTCACATCCCTTGTAAGTTGGATTCCTAGGTATTTTATTCTCTTTGAAGTAATTGTGAATGGGAGTTCACTCATGATTTGGCTCTCTGTCTGTTATTGGTGTATAACAATGCTTGTGATTTTTGCACATTGATTTTGTATCCTGAGATTTTGCTGAAGTTGCCTATCAGCTTAAGGAGATTTTGGGCAGAGAAGATGGTGTTTTCTATACATACAATCATGTCATCTGCAAACAGGGACAATTTGACTTCCTCTTTTCCTAATTGAATACCCTTTATTTTCTTCTCCTGCCTGATTGCCCTGGCCAGAGCTTCCAACATTATGTTGAATAGGAGTGATGAGAGAGGGCATCCCTGTCTTGTGCCAGTTTTCAAAGGGAATGCTTCCAGTTTTTGTCCATTCACTATGATATTGGCTGTGGGTTTGTCATAGACAGCTCTTATTATTTTGAGATACGTCCCATCAATACCTAACTTGTTGAGATTTTTTAGCATGAAGGGTTGTTGTATTTTGTCAAAGGCCTTTTCTGCATCCATTGAGATAATCATGTGGTTTTTGTTTTGGTTCTGTTTATATGCTGTATTACATTTATTGATTTTCGTATGTTGAACCAGCCTTGCATCCCAGTGATGAAGCCCACTTGATCATGGTGGATAAGCTTTTTGATGTGTTGCTGGACTCGGTTTGCCAGTATTTTATTGAAGATGTTTGCATCAATGTTCATCAAGGATATTGGTCTAAAATTCTCTTTTTTGGTTGTGTCTCTGCCCGGCTTTGGTATCAGGATGATGCTGGCCTCATAAAATGAGTTAGGGAGGATTCCCTCTTTTTCTATTGATTAGAATAGTTTCAAAAGGAATAGTACCAACCCCTCCTTTTACCTCTGGTAGAATTCGGCTGTGAATCCATCTGGTCCTGGACTTTTTTTGGTTGGTAAGCTATTAATTATTGCCTTAATTTCAGATCCTGTTATTGGTCTATTCAGAGATTCAACTTCTTCCTGGTTTAGTCTTGGGAGGGTGTATGTGTCGAGGAATTTATCCATTTCTTCTAGATTTTCTTGTTTATTTGTGTAGAGGTGTTTATAGTATTCTCTGGTGGTAGTTTGTATTTCTGTGGTATCGGTGGTGATATCCCCTTTGTCATTTTTTATTGCATCCATTTGATTCTTCTCTCTTTTCTTCTTATTAGTCTTGCTAGTGATCTATCAATTTTGTTGATCTTTTCAAAAAACCAGCTCCTGGATTCATTGATTTTTTGAAGGGTTTTTTGGGTCTCTATTTCCTTCAGCTTTACTCTGATCTTAGTTATTTCTTGCCTTCTGCTAGCTTTTGAATGTGTTTGCTCTTGATTCTCTAGTTCTTTTAATTGTGATTTTAGGGTGTCAATTTTAGATCTTTCCTGCTTTCTCTTGTGGGCATTTAGTGTTATAAATTTCCCTCTACACGCTGCTTTGAATGTGTCCCAGAGATTCTGGTATGTTGTGTCTTTTTTCTCGTTGGTTTCAAAGGACATCTTTGTTTCTGCCTTCATTTTGTTATATACCCAGTAGTCATTCAGAAGCAGGTTGTTCAGTTTCCATGTAGTTGAGCGGTTTTGAGTGAGTTTCTTAATCCTGAGTTCTAGTTTGAGTGCAGTGTGGTCTGAGAGACAGTTTGTTATAATTTCTTTTCTTTTACATTTGCTGAGGAGTGCTTTACTTCCAATATGTGGTCAATTTTGGAATAGATGTGGTATGGTGCTAAAAAAAAATGTATATTCTGTTGATTTGGGGTGGAGAGTTCTGTAGATGTCTATTAGGTCTGCTTGGTGCAGAGCTGAGTTTAATTCCTGGATATCCTTGTTAACTTTCTGTCTCACTGATCTCTCTAATGTTGACAGTGGGTTGTTAAAGTCTCCCATTATTATTGTGTGGGAGTCTAAGTCTCTTTGTAGGTCACTCAGGACTTGCTTTATGAATCTGGGTGCTCCTGTATTGGGTGCATATATATTTAGTATAGTTAGTTCTTCTTGTTGAATTGATCCTTTTACCATTATGTAATGGCCTTCTTTGTCTCTTTTCATCTTTGTTGGTTTAAAGTCTGTTTTATCCGAGACTAGGATTGCAACCCCTGCCTTTTTTTGTTTTCCGTTTGCTTGGTAGATCTTCCTCCATCCTTTTGTTTTGAGCCTATGTGTGTCTCTGCAAGTGAAATAGGTTTCCAGAATACAGCACACTGATGGGTCTTGCCTCTTTATCTAATTTGCCAGTCTGTGCCATTTAATTGGAGCATTTAGCCCATTTGCATTTAAGGTTAGTATTGTTATGTATGAATTTGATCCTGTCATTATGATGTTAGCTGGTTATTTTGCTCGTTAGTTGATGCAGTTCCTTCCTAGTCTCGATGGTCTTTACATTTTGGCATGTTTTTGCAGTGGCTGGTACCAGTTTTTCCTTTCCATGTTTAGTGCTTCCTTCAGGAGCTCTTTTAGGGCAGGCCTGGTGGTGACAAAATCTCTCAGCATTTACTTGTCTGTAAAGTATTTTATTTCTCCTTCATTTATGAAGCTTAGTTTGGCTGGATATGAAATTCTGGGTTGAAAATTCTTTTCTTTAAGAATGTTTAATATTGGCCTCCACTCTCTTCTGGCTTGTAGAGTTTCTGCCGAGAGATCGGCTGTTAGTCTGATGAGTTTCCCTTTGTGGGTGACCCGACCTTTCTCTCTGGCTGCCGTTAACATTTTTTCCTTCATTTCAACTTTGGTGAATCTGACAATTATGTGTCCTGGAGTTGTTCTTCTCGAGGAGTATCTTTGTGGCATTCTCTGTATTTCCTGAATTTGAATGTTGGCCTGCCTTGCTAGATTGGGGAAGTTCTCCTGGATAATATCCTGCAGAGTGTTTTCCAACTTGTTTCCATTCTCCCCGTCAGTTTCAGGTACACCAATCAGATGTAGATTTGGTCTTTTCACATAGTCCCATAATTCTTGGAGGCTTTGTTCATTTCTTTTTATTCTTTTTCTCTAAACTTCTCTTCATGCTTCATTTCATTCACTTCGTCTTCCATCACTGGTACCCTTTCTTCCAGTTGATTTCATTGGTTACTGAGGCTTGTGCATTCATCACATAGTTCTCATGCCTTGGTTTTCAGCTCCATCAGGTCCTTTAAGGACTTCTCTGCATTGGTTATTCTAGTTATACATTCATCTAGTTTTTTTTCAAAGTTTTTAACTTCTTTGCCATTGGTTCGAACTTCCTCCTTTAGCTCACAGTAGTTTGATGTTCTGAAGCCTTCCTCTCTGAACTCGTCAAAGTCATTCTTCATCCAGCTTTGTTCCGTTGCTGGTGAGGAGCTGCGTTCCTTTGGAGGAGGAGAGGTACTCTGATTTTTAGAGTTTCCGGTTTTTCTGCTCTGTTTTTTCCCCATCTTTGTGGTTTCATCTACTTTGGTCTTTGATGATGGTGATGTACAGATGGGTTTTTGGTGTGGATGTCCTTTCTGTTTGTTAGCTTTCCTTCTAACAGTCAGGACCCTCAGCTGCAGGTCTGTTGGAGTTTACTGGAGGTCCACTCCAGACCCTGTTTGCCTGAGTATCCGCAGCAGTGTCTGCAGAACAGCGGATATTGGTGAACTACAAATGCTGGTGCCTGATCGTTCCTCTGGAAGTTTTGTCTCAGAGGAGTACCCGGCCTTGTGAGGTGTCAGTCCGCCCCTACTTGTTGGTGCCTCCCAGTTGGGCTACTCGGGGGTCAGGGACCCACTTGAGGAGGCAGTCTGCCCGTTCTCAGATCTCAAGCTGCGTACTGGGAGAAACAATACTCTCTTCAAAGCTGTCAGACAGGGACGTTTAAGACTGCAGAGGTTATTGCTGTCTTTTGTTTGTCTGTGCCCTGCCCCCAGAGGTGGAGCCTACAGAGGCAGGCAGGCCCCCTTGAGCTGTGGTGGGCTCCACCTAGTTCGAGCTTCCTGGCCGCTTTGTTTACCTACTCAAGCCTGAGCAATGGCGGGCGCCCCTCCCCCAGCCTGGCTTCCACCTTGCAGTTTGATCTCAGACTGCTGTGCTAGCAATGAGCGAGGCTCCGTGGGCATAGTACCCTCCAGGCCAGGTGCAGGATATAATCTCCTAGTGTGCCATTTGTTAAGCCCATTGGAAGAGCGCAGTATTAGGGTGGGAGTGACCCGATTTTCCAGGTGCCATCTGTCACCCCTTTCTTTGACTAGGAAAGGGAATTCCCTGACCCCTTGCACTTCCCGGTTGAGGCGATGCCTCGCCCTGCTTCAGCTAATGCACGGTGCACTGTACACACTATCCTACACCCACTGTCTGGCACTCGCCAGTGAGATGAATCCGGTACCTCTGTTGGAAATGCAGAAATCACCCGTCTTCTTCGTCGCTCACGCTGGGAGCTGTAGACTGGGGCTGTTCCTATTCAGCCATCTTGGCTCCACCTGCATGCTGATAATTGTCCATGTGGCTCCAATGTATGTTTTCCATATTCTGCAGCTTCCCTTCAGAAAATTACTTTGCTCTCTTTCAGAGAGTGACTCACCCTCAAGTGTGAGTGAATGTGCAAATAAGGGTTTTCAAGGCAGCCGACAAATTTATATTATTGGGTTTTCCCATTGATGAGCATGGTTTATTCCCCATTTATTGTGCCATTCAATAAAATGTGTATTAGTTCATCTCCACACCATTGATAAAGACATACCTGAAACTAGGAACAAAAAGAAGTTTAATTGGACTTACAGTTCCACATGGCTGGGGAAGTCTCAGAATCATGGTGGAGGGCAAAAGATATTTCTTACATGGTGGCAGCAACAGAGAATGAGGAAGAAGCAAAAGCAGAAACCCCTGATAAACCCATCAGATCTCGTGAGACTTATTCACTATCACAAGAATAGCAAAGGAAAGACCAGCCCCCATGATTCAATTACCTCCCACTGGGTCCCTCCCACAACACGTGGGAATTCTGGGAGATAAAATTCAAATTGAGATTTCAGTGGGGACACAGCCAAACCATATCAAATGTTACCATTTCATATTTCTTCTTAGGTTTGCTCTAAGACATATTATAATTTTTGTGCTATGGCAAGAAGGAGCTTTCTCTAATTACATTTTCTAGTGTTAGTTGCTGGTGTATTGCATAGTTGGGGAAAGTTATTTAATATATTTCTGCCTATTTACCTGTAAGATAAGAATAATAATGATAGAAAAATATTGTAAGGTTGTTGCTAGGATTAAATTTGTTAACATATAAAAGTTTTTTTAATTCCATTCCTTTCTTAGTCATGAATTTATCAAAAACTTTGAAACTATTAAGTGAATTTATAAATTTTCTAACATATAACTATTCTTGGTGTTCTGACTTAAACCATATTTTTAGATGGCTAAATTCCAGTTATTTAAATTTTATTTACAGTCTATGCATTTGTCAAAATTCAGATTGTTGTAGGTGTGGAGCCTTACTTCTGGGTTCTCTATTCTGTTCCATTGGTTTATGTGTCTGTTTTTGTGCCGATACCATACAGCTTTGGTTACTGTAACCCTGTGATACAGTTTGAAGTCAGGTAAGATAATACCTACAGTTTTGTTCTATTTGCTTAGGATTGCCTTGGCTATTTGGGCTCCTTTTTGAGTTCTGTATGAATTTTTAAATACTTTTTCTAGTTCTGTGAAGAATGTCGTTGGAAGTTTGATAGAAATAGCATTAAATCTATACATTGCTTTGGGCAATATGGCCATTTTAACAATATTGATTTTTCCTCTCAATGAGCATGGAATGTTTTTCCATTTCTTTCTGGCATCTCTGATTTCTTTGAGCATTGTTTTGTAATTCACATTGTAGAGACCTTTCACTTCCCTTGTTAGCTGTAATTTTAGGTATTTTATTCTCATTTTGGTATTTTTTAAACTTTTTATTTCATTAGTTTTGGAGGAACAAGTGTTTTTTTGTTACATGGATAAGTTCTGAAGTGGTGAATTCTGAGATTTTGGTGCACCCATCACTCGAGCAGTGTACACTGTGCCCAAAGTGTAGACTTTTATGTCTCACCCCTCTTCAACCCTTTCCCTGAGTCCCCAAAGTCCATTATATTATTGTTGTCTTTTCATCCTCATAGTTTGGCTCCCACTTATAATTGAGAACATACAATATTTGGTTTTCCATTCCTGAGTTACTTCACTAAGAGTAATGGTCTCCAACTCCATCCAGGTTGCTTTGAATGCCATTATTTTGTTCGTTTTAAGGCTGAGTAGTATTCTATGGTATGTGTGTGTGTATATATATATATGTACGTATATACATATGTATACACACACACACATATTCTATGGTATATATATGTGTGTATATATATATATATATATACCATATTTTCTTTATTCACTCGTTGGTTGATGGGCATTATGGATGGTTCTATATTTTTGCAATTGTAAATTGTGCTGCTATAAACATGCATGGTGCACGTTTCTTTTTAAGATAATGATTTCCTTTGGGTAGATACTCAGTAGAGGGATAGCTGGATCTAATGATAGTTCTACTTTCAGTTTTTAAAGATCTCTCCATACTGTTTTCCAGAGTAGTTGTAAACATTTACATTCCCAACACCAGTATAAAAGTGTTCCCTTTTCACCACATCCATACCAATATCTATTATTTTTTACTTTTTATAATAATTATACCCATTCTTGCAGGAGTAATGTGGGATCTCATTGTAGTTTTAATGTGCATTTCTCTGATATTTAGTGAGGTTCAGCATTTTTCTCATATGCTTTTTGGCCTCTTGTGTATCTTCTTTTGAGAATTGTCTATCCATGTCCCTTGCCCACTCTTTGATGGGATTATTTCTTTTTTCTGATTTGTTTGAGTTCCTTGTAGATTCTGGATGTTAGTACTTTGTTAAATGCATGGTTTGCAAAGAATTTCCTCCACTTCATGGATTGTCTATTTACTCTGCTGATTATTTATTTTACTGTGCAGAAGCTTTTTAGTTTAATCAAGTCCTATTTATTTCTTTTTGTTTTCATGGCATTTGCTTCTGGGTTATTGGTCATAAATTCTTTGCCTGTGCCAACATCTGAAAGAGTTTTTCTAATGTTATCTTCTAGAAGGTTTATGGTTTCTGGTCTTAGGTCTAAGTCTTTAATTCATCTTGTGTTGATTTTTGTGTAAGGTGAGAAATAGAGATTCACTTTTATACTTCTACATGTGACTTTCCAATTATCCCAGCACAGTTTGTTGAATATGATGTCTTTTCCCAACTTTATGTTTTTGTATGTTTTTTTGAAGATCAGTTAGCTATAAGTATTTGGCTTTATTTCTGGGTTCTCCATTCTGTTCCATTGGTCTTTGTGCCTATCTTTATACCAGGCCCATGCCGTTTTGGAAACTATAGCCTTGTAGTACATCTTGAAGTCGGGTAATGTGATGCCTACAGATTTGATCTTTTTGCTTAGTCTAGCTTTGGCAATGCAGAGGATTTTTTGGTTCCATATGAATTTTAGGATTGTTTTCTCTAGTTCTTTGAAGAATGATGGTGGTATTTTGATGGGAATTGCATTGAATTTATAGATTGCTTTTGGCAATATGATTATTTTTACAATAATGATTCTACCCATTCACGAGCATGGGATATGTTTCCATTTGTTTGTGTCATCTATGACTTCTTTCAGCAGTGTTTTGTAGATTTCCTTGTAGAGATCTTTTACCTCTGTGGTTAGGTATATTTCTATGCATTTTCTTTGCAGCTGTTTTAAAAGGAATTGAGTTCTTGATTTGATTCTCAGCTTCCTAGGTATATTATTCTTCATGTTGCAATAGTGAATAGGATTGCATTCCTGATTTGGTTTTCAGCTTTGTTATTGTCGTTGCATAGAAATGCTAGTGATTATTCTACATTGATTTTGTATACTGAAACTTTGATGAAGTTTGGTGAAAACAAGAAATGAGGAAAGGACTCCTTATTCAATAAATGGTGCTGAGATAACTGGCCATCCATATACAGATTAACACTGAACTTGTTTCCTACATCGTATACAAAAATCAACTCAAGATGGATTCAAGACTTAATGTAAAGCCGAAAACTATAAAAACCCTGGAACACAACCTAGGCAATGCCATTCTGGACATAGGAACTGGAGAATATTTCATGATGAAGACACCAAAATCAATTGCAACCAAAACAAAAATTGACAAGTGGGACCTAATTAAACTAAAGAGTTTCCACACAGCAAAAGAAACTATACACAAAGTAAACAGACAATCTACAGAAAAGAAGAAATTTTGCAAACTATGCATCTTAAAAAAGTCAATATCCAACATCTATAAGGAACTTAAACAAATATACAAGAAAAAAATAAGTCCATTAAAAAATGGGTAAAGAATATGAACAGACGATTTATTTTTTTTTTTATTTTTTATTTTACTTTAAGTTATGGGATACATGTGCAGAATGTGCAGGTTTATTCCATAGGTATACATGTGCCATGGTGGTTTGCTGCACTTATCAACCCATCATCTAGGTTTTAAGCCCTGCATGCATTAAGTATTTGTCTTAATGCTCTCCATCCCCTTGCCTCCCAACCCCAGACAGGCCCCAGTGTGTGATGTTCCCCTCCCTGTGTCCATATGTTCTCATTTGAACAGACAATTTTCAAAAGAAGATATACATGTGGCCAATAAGCATATTTTTTAAAAACCCTCAATATCACTGATCATCAGAAAAATTCAAATCTAAACCACAACAAGATATCATCTCACACCAGTAAGAAGGGCTATTTTTTTTATTTTTGTTATACTTTAAGTTTTAGGGTACATGTGCACATTGTGCAGGTTAGTTACATATGTATACATGTGCCATGCTGGTGTGCTGCACCCACTAACTCGTCATCTAGCATTAGGTATATCTCCCAGTGCTATCCCTCCCTCCTCCCCCCACCCCACCACAGTCCCCAGAGTGTGATATTCCCCTTCCTGTGTCCATGTGATCTCATTGTTCAATTCCCACCTATGAGTGAGAATATGCGGTGTTTGGTTTTTTGTTCTTGCGATAGTTTACTGAGAATGATGATTTCCAATTTCATCCATGTCCCTACAAAGGACATGAACTCATCATTTTTTATGGTTGCATAGTATTCCATGGTGTATATGTGCCACATTTTCTTAATCCAGTCTATCATTGTTGGACATTTGGGTTGGTTCCAAGTCTTTGCTATTGTGAATAGTGCCCCAATAAACATACGTGTGCATGTGTCTTTATAGCAGCATGATTTATAGTCATTTGGGTATATACCCAGTAATGGGATGGCTGGGTCAAATGGTATTTCTAGTTCTAGATCCCTGAGGAATCGCCACACTGACTTCCACAATGGTTGAACTAGTTTACAGTCCCACCAACAGTGTAAAAGTGTTCCTATTTCTCCACATCCTCTCCAGCACCTGTTGTTTCCTGACTTTTTAATGATTGCCATTCTAACTGGTGTGAGATGGTATCTCATAGTGGTTTTGATTTGCATTTCTCTGATGGCTAGCGATGATGAGCATTTTTTCATGTATTTTTGGCTGCATAAATGTCTTCTTTTGAGAAGTGTCTGTTCATGTCCTTCACCCACTTTTTGATGGGGTTGTTTGTTTTTTCCTTGTAAATTTGTTTGAGTTAATTGTAGATTCTGGATATTAGCCCTTTGTCAGATGAGGAGGTTGCGAAAATTTTCTCCCATTTTGTAGGTTGCCTGTTCACTCTGATGGTAGTTTCTTTTGCTGTGCAGAAGCTCTTTAGATTAATTAGATCCCATTTGTCAATTTTGTCTTTTGTTGCCATTGCTTTTGGTGTTTGGACATGAAGTCCTTGCCCATGCCTATATCATTCCCTTTGAAAACTGGCACAAGACAGGGATGCCCTCTCTCACCACTCCTATTCAACATAGTGTTGGAAGTTCTCACCAGGGCAATTAAGCAGGAGAAGGAAATAAATGGTATTCAATTAGGAAAAGAGGAAGTCAAATTGTCCCTGTTTGCAGACGACATGATTGTATATCTAGAAAACCCCATTGTCTCAGCCCAAAATCTCCTTCAGCTGATAAGCAACTTCAGCAAAGTCTCAGGATACAAAATCAATGTACAAAAATCACAAGCATTCTTATACACCAACAACAGACAAACAGAGAGCCAAATCATGAGTGAACTCCCATTCACAGTTTCTTCAAAGAGAATAAAATACCTAGGAATCTAACTTACAAGGGATGTGAAAGACCTCTTCAAGGAGAAGTACAAACCACTGCTCAAGGAAATAAAAGAGGATACAAACAAATGGAAGAACATTCCATGCTCATGGGTAGGAAGAATCAATGTCATGAAAATGGCCATACTGCCCAAGGTAATTTACAGATTCAATGCCATCCCCATCAAGCTACCAATGACTTTCTTCACAGAATTGGAAAAAACTACTTTAAAGTTCATATGGAACCAAAAAAGAGCCCGCATTGCCAAGTCAATCCTAAGCCAAAAGAACAAAGCGGGAGGCATCATGCTACCTGACTTCAAACTATACTACAAGGCTACCGCAAGCAAAACAGCATGGTACTGGTACCAAAACAGAGATATAGATCAATGGAACAGAACAGAGCCCTCAGAAATAACGCCGCATACCTACAACTATCTGATCTTTGACAAACCTGAGAAAAACAAGCAATGGGGAAAGGATTCCCTATTTAATAAATGGTGCTGGGAAAACTGGCTAGCCAGATGTAGAAAGCTGAAACTGGATCCCTTCCTTACACCTTATACAAAAATCAATTCAAGATGGATTAAAGATTTAAACGTTAGACCTAAAACCATAAAAACCCTAGAAGAAAACCTAGGCATTACCATTCAAGAAGGGCTATTTTTTAAAAGCCAAAAAGTAACAGGTGTTGGCAAGGTTGCAGAGAAAAGGGAGCGCTTATACACTGCTGGTGGGAATGTAAATTATTTCAACCATTGTGAAGTGCAGTGTGGTCATTCCTCAAAGAGCTAAAAACAGAACTACCATTTGATCCATCAATTCCATTACTGAGTGTATACCCAAAGGAATATAAATTATTCTGCTAGAAAGACACATGTTTGCATATGTTCATTGCGGCATTATTCACAATAGCAAAGACATGGAATCAACCTAAGTATCCATCAAGTTTTTACTGTATTAAAAAAATATACACAGTGTGTGTTTTTTTAAAATGTGGTATATTTACACCAGGGGATACTACTGAGTTATAAATAAAATCATTTCTTTTGCAGTGAGTTGAATAAAACTGGAGGCCATTATTCTAAGTGAAGAAACTCAGGAATGGAAAACCAAATACTATATGTTCTTACTTATAAGTGGGTGCTAAGCTATGAGGATGCAAAAACATAGAGTGATAAAATGAACTATGAAGACTTGGTCAGGGAAAGTTGGGAGCAGGATGAGGGCTAAAAGACAACATGTTGGGTTCAGTGTACACTGCTCAGGTGATGGGTGCACTAAAATCTCAGAATTCACCAATAAGATACTCATGTAACCAAAAACCACGTGTTCCCCCAAACTTAAAATTTTAAAAAAAGAAAAAAAAATGTGGTGCATGTACACTATGGAATACTATGCAGCCATAAAAAAGAATGCAGTCACGTCCTTTGCAGAAACATGGATGGAACTGGAGGCCATTATCTTTACCAAACTAGTGCAGGAACAGAAAACCAAATACCACATGTTTTCACTTATAAGTGGGAGCTAAATTAAAAGAACACATGGACACAAAAGAGGGAACAATAGACACTGAGGCTTATATGAGGGTACAAGATGGGAGGAGAAAGAGAATCGGAAAGAATAACTGTTCAGTCTTTGGCTTAGCACATGGGTGACTAAGTAATCTGTACAACAAACCCTCGTAACATGAGTTTACCTAGATAGCACATCTCCATATGTACTCCTGAGCTGAAAATAAAAGTTTAAAAAAGTATTTATGATACTGAATTACCAGGTGCTACATGATTTATACTATTCTACCTTTAATCTAGAAAATATAATGTCTTACTACAGAAATGATAAACTGACATGATGAAAGGATAGAGAGTACTAGGACATTTTAGAGGAAAGAGAGGCATAAGATATAAACTTTTATACTTCTATGGGCTTCTTAAATATCCTATATATTATAACAAATATAAATTTATTATCAAGAAATAGAAAAACATGACAAATCCACAGCCAACATTATACTGAACAGGGAAAAGTTGAATGCATTCCTTCTGACAACTGGAACAAGACAAGGATGCGCACTCTCACCACTTCTATTTAACATAGTGCTGGAACTCCTAGACATAGCAATCAGACAAGAGAAAGAAATAAAGGACATGCAAATCAGTAATGAGGAAGTCAAAATGTCACTGTTTGCTGACAATATGATCATTTACTTCAAGAACCCTAAAGACTAATCCAAAAAACTCCTAGAATAGATAAGTAAATTCAGCAAAGTTTCAGGATACAAAATCAATGTACACAAATCAGTATCTCTGCTATACACCAACAGCGACCAAGCTAAGAATCAAATTGAAAACACAAGCATTTTTGCAACAGCAGCAAAAAATAAAATAAAATACGTAGAAATACACTTAACCAAGGAGGTGAAAGACCTCTACAAGGAAAACTACAAAACACTGCTGAAAGAAATCATAGACAACACAAACAAACGGAAACACATCCTATGCTCATGAACGGGTAGAATAGATATTGTAAAAATGACCATACTGCCAAAAACAATCTACAAATTCAATGCAATTTCCATCAAAATACAACTATCATTCTTCACAGAACGGGAAAAGAATCCTAGAATTCATATGAAACCAAAAAAGAGCCTGCATAGCCAAAGTAAGACTAAGCAAAAAAAAACAAATCAGGAGGCTCACATTAACCAACTTCAACCTATACTATAAAGCCATAGTCACCAAAACAGCATGGTACATGCATAAAAATAGGCATATACTCCCATAGAACAGAATGGAGAGCCCAGAAATAAAACCAAACGCTTACAGTCAACTGATCTTTGACAAAGCAAACAAAAACATAAAGTGGAGAAAGAATACCATATTCAACAAACGGTGCTGGGATAATTGGCAAGCCACATGTAGAAGAATAAAACTGGATTCTCATCTCTCAACTTATACAAAAATCAACTCAAAATTGATCAAATACTTACATCTAAGACCCTGTAACCATAAACATTCTAGAAGATAACATAAGAAAAACCCTTCTAGACATTGGCTTAGGCAAAGACTTCATGACCAAGACTCCAAAAGCAAATGCAACATAAACAAAGATAGGACCTAATTAAACTAAAAAGCTTCTGCACAGCAAAATAGATAATCAGCAGAGTATACAGACAACTCACAGAGTGGGAGAAAATCTTCACAATCTACACATCTCACAAAGGACTAATATCTAGAATCTACAAGGAACTCAAACAAATCAACAAGAACAAAACAGTCTCATCAAAACGTGGGCTAAGGACATGAATGGACAATTCTCAAAATAAGATATACAAATGGCCAACAAACATATGAAAAAATCCTCAACATCGCTAATGATCAGGGAAATGCAAATCAAAACCATAATGTGATACTACCTCAGTCCTGCCAGAATGGCCATAATCAAAACATCAAAAAATATTAGATGTTGGTATGGGTGTGGTGTAAAGAGAACACTTTTACAGTTTTTTTGGGAATGTAAACTAGTAGAAACACTATGGAAAACAATATGGGGATTCCGTAAATAACTAAAAGTAGAACTACAATGTGATCCAGCAGTTCCACTACTGGGTATCTGCCTAGAGGAAAAGAAGTCATTATACCAAAATGATACTTGCACATGCATGTATATAGCAGCACAATTTGTAATTGCAAAAATATTGAACAAGCCAAAATGCTTATCAATCAACAAATGGATGAAGAAATTTTGGTATATATACCATGGAATTCTACTCAGCCACAAAAAGTAATGAAATAATGGCATTCACAGTAGCCTGGATGGAATTGGAGACCATTATTTAAAGTGAAGTAACTCAGGAATGAAAAACCAAACAGTGTATGTTCTCACTCATAAGTGGGATATGGTATGAAGATGCAGAGGCATAAGAATGATACAATGGACTTTGGGGACTTGGGGGAAAGGATGGGAGGGGCCGAGGGATAAAAGACTACACATTGGGTATAGCGTACACTGCTCAAGTGTTGGATGCACCAAAATCTCAGAAATTACCAGTATAGAACTTATTCATCCAATAAACGCCACCTGTTTCCCCAAATACATATTGAAATAAAAAAACTACCAGAGACTGGGTAATTTATAAATAAAAGAGGTTTAGTTGACCCACAGTTCTGCAGGCTGCACAGGAGGCATTGCTGGGAGGCCTCAGGAAACTTACAATCATGGCAGAAGGTAAAGGGGAAGTATGAAGTCTTCACATGTTGGAGCAGAAGAAAGAGAGCAACAGAAAAGTGCTACACACTTTCAAACAATCAGATTTTGTGAGAACCCCATTATGAGACTAGGTGGAAGCTATCTTCATGTGAGACCTTATGAGAACTTTATCATTAGCACTAGAGGAAAACCACCCCCATGATTGAATCACTTCTTACCAGGCTCATCCTCCTACACTGTGAATTAAAATTTGACATAAAATTTGGGTGGGGACACAGCCAAATCATATTATTTTCCCCAACCTCTCCCAAATCTCGTGTCCTTCTCACATTTCAAAACACATTCATGTCTTCTCAACAGTCTCCTAAGCCTTAACTCATTTCAGCATTAACTCAAAATTCCGAGTCCAAAGTCTCATCTGAGACAAGGCAAGTCTATTCTGCCTATGAGCCTGGAAAATCAAAAGCAAGTTAGTTACTTCCAAGACACAATGAGGGTACAGGTATTGGGTAAATATTCCCATTCCAAAAGGGGAAAATTGGCCAAACAAAGGGGCTACAGGCCAAAAGCAAGTCTGAAACCCAATAGGGCAGTCATTAAATCTTAAAGGTCCAAAATAGTCTTTTTTGACTGCATGTCTCGCATCTAGGCCACACTGATGCAGGGGGTGGGATCTCAAGGAATTAGGTAGCTCTGCCTCTGTGGCTTTGCAGGTTACAACCCCCATGGTTGTTATTACGGGATGGCATTGAGTGCCTATGGCATTTCCAGTTACTCAGTGCAAGCTGCTTGTTGATCTACCATTGTGGGGTCTGGAGGATGGTAGCCCTCTTCTCACAGCTCTACTAGGCAGTTCCCCAGTAAGGACTCTGTGTGGGGGCACCAACCCCATATTTTTCTTTTGCACTGCCCTAGTAGAGGTTCTCCATGACGGCTCTGCTCCTGCAGCAGACTTCTACCTGAACATACAGGCATTTCCATACATCCAGTGAAATCTAGGTAGAGGCTCTCAAGCCTCAAGTTTTGTCCTCTGCACACTCACTGACCCAACACCATATGGAAGTTTCCAAGGTTTCGGGCTTGCACCCTCTGAAGCAACGGCATGAGATGTACTTTGCCTCCTTTTAACCATGGCTTGGGAAGGAGCAGCTGGGATGCAGGGTGCCATGTCCCAAGGCTACACAGGGCAGTGGAGCCCTGGATGTGCCCCATGCAACCATTTTTTCCCTCCTAAGCCTACAGATTTGTGATGGGAGGGCCTGCAGTGAAGGCCTATGAAATGCCTTGGAGTCATTTTCCCCATTGTCTTGGCTACTAACATTCAGCTCCCCTTTAGTTTTGTGAATTTCTGCATCCTTGAATTCCTCTCCAGAAAATGGGTTTTTATTTTATACCACATGGTCAGCCTGCAATTTTTCCACTTTTATGCTCTGCTTTCCCATTAAATGTAAGTTCCAATTTCAGAAAACCTCTTTGCTCACAAATATGAGTATATGCTGTGAGAAGCAGCCAGGTCATATCTTGAATGCTTTGCTGCTTAGAAATTTATTTTGCCAGATACTCTAAATTGTCTTTCTCAAGTTCAAAGTTCCACAGATATCTAGAGCAGAAGCACAATGCTGTCAGTCTCTTTATTAAAGCATAGCAAGATTGATCTTTACTGCAGTTCCCAATAAGTTCCTCATCTCCATCTGATACCTCCTCAGCCTGGACATCATTGTCCATGTCACTATCATCATTTTGGTCACAGCCATTCAAATAGTCTCTAGGAAGTTCCAAACTTTCTCTCATCTTCCTATCTTCTTCTGAGCCCTCCAAACTGTTCCAATCTCTGTCTGTTGCCCAGTTCCAAACTCACTTCCACATTTTCAGGTATTTTTGTAGCAATGCTCCACTTCTCTGTTATCCATTTTCTGTATTACTCTGTTCTCACACTGCTTTAAAAAACTACTTGAGACTGGGTAATTTATAAAGAAAATAGGTTTAGTTGACTCATAGTTCCATGGGCTGTACAGGAGGCATGGGTGGGAAGCCTCAGAAAACTAAAGGTCATGGCAGAAGTCAAAGAGAAAATGAGTAATTCTTCACATGGTGAAGCAGGAGAGAGAGAGAGTGAAAGGAGGAAGTGCTACAAACTTTCAAACACCACATTTCATGAGAACTCTATCCTGAGACAGCACTAGGAGGGTGGTGCTAAACCATTAGAAACTGCCCCCATGATTTCATCATCTTTCACCAAACCCCTCCTCCAAAACTGGGGATTACAATTTGACACGAGATTTGGATGGGGACACAGCCAGACCATATGAAACAGTAAAGAATGCCAAAAGGGAACAATGATAGTGTGATATTCAAATAGTAGAGAAATGACATGACCTTGTTCAGAGTGAAGAGTGTCTTGGCATTTCAAGGACTGTGAAGTCCAAAATAACCTAATTTGGAGGTTGAGATGAGGAAATAATATTTAAAAACAAACAAGAATAAAAAGGACTGATGCTCAGAGAGCCCTCGTCGGGAACAAAAAAAGGCCTGAGTGTGGCAACTTTTAAATTTTTACATAAAAGCCCCTTTTAAAAAAAAACTATCACAAGAATATAAGGTCTACATAAGCAGAAAATAAGTCTTGTCCACTAAGGTATTCTCAAAACCTCAAAGCATGACCAGCACATAGTAGACAATATTTGCTGTTGCATAAATGGAAGTGGCAGTTCCATCAAAGCAGCATGAAATATATACAGCGGTATTTGCAATAATGGAAAGGAATACTATTTTATTGCCACCGGCCACATCCCAACAACTATCATAAAGTACAAATTTTCTTTGGCTTCTATAACTACTATAAAAAAAATATGAAGAACTCTGTGTTTGTAAACACGTTTAAAGTTCTCACATGTTAGTATAAGACAGAGGGGAGTTCTGAGGAGCCATGGAGACAAAAGAAATAACCAAGACAATACAAACATAAGAGGGCTATAAAACACACCATTTTCTTTGGCAGAGGTGTAATGAGTGGTGGGCTTCAGGCTTGAAAATTGATCTCAGAGAAACTAATTTGGTTGGCAAGGGAATTAGATCTTGGAGATAATTTCAGGGTCTGGCAAGAACAGGTGAACTCTTTCCTATTTCTAGCTATTGCAAAGAAAGTATCATAATTTATATTACTATAGGAAAAAGAGAGAAAAGTGTTTTTAATAAATAATAACATGTCTATCTCTGAGACTTGGGTGCTAGAAACACCTCAGTAGCTACAAGCATACCTAGGACCCAGATGTGGTTTTTAAACACATTCTCTGGTAAAAAAAAAACAGGGTTCCTTGGAGAAATGACTGATGCTAGAACTGGGACAAGAAATATGCAAAATGAGCTTGGAGCATCTTTTAGTACAAGAAAATGAGGAGGTCATTTTAAACAATCCCACCTTGATAGGGATGAATCGAAGGGATATGAGAGCCAACTTAGCTCATAATCACCAAATCTGGAACAATTTGCACAATGAAATATTAAAATGGTATCAGATTATAATGCAAAGTACAAAAGAAATATTCATAAATTTATACTTATGTAAATAAATGCTTGAATAAATTGGGAAGAAGAAGCAAATCTCCTTTGCAAAAAAATTCTAAAATATATTTGTAAGTCTCTGCCTTCAAGAAGATAAAAGATACTTCTGCTTCTTAAATCTGAGCTGTGTATATTAATTTCCCTCCAAAGGGTTCAGTATGCAGTGGGAAGAGTGAGAAAAATTCATGGCACCAGTGTGGCAAACAAAACCTCAGTCAAGTGATCAAAGTTAACTTCATCAATTATAAGTCATATTGATAGCATGCACCCTTAAAATGATGTGATGAAAATGGCAGTTTCCCTATGTGGTCAACTTCCCAAAAACCCATAACCTCAGTTTAATGATAGTAAAAACAGGCAAATCCCTATAGAGAAGTATTCTATAAAATTCCTGACTAATATACCTCAAACCTGTCAACATCATCAAAAATGAGGAAAATCTGAGAAACTGTCACAGCCAAATGAAACCTAAGAAAACGTGACAACTAAATGTAATGTGGTAATCTGGATCTTGGAATAGAAAAATGACGTTAAGTAAAAACTGAGGAAATCTAAATAAGGTATAAATTTTATTTAAAATAATGCATCAATATTGGCTCATTAATTAGAACAAATGTTGCATACTAAAATACGATGTTAATAATAGAAGAAACTGCATGTAGGGTATATGGTAAGTCTCTGTACTATTTTTCCAGTTTTTCTGTAAAACTAGAACTATTTTAAAATTAAAAGTTTATGTAAGTGGTCTTAAAATTTGTATGGTTGCTTAAATTTTAAATATGACGTTAAACTATATAATAAGTTGTAAAAAGGTTCTAGGAACTGTATTCTGAAAACAAGCTCCTAGTCTCAGAACCTAATGCAGGAACTGTGTCATTAATACAGGAGCTATAAAGGAACTATAGCTCCTGTATGGGATGGTGACAGACCCTGGCAGACTGTTTTGCCCTACCTTATTATTGTTTCTGGCTATCTCTTCTTTGCAATTTCTACTTAGTTGGTCAATTTATAACTTTTTGTGGCATAAGGCCTAAAATTGAAGCCCAAATTGATATCCCTTTTTGGCATCTGGTGAAACAGACAGGACCTCAAATGGCATAATCCTAAATTTTCTTCCCCACTCTGTTGCAATGGATGAGGTCCCCTAGCCAAACAATTCTCCTTATCAAGAGGACCATACACAATTCTTTCTTATCTCTGAATAGCAGTTTTCAGTTCCCTGCCAGCTCATGGTATTATTTCAATAAGCCAATCACATCTTCCCACCTATACTCTTGATATTGCAAAAGCTGCCTCCTGCAGCCCTCGGTTGTGTATTCTATTCCTGAGTACATTTCTCATGTGGCCCTACATAGTATGTGGTATGCTCCACCCAGGCTGTGAGTACAGGTGATTGATAAACCTCTGTCAATCTCATCTGTCCTCTGCTGAATGTTGTGTGTTCAAACATCACCATAACCTTAGGGTAGGAATCCCTTTCTCAACAATGGGGTGAATAGCAGGTGATTGAAATGCCTTGATAATGTACTATGTAAAAGGAGAATGAAGGTATTTTTGCATTTTGTGAAGCAAGTAGAGCTATCTCCAAACAAAAGACATCTATATTTATGAAGCTAAAAAAAAAATAATTTTGAAATCCAAGAAGACAGCAATAGCAATGCATATCATTTGTGTAATAAGCATAGGTTCCATAACAGTAATTCAAATCTGAGAGCAGCTTCAATACCTGTAGTCACATGCTCTCCACCTACTCTGCCCATCCCTTCTTTCCAATACACAGTCCACAGCCCCAGGAAGTATTATAGGGTGTACTGTAGTTGGTGTAGCCCACATCACAGCACATGATTAGGGTCAGTGTTTATCCATGCACTACTCTAATAGTTGTAGACAATCCTGAAAAACCACTGTGTACTTTGGGTGATAAGGATGTGTATCAATGTAGGTTCACTGATTATTAAAAAAAAAGCATCACTGTACTGAAATAAAAAATGTGGTACATATACATTATAAAATACTATGCAGCCATAAAAAATGAAATTATGTTCTTAACAGCATGATGGAAGCTGGAAGGCCGTTATCCTATGAGAATTAATTCAGAAAGTGTTAAAAAAAAAAGAGAATTAATTCGGAAACAGAAAACCAAATACCACATGTTCTCACTTATAAGTGGGAGCTAAACATTGAGTACACACAGACACAAAGAGGAGAATAATGGACACTAGGGCCTACTTGAGGATGGAGGGTAGGAAGAGGGTGAGGATTGTAAAACTACCTATTGGGTACTATGCTCACTACCTGGATGATAAAATAATTTGTATGCCGAGGGGAGGAGCCAAGATGACCGAATAGGAACAGCGCCGGTCTACAGCTCCCAGCGTGAGTGACACAGAAGACGAGTGATTTCTGCATTTCCATCTGAGGTACCAGGTTCATCTCACTAGGGAGTGCCAGACAGTGGGCGCAGGTCAGTGGGTGCGTGCACCATGTGCAAGCCAAAGCAGGGCGAGGCATTGCCTCACTCGGGAAGCGCAAGGGATCAGGGAGTTCCCTTTCCTAGTCAAAGAAAGGGGTGACAGACGGCACCTGGAAGATAGGGTCACTCCCACCCGAATACTGCGCTTTTCCGAAGGGCTTAAAAAACGCCCCACCAGGAGATTATATCCCACACCTGGCTCAGAGGGTCCTACGCCCATGGAGTTGCGCTGATTGCTAGCACAGCACTCTGAGATCAAACTTCAAGGTGGCAGCCAGGCTGAGGGAGGGGCGCCTGCCATTGCCCAGGCTTGATTAGGTAAACAAAGCAGCCGGGAAGCTTGAACTGGGTGGAGCCCACCACAGCTCAAGGAGGCCTGCCTGCCTCTGTAGGCTCCACCTGTGGGGGCAGGGCACAGACAAACAAAAAGACAGCAGTAACCTCTGCAGACTTAAATGTCCCTGTCTGATAGCTTTGAACAGAGCAGTGGTTCTCCCAGCACGCAGCTGGTGATCTGAGAACGGGCAGACTGCCTCCTCAAGTGGGTCCCTGACCCCTGACCCCTCAGCAGCCTAACTGGGAGGCACCCCCCAGCAGGGGCAGACTGACACCTCACATGGCCCCGTACACCCACAGAACTGCAGCTGAGGGTCCTGTCTGTTAGAAGGAAAACTAACAAACAGAAAGGAAATCCACACCAAAAACTCATCTGTACATCACCATCATCAAAGACCAAAAGTAGATAAAACCACAAAGATGGGGAAAAAACAGAGCAGAAAAACTGGAAACTCTAAAAAGCAGAGCGCCTGTCCTCCTCCAAAGGAACACAGTTCCTCAAAAGCAACGGAACAAAGCTGGATGGAGAATGACTTTGACGAGCTGAGAGAAGAAGGTTTCAGATGATCAAATTACTCCGAGCTATGGGAGGACTTTCAAACCAAATGCAAAGAAGTTGAAAACTTTGAAAAAAATTTAGAAGAATGCATAACTAGAATAACCAATACAGAGAAGTGCTTAAAGGAGCTGATGGAGCTGAAAACCAAGGCTCCAGAACTACGTGAAGAATGCAGAACCCTCAGGAGCCAATGTGATCAACTGCAAGAAAGGGTATCAGCAATGGAAGATGAAATGAATAAAATGAAGCGAGAAGGGAAGTTTAGAGAAAAAAAGAATGAAAAGAAATGAGCAAAGCATCCAAGAAATATAGGACTATGTGAAAAGACCAAATCTATGTCTGATTGGTGTACCTGAAAGTGATGGGGAGTATGGAACCAAGTTGGAAAACACTCTGCAGGATATTATCCAGGAGAACTTCCCCAATCTAGCAAGGCAGGCCAACATTCAGATTCAAGAAATACAGAGAACGCCACAAAGATACTCCTCGAGAAGAGCAACTCCAACACACATAATTGTCAGATTCACCAAAGTTGAAATGAAGGAAAAAATGTTAAGGGCAGCCAGAGAGAAAGGTCGGGTTACCCTCAAAGGGAAGCCCATCAGACTAACAGTGGATCTCTCGGCAGAAACTCTACAAGCCAGAAGACAGTGGGGGCCAATATTCAACATTCTTAAAGAAAAGAATTTTCAACCCAGAATTTCATATCCAGCCAAACTAAGCTTCATAAGTGAAGGAGAAATAAAATTCTTTACAGACAAGCAAATGCTGAGAGATTTTGTCACCACCAGGCCTGCCCTAAAAGAGCTCCTGAAGGAAGCATTAAACATGGAAAGGAACAACCGGTACCAGCCGCTGCAAAATCATACCCAAATGTAAAGACCATCAAGACTAGGAAGAAACTGCATCAACTAACGAGCAAAATAACCAGCTAACATCATAATGACAGGATCAAATTCACACATAACAATATTAACTTTAAATGTAAATGGACTAAATGCTCCAATTAAAAGACACACACTGGCAAATTGGATAAAGAGTCAAGACCCATCAGTGTGCTGTATTCAGGAAACCCATCTCACATGCAGAGACACACATAGGCTCAAAATAAAAGGATGGAGGAAGATCTACCAAGCAAATGGAAAACAAAAAAAGGCAGGGGTTGCAATCCTAGTCTCGGATAAAACAGACTTTAAACCAACAAAGATCAAAAGAGACAAAGAAGGCCATTACCTAATGGTAAAGGGATCAATTCAACAAGAAGAGCTAACTATCCTAAATATATATGCACCCAATACAGGAGCACCCAGATTCATAACGCAAGTCCTGAGTGGCCTACAAATAGACTTAGACTCCCACACATTAATAATGGGAGACTTTAACACCCCACTGTCAACATTAGACAGACCAACGAGACAGAAAGTCAACAAGGATACCCAGGAATTGAACTCAGCTCTGCACCAAGCAGACCTAATAGACATCTACAGAACTCTCCACCCCAAATCAACAGAATATACATTTTTTCAGCACCACACCACACCTATTCCAAAATTGACCACGTATTTGGAAGTAAAGCTCTCCTCAGCAAATGTAAAAGAAAAGAAATTATAACAAACTATCTCTCAGACCACAGTGCAATCAAACTAGAACTCAGGATTAAGAATCTCACTCAAAACCACTCAACTACATGGAAACTGAACAACCTGCTCCTGAATGACTACTGGGTACATAACAAAATGAAGGCAGAAATAAAGATGTTCTTTGAAACCAACGAGAACAAAGACACAACATACCAGAATCTCTGGGACACATTCAGAGCAGTGTGTAGAGGGAAATTTATAGCACTAAATGCCCACAAGAGAAAGCAGGAAAGATCCAAAATTGACACCCTAACATCACAATTAAAAGAACTAGAAAAGCAAGAGCAAACATATTCAAAAGCTAGCAGAAGACAAGAAATAACTAAAATCAGAGCAGAACTGAAGGAAATAGAGACACAAAAAACCCTTCAAAAAATTAATGAATCCAGGAGCTGGTTCTTTGAAAGGATCAACAGAATTGATAAACTGCTAGCAAGACTAATAAAGAAAAAAAGAGAGAAGAATCAAATAGGCACAATAAAAAATGATAAAGGGGATATCACCACCGATCCCACAGAAATGTGAACTACCATCAGAGAATACTACAAACACCTCTATGCGAATAAACTAGAAAATCTAGAAGAAATGGATAAATTTCTGGACACATACACTCTCCCAAGACTAAACCAGGAAGAAGTTGAATCTCTGAGTAGACCAATAACAGGATCTGAAATTGTGGCAATAATCAATAGCTAACCAACCAAAAAGAGTCCAGGACCACATGGATTCACAGCCGAATTCTACCAGAGGTACAAGGAGGAACTGGTACCATTCCTTTTGAAACTATTCCAATCAATAGAAAAAGAGGGAATCCTCCCTAACTCGTTTTATGAGGCCAGCATCATCCTGATACCAAAGCCGGGCAGAGACACAACCAAAAAAGAGAATTTTAGACCAATATCCTTGATGAACATCGATGCAAAAATCCTCAATAAAATACTGGCAAACCGAATCCAGCAGCACATCAAAAAGCTTATCCACCATGATCAAGTGGGCTTCATCTCTGGGATGCAAGGCTGGTTCAATATATGCAAATCAATAAAGGTAATCCAGCATATAAACAGAAGCAAAGACAAAAACCACATGGTTATCTCAATGGACGCAGAAAAGGCCTTTGACAAAATTCAACAACCCTTCATGCTAAAAATTCTCAATAAATTCGGTATTGATGGGACATATTTCAAAATGATAAGAGCTGTCTATGACAAACCCACAGGAAATATCATACTGAATGGGCAAAAACTGGAAGCATTCCCTTTGAAAACTGGCACAAGACAGTGATGACCTCTCTCATCACTCCTATTTAACATAGTGTTGGAAGTTCTGGCCAGGGCAATCAGGCAGGAGAAGGAAATAAAGGGTATTCAATTAAGAAAAGAGGAAGTCAAATTGTCCCTGTTTGCAGACGACATGACTGTATATCTAGAAAACCCCATTGTCTCAGCCCAAAGTCTCCTTAAGCTGATAAGCAACTTCAGCAAAGTCTCAGGATACAAAATCAATGTACAAAAATCACAAGCATTCTTATACACCAAAAACAGACAGAGAACCAAATCATGAGTGAAATTCCATTCACAATTGCTTCAAAGAGAATAAAATACCGAGGAATCCAACTTACAAGGGATGTGAAGGACCTGTTCAAGGAGAACTACAAACCACTGCTCAAGGAAATAAAAGAGGATACAAACAAATGGAAGGACATTCCATGCTCATGGGTAGGAAGAATCAATATCGTGAAAATGGCCATACTGCCCAAGGTAATTTACAGATTCAATGCCATCCCCATCAAGCTACCAATGACTTTCTTCACAGAATTGGAAAAAACTACTTTAAACTTCATATGGAACCAAAAAAGAGCCCGCATCACCAAGTCAATCCTAAGCCAAAAGAACAAAGCTGGAGGCATCACACTATCTGACTTCAAACTATACTACAAGGCTACAGTAACCAAAACAGCATGGTGCTGGTACCAAACAGAGATATAGATCAATGGAACGGAACAGAGCCCTCAGAAATAATGCCGCATATCTACAACTATCTGATCTTTGACAAACCTGAGAAAAACAAGCAATGGGGAAAGGATTCCATATTTAATAAATGGTGCTGGGAAAACTGGCTGGCCATATGTAGAAAGCTGAAACTGTATCCCTTCCTTACACCTTATACAAAAATCAATTCAAGATGGATTAAAGACTTAAACGTTAGACCTAAAACTATAAAAACCCTAGAAGAAAACTTATGCATTACCATTCCGGACATAAGCATGGGCAAAGACTTCATGTCTTAAACACCAAAAGCAATGGCAACCAAAGCCAAAATTGACAAATGGGATCTAATTCAACTAAAGAGCTTCTGCACAGCAAAAGAAACTACCATCAGAGTGAACAGGCAACCTACAAAATGGGAGAAAATTTTCACAACCTACTCATCTGACAAAGGGCTAATATCCAGAATCTACAATGAATTCAAACAAATTTACAAGAAAAAAACAAACAACCCCATCAAAAAGTGGGCAAAGGACATGAACAGACACTTCTCGAAAGAAGACATTTATGCAGCCAAAAAACACATGAAAAAATGCTCACCATCACTGGCCATCAGAGAAATGCAAATCAAAACCACAATGAGATACCATCTCACACCAGTTAGAATGGCAATCATTAAAAAGTCAGGAAAAAACAGGTGCTGGAGAGGATGTGGAGAAATAGGAACACTTTTACACTGTTGGTGGGACTGTAAACTAGTTCAACCATTGTGGAAGTCAGTGTGGCGATTCCTCAGGGATCTAGAACTAGAAATACCATTTGACCCAGCCATCCCATTACTGGATATATACGCAAAGGACTATAAATCATGCTGCTATAAAGACACATGCACACATATGTTTATTGCAGCATTATTCACAATAGCAAAGACTTGGAACCAACCCAAATGTCCAACAATGATAGACTGGATTAAGAAAATGTGGCACATATACACCATGGAATACTATGCAGACATAAGAAATGATGAGTTCATGTCCTTTGTAGGGACATGGATGAAATTGGAAATCATCATTCTCTGTAAACTATTGCAAGAACAAAAAACCAAACACCGCATATTCTCACTCATAGGTGGGAATTGAACAATGAGAACACATGGACACAGGAAGGGGAATATCATACTCTGGGGCCTGTTGTGCGGTGGGGGGAGGGGGGAGGGATAGCATTGGGAGATATACCTAATGCTAGATGACGAGTTAGTGGGTGCAGCGCACCAGCATGGCACATGTATACATATGTAACTAACTTGCACATTGTGCACATGTACACTAAAACTTAAAGTATAATGATAATTAAACAATAATAATAATAATTTGTATGCCAAATCCTAGTGACATGCAATTTGCTCATGTAACAAACCTGCATATGTAACCCTTGAACCTAAAATAGTATTTCAAAAAGAAAAAATAAATAAATAAAATGAATAAGCCAAAAAACAAAAAGAGTACTACTGTGATACAAGTGTTAATATTGAGGGTTGTTCTGCGTGTTTGGGGGCAGAGAATATGCAAAAACTCTTTGTACTTTCTGCTTAATTTTGCTGTGAACGTAAATCTACTCTAAAAAATAAAAAATTATATTAAAAAAACTAGAGAGATTCAACAGCAAAGTTTGAATGGCAAAAGAAAGAATAAATGAACTTGAAGGTATGTCATTTGAGATTATTTAGTCTGACATGCAGGAAAAAAGGAAGAAGGAAGAAAAATAAGCAACACCTAACAAACTGGTGGGCCATTGTCAAACATACCATCATAGGCATAATTCAAATACCAGAAGCAGAGGAGAGAAAAAGTAGCAGAAAGGATATTTGAAGAAATAATTAAAAACTTCCCAAATTTGATGAAAGACATAAATGTACACATTCAAGAAACTCAATGAACCCCAAGTAGGATAAACTCAGAGATCCACTTTAACACACATTAAAATCAAACTGTCAAAAGCTAAAGGAGGAAACAATCTTGAAAGCAGCAAAATAAGGGGGAATCATTAGATGCAAAAAATCTTACAAAGATTAAGAGACAATTGTTTAATGGCCAGTTTTAGAGACCATGGATGCCAGAAGGCCATGAAATGACAAATTTAAGATGCTAAAATAAAAATAAATTTTCAATAAAAAATTCTATATCCAGCAAAACTTCAAAAATGAAGAAACTAAGACATTCCCAGAGAAACAAAAGCTAAAAGAACTGTCACTAGCAGGCCTGTTCCTCTAGATTGGTACAGAGGACATAAGAGAGATCAAGAGGATGTGAACATATATAATGGCACCTCTGCCACTGTCACAGCAACAGTTCTATCCCTGCCACCCTCAGTCTGGGGAAAAAACAAAGAGCTTGAGGTCTAGACCCAAGCATGCCACAGTCACCATATAGAGAGGAGAAAAATCTCTCTTCCTGGTGAGCCCTCAACTTTCTGCTCCCCAACAAGCAGGGCCCCAAGTTTATTCCAGCTGGACAGCCACCGCGTCCCACAAGCTAAACACTCCCAGTAACAGCAGCTCCATATTTCTCAGAGGTGGAACCTCCAGGGTCAAACAAAAGCTTATTCTCTGCCACTGCCACTGCAGTGGTACTACCACTGCTACTCTTGAACTAACAAAGGAACAAAGATCCTAAGTGCCTTATCCACACCTTCAACAAGCTTCAGTTGACTCAAAGAGAGAAGTCCAGTCCATCTTTCACAAGTCCCACCCACTGTCCATGCTTATCACTAAGCAGGGAACCCCCAGCTTGGGCCAACAGCACAGGGCCCCTATCCTGGGCTTATTGCACTGAGCAATTGCTAACCTGCACCTCTCTAGGGTGGAGCCCCCAGGAGACCAGCAAAAGCCCCTCAGCCACAACCACTACTAAGGTCCTTTCCTCTGCTGCTTCTGAGTTGGGGTGAAAACCTAAACTCTGAGATCACCACAGAGCTGTGGCAGGCAGCCCAGGAATGCCAAGATATGATCTATAGCCAGCACTCAAGTGAGACAGAAGCTCACAGTTTCAAAGCATTAAAAGGGAGCACAGATACAACTGTGAGGAAATATAAGGCAGCCACACAACTGAGAAAGGGCCTTCCAACTGAGCATTACACCTAAGCGCCACCTACTGAATCACACCTTAAAGCTTCAACACAAAAAATTACCTCACTAACATACACACTTGTGAAGCCAAAGGCAAGAAATAAGCTACAAATAAAGACCATGCACAAAGCCTTGGCTCTGAAAAAAAATCCAGAAAAGAAGCCTACACCGCACAGTTAAAGGAACACCCACATACTGAAATGAGAAAATAAACAATGCAAGAACTTTAGCAACTCAAATGCCAAAACATCTTATGTCTTCCAAATGACCACACTATTTCTCAAACAAGGGTCTTACAAGACTGAGCTAGCTGAAATTACAGAAATAGAATTCAACATATGGATAAGAACAAAGATCATCAAAATTCAGAATTGCAAAACCCAATCCAAGGAAACTAAAAATCACAATAAAGCAATATAAGAGCTGTCAGAAAAAAAATAGTCAGTATAGAAAGGAACCTAACTGATTATATGGACCTGAAAAACACACTACAACGATTTCACAATGCATTCACAAGTATAAAAAGCAGGACAGACCATGCTGAGGAAAGAACCTTAGAACTTGAAGATGAGCTCTCTGGAACAGACAATCAGAAAAATAAATAAAGAAAGAAAAAAGCATAAAAAGAAGTGAACAAAACCTACAAAACATATGAGATTATGTAAAGAGGACACATCTATGAATCATTGGCATTCTTGAAAAATATGGGGAAAAGCAAACAAATTGGAAAACTTATTTCAGGATATCATCCATGAAAACATCCCCAATCTTACTAGAGAGGCCAGCAGTAAAATTTAGAAAATACAGAGAAACCCCTGCAGCATTCTACACAAGATTATTGCCAAAACACATAATCATCAGATTTTTCCAATGTCAAAATGAAAGAAAGTATGTTAAAGTTGGCTAGAAAGAAAAGGTCACCTACAAAGGGAATGCCATCAGACTGACAGAAGACCTCCCAGCAGAAACCCTACAAGCCAGTGTATATTGGGGGCCTATATTCAGCATTCTAAAAAAAAAACAAACAAACTTCAATCAGGAATTTTATATTCAGCCAAACTAAACTGCCTAAGCAAGGGATAAATAAGATCCTTTTCAGATAGGCAAATTCTGAGTAAATTTGTTACCACCATACCTGCCTTACAATAAGCTTTGAAAAAAGCACTAAATATGGAAAAAAAAAATTACCAGCCAGTATGAAAACCCACTTAAGTACACAGACCAGGGACACTATAAAGCAACAACACAAACAAGCCAGCATTATAACCAGCTAATCACATAATGACAGGTTCAAATTGATGCATATCGATAGTAATTTTGAATGTAAATGAGCTAAATGTCCCCATTTAAAAGAAAAAGAGAGGCAAGCTGGATAAAAACGCAAGATCCAATAGTAAGCTGTCTTCAAAAGATCCATCTCACACGCAATGACACCCGTAGGCTCAAAATAAAGGAATGAAGGAAAATTTACCAAGCAAATGGAAATTAGAAAAAAAGCAGAAATTGGAATCCTAATTTCAGACAAAACAGACTTTAAACAAAAAGGATCAAATAAGACAAAAGAAGGGCATTACATAATGGTAAAAGGTTCAATTCAACGAGAAGACCTAACTATCCTAAATATATATGCACCCACCACAAGAGCACCCAGATTGATAAAGCAAGTTAGTAGAGACTTACAAAGAAACCTAGAAAACCCACTATTATTAGTGGGAAACTTTAATATCCCAATTACAGTATTAGAAAGACCATCAAGTCAAAAAATTAACAAATATATTCACGACCTGAACTCAACATTGGACTAAATGAATCTCAAAGACCTCTACATAACTCTCCATGCAAAAACAACAGAACATACATTCTTCTCATCACCACATGACACATACTCTCTAGAATTGACAACACGATCACACACAAAACAATCCTCAGCAAATGCAAAAGAACAGAAATTATATCAAACACACTCTCAAACCACAGTGCAATAAAAACAGAAGTTAAGACTAACAAAAATATTTCAAAATTATGCAATTACATGGAAATTGAATAACCTGCTCCTGAATAACTTTCGGGTAAATAATGAAATTAAGGGAGGAATCAAGAAGTCTTTGGAAACTAATGAGAACAAAGATACAACATACCATCATCTCTGCGACACAGCTAAGGCAGGAATAAGAGGGAAATGTGTAGCAATAAATGCCCACATCAAAAAGTTAGTAATATCTCAATTTAACAACCTAACAACACAACTAAAGAACTAGATTACCAGCTCAATATCACTTATCGTTTGAGAAATGCAAATTAAAACCACAATGAGATACCATCTCATGCTAGTCAGAATGGCTATTATTAAAAAGTCAAAAAACAACAGATGCTGGCCAAGTTGCAGAGAAAAAGAAATGCTTTTATACTGTTGGTGGGAGTGTAAATTATTTCAGCCATTGTAGAAAGCAGTGTAACAATTCCTCAAAGACCTAGAGGCAGAAATACCATTTGACTTAAAAATTCCATTACTTTTTATATACTCAACGGAATATGTTATTCTATTATAACGATACATGCATGCGTATGTTCATTGCAGCACTATTCACAATAGCAAAAACATGGAATCAATCCCACTGCCCATCAATGATAGACTGGATAACGAAAATGTGGTATATATACACCATGGAACACAATGCGTTGATAAAAAGGAATTAGATCATGTCCTTTGCAGGGACATGGATGAAGTTGGAAGCCACTTTCCTCAGCAAGCTAACCCAGGAACAGAAAACCAAACAGTGCATATTCTCACTTATAAGTGTGAGCTGAATGATGAGAACACACAGACACAAGGAGGAAAACAACACATACTGGGTTCTGTAATGGGAGGAGGGAGAATATCAGAAAGAATAGCTAATGGATGCTTTGCTTAATACCTAGGTGATAGGATGACCTGTGCAGCAAACCACCATGGCACATGTTTGTCTATGCAGCAAACCTGCAGATGTGGCACATGTACCCCTGAACTTCAAATAAAAGTTGAAGAAACAAACAAACACAAAGAATCAGAGAACCTTGGAAAAATCAACTCCAAAGCTAACAGAAGTCTAGAAAAAAAAAAATCAGAGATGAACTGAAAGAAATTGAGACACAAAGAAAATTCAAAGAAACAACAAATTCAGGAGTTGGTTTATTGAAAAAATTAACAAGACAGGCCATTAACTAGACTAATAAACAGAAAAAGAGAAGATCTGAACAAACACAATTAAAAATGACAAAGATGTTACCACTGACCCCACAGAAATACAAATAACCATCAAAGAATATTATGAACACTTCTATGCACATAAACTAGAAAATCTAGAAGAGATGGATAAGCTCCTGTATGCATATACCCTCCCAAGACTGAACAAGGAAGAAATTGATTCCCTGAAAAGACCAATAATGAGATGAACCAGTAATAAATAGCATAGAAAAAAAAAAGCCCAGAACCAGAACCAGATGGATTTACAGCTGAATCTACCAGATTTACAAGGAAGATCTGGTACTAGTCCCATTAAAACTATTCCAATAAATTAAGAAAGTGAGGCTCCACCTTAACTTATTCTATGAGGCCAGCATCATCTTAATACCAAAACCTGGCAGAGGCACAACAAAAAAAGAACACTTCAGGCCAATAACCTTGATGAACATTGATGCAGAAATTCTCAACAAAATACTGGCAAACTGAAACCAGCAGCATATCAAAAAGCAAATGCCCAATGATCGAGTAGTCTCCATCCCCAGGATGCAAGTTTGGTTCAATATATGAAAATCAATAAGGGTGATTCATCACATAAACAGAACTAAAAACAAAAACCACATGAGTATCTCAATAGATACAGAAAAGGCTTTTGATAAAGTTTAACATCCCCTCATGTTAAAAACTTTAAAGAAACTAGGAATACACATCGAAAGGAAGGAAGACACATTGAAGGAATACACATCGAAATAATAAGAGCCACCTATGACAAACCCACAGTCAATATTATACTGAATGGTCAAAAGCTGAAAGCATTCCCCTTGAAAACTGGCACAAGACAAAGATGCCCTCTGTCACCACTCCTATTCAACATTGTATTAGAAGTCCTGGCCAGAGCAATCAGACAAGAGAAAAAATAAAGCTCATCCAAATAAGCAGAGAAAAAGTCCAACCATCCCCATATCCCTGTTTGTATAAAAGACGATTTTTTTTAGACAGAGTCTTGCTCTGTCACCCAGGCTGAATTGCAGTGACGTGATTTTGACTCGCTGCAACCTCCACCTCCCAGATTCAAGTGATTCCCATGCCTCACCCTCCCAACTAGCTGGCATGCACAATCACGCCTGGCTATTTTTTGTATTTTTAGTAGAGACAGGATTTCACCATATTGGTCAGGCTGGTCTCAAACTCCTGACCTCAAGAAATCAGCTTGCCTTGGCCTCCCCAAATTCCGGGATTACAGGCATGAGCCACTGAACCCGAGATGACTCTATATCTAGAAAACCAGAGAGTCTTGGCCCAAAAGCTCTTTCAGGTGATAAACAACCTCAGAAAAGTTTCAAGATAAAACAACAATGTACAAAAATATTAGCATTTTGATACACCAACAACATTCAGGCCAAGAGCCAAATCAGGAATGCAATCCCATTCACAGTTGTCACACACAAAAAAATAATATATCTAGGAATACAGCTTGCCAGGGAGGTGAAATATCTCTACAATGAGAATTACAAAACACTGCTCAAAGAAATTAGAGGTGACACTAAAAAATGAAAAACATTCCATGCTGATGGATAGGAAGAATCAATATTGTTAAAGTGGCAACACTGCCCAAAGCAATCTACAGATAAAATGCTATTCCAATCACATTACTAATGACATTCTTCCCAGAACAAGAAAAATCTATTTTCAAATTCATATGGAACCAAAAAGGAGCTCTAACAGCCAAGGCAATTCTAAGCAAAAGACATAAAGTTGAAGGCATCATGTTACCCGACTTCAAACTATACTGCAGGGCTACAGCATGGTACTGGTACAAAAAGAGACATATAGACCAATAGAATAGAATAAAAAGCCCAGACATAAGGCCACACATCTACAACCATGTAGTCTTTGACAAAGCTGACAAAAACTAGCAATGGGAAAGGACTCTATTCAATAAATGATTCTTAGATAACTGGCTAGTCATATGCAAAAGATTAAAACTGAACACCCCTCTTATACCATTTACAAAAGTTAACTCAAGATGAATTGAAAACTTAAAGGTAAAACCTAGAGCTATAAAAACTCTGGACTACGACCTAGGCAATAACATTTTGAACATAGGATTGGGCGAAGATTCATGAGGAAGATGCCAAAAGCAATTGTAACAAAAGCAAAAATTGACAAACCTATTGAATTAAACTAAAGGCTTCTACACAGCAAAAAATAATTATAAACAGAGTAAACAGCCTACAAAATGGGAGAACCTATTTTCAAACTATGCATCTGACAGAGGTCTAATATCCAACATCTATAAGAAACTTAAGCAAATTTACAAGAAAAAGAAACAACCCCATTAAAAAGTGGGAAAAGAACATAAGCAGACATTTTTGAAAAGAAAACATACATGTGGATGAAGCTGAAAACCATTATTCTCAGCAAACTAACACAAGAACAGAAAACCAAACACCGCATGTTTTCACTCATAAGTGGGAATTGAACCATGAGAACCCATGCACACAGAGAGAGGAACATCACACACCGGGGCCTGTCGGGGGTCGGGGGCTAGGAGAGGGATAGTATTAGGAGAAATGCCTAATACAGATGATGGGTTTATGGGTGTAGCAAACCACCATGGCTCATGTATACCTATGTAACATACCTGCACGTTCTGCACATGTATCCAAGCTTAAAGTATAACTTAAAAAATTAAAAAAGAAAACATGTGCCATGGTGGTTTGTATCAACCTGTCACCTAGGTATTAAACCTCAACATGCATTAGCTATTTGTACTGGTATTCTCCCTCCCCTCACATTTCTCAAAAGGTCCTGGTGTGAATTGGTCCCTTTTCTGTGTCCATGTGTTCTCATTGTTCAGCTCCCACTTATAGGTGAGAAACGTATGGTGTTTGGTATTCTGTTCCTGTGTTACTTTGCTGAGAATGATGCCTTCCAGCTTCATCCATGTCCCTGCAAAAGACATAATCTCATTCCTTTTCATAGCAACATAGGATATACTGATTTTCTTCCTTTTGGGTATATTCTTAGCAGTATAATTGCTGGACTATATAGTAGCTCTGCTTTTAGTTTTCTGAGGAACCTCCAAACTGTTCTCCATAGCAGTTGTACTAATTTATATTCCTACCAACAGTGTACAAGTGTTCACTTTTCTCCACATCCTTTACTAGCATTTGTTATTACCTGTCTTTTGGATAAAAGCCATTTTAACTGGGGTAAGATGTTATCACATTGAAGTTTTGATATGCATTTCTCTGATAATCAATGATGTTGAGCACCTTTTCATACACTTGTTTGCCATTTGTGTGTCTTCTCTTGAGAAATATCTATTCAAAGATTTTGTCCATTTTTTATTGGATTATTAGATTTTTTCCTATGGAGTTGTTTGAGCTCCTTATATATTCTGCTTATTAGTCTTCTGTTTTCTCTCATTCTGTGGGTTGTTTCTTTGTTGATGATATCATTTGCTGTGCAGAAGCCTTTAACTTGATGTGATCCCATTTGTCCATTTTTTTCTTTGGTTTCCTGTGCTTACGGGCAACCAAAAACTCAACGTTTTCTTGTTGTGGTTTTATAGTATGAGGTTTTAGATTTAAGTTTTTAATCCAATTTGATTTTTGTATACAGTGAGAGACAATGGTCAAGTTTTAATCTTCTGCATATGGATATCCAGTTTTCCTAGCACAATTTATTGAAGAGACTGTCCTTTCTCCAATGTATATTCTTGGTACCTCTGTTGAAAATGAGTTCACTGTAAGTGTATGAATTTAGTTTTGAGCTCTCTATGTGGTTCCATTGGTCTATGTGTCTGTTTTAATTCCAGTGCCATGCTGTTTTGGTTACTATAGCTCTGTAGTACAATTTGAAGTGAAGTGAAGTGAAGTAAAGTGATTCTTCTAGTTTATAACTAACTTTACATTCTAAATATGCTCCTCCACCATTCTTGGCCATGTCAGTCAGTTGAATCACCCTGCCCCTAGCCACTCTATCAAAACACCTGAGAACTATTCTACATTTCTAATTTTGCTTCATCCTAAACCTTGAATCTATCAGAAAGTTTAGTTGTTTTTTTTTTCTTTTTTCATCTTTTTTAGATTATACTTTAAGTTCTGGGGTACATGTGCAAAACGTGGAGTTTTGTTACTTAGGTATACAGGTGCCATGGTGGTTTACTGCACCCATCAACCAGTCACCTACATTAGGTATTTCTCCTGATGCTATCCCTCCCCTAGCCGCCCAGCTCCAGACAGACCCGAATGTGTGATGTTCCCCTCCCTATCTCCATGTATTCTCATTGTTCAACTCCCACTTATTAGTGTAAACATGCAGTGTTTGATTTTCTGTTCTTGTGTTAGTTTGCTGAGAATGATGGTTTCCAGCTTCATCTATGCCCCTGCAAAGGACATGCACTCATCCTTTTTTAAGGCTGCATAGTATTCCATGGTGTATATGTACAACATTTTCTTTATCCAGTCTATTATTGATGGACAAGTCTTTGTTTTTGTGAATAGTGCCACAATAAACATAGGTGTGCATGTGTCTTTATAGTAGAATGATTTACAATCATTTGTGTATATACCCAGGAATGGGATTGCTGGATCAAATGGTATTTCTAGTTCTAGATCTTTGAGAAATTGCCACACTGTGGCGATAGTTTCTTTTGCTGTGCAGAAGCTCTTTAGTTTAATTAGATCCCATTTGTCAATTTTTACTTTTTTTGCCATTGCTTTTCGTGTTTTAGACATGAAGTCTTGCCCATGCCTATGTCCTGAATGGTATTGCCCAGGTTTTCTTCTAGGATTTTTATGGTCCTAGGTCTTAAGTTTAAGTATTTGATCGATTTGAGTTGATTTTGTATGAAGAAGGGGTCCAGTTTCAGTTTTCTGCATTTGGCTAATGAGTTTTCCCAACAACATTTATTAAATAGGGAATCCTTTCCCCGTTGCTTGTTTGTGTCAGGTTTGTCAAAGGTCAGATGGTTGTAGATGTGTGGTGTTATTTCTGAGGACTCTCTTCTGTTCCATTGGTCTATATATCTGTTTTAGTACCAGTACCATGCTGTTTTGGTTACTGTAGCCTTGTAGCATAGTTTGAAGTCAGGTAGCATGATGCCTCCAGCTTTGTTCTTCTTGCCCAGAATTGTGTTGGCTATGTGGGCTCTTTTTTGGTTCCATAAGAAGCTTAAAGTAGTTTTTTCTCCAATTCTGTGAAGAAAGTCAGTGGTAGCTTGATGGGGATAGCATTGCATTGATAAATTACTTTGGGCTGTATGGACATTTTCACGATATTGAATCTTCTTATCCATGAGCATGGAATATTTTTCCATTTGTTTGTGTCTTCTCTTACTTTCTTGAGCAGTGGTTTGTAGATCTCCTTGAAGAGGTCCGTCACATCCCCTGTAAGTTGTAATCCTAGGTATTTTATTCTCTTTGTAGCAATTGAGAATGGGAGTTCACTCGTGATTTGGCTCTCTGTTTGTCTGTTATTGGTGTATAGGAATATAGGAATGCTTATGATTTTTGCACGTTAATTTTGTATCTTGAGACTTTGCTGAAGTTGCTTATTAGCTTAAGGAGATTTGGGGCTGAGATGATGGGGTTTTCTAAATATATAATTATGTCATCTGCAAACAGAGACAATTTGACTTCCTCTCTTCCTATTTGAATACACTTTATTTTTTCTCTTGCCTGATCGCCCTGGCCAGAACTTCCAATACTATGTTGAATAGGAGTGGTGAGAGAGGGCATCCTCGTCTTCTGCCAGTTTTCAAAGGGAATGCTACTTGTTTTTGCTCGTTCAGTATGATATTGGCTGAGGGTTTGTCATAAATAGCTCTTTTTATTTTGAGATACATTCCATTGATACCCAGTTTATTTAGAGATTTTAGCAAGAAGTGGTGTTGAATTCTGTTGAAAGCCTTTTCTTCATCTATTAAAATAATCCTGTGGTTTTTATGATTGGTTCTGTTTATTTGATGGATTATGTTTATTGATTTGCCTATGTTGAACCAGCCTTGCATCCCAGGGTTGAAGCCAACTTGATCGTGATGGATAAGCTTTTTGATGTGCTGCTGGATTCAGTTTGCCAGTATTTTATTGAGGATTTTTGCATCGATGTTCATCAGGGATATTGGCCTGAAATTTTCTTTTTTTATTGTGTCTCTGCCAGTTTTTGGTATCAGAATGATGTTGGCCTCATCGAATGAGTTAGGGAGGAGTTCCTCTTGTTCTATTGTTTGGAATAGTTTCAGAAGGAATGGTACCAGCTCCTCTTTGTACCTCTGGTAGAATTCGACTGTGAATCCTTCTGGTCCTGGCCTTTTATTATTGTTGTTGGTAGGCTATTAATTACTGCCTCAATTTCAGAACTTGTTATTGGTTTATTCAGGGATTCGACTTCTTCCTTGTTTAGACTTGAGAGGGTGTATGTGTCCAGGAATTTATCCATTTCTTCTAGATTTTCTAGTTTATTTGCATAGAAGTGTTTATAGAATATCTGATGGTAGTTTTATTTCTGTGGGATCAGTGGTGATATCCCCTATATCATTTTTATTGCATCTATTTGATTCTTCTCTCTTTTCTTGTTTATTAGCCTATCTTGCGGTCTATTTTGTTGATCTTTTCAAAAAACCAGCTCCTGGATTCATTGATTTTTTGAAGGGTTTTTCATGTCTCTATCTCCTTCAGTTCTGCTATGATCTTAGTTATTTCTTTCTTCTGATAGATTTTTAGTTATCTGTCAAAAGTATTATGTTGTTGCAAATTTAATTGCGATTTTGGCATTGTTAGAATTTGCCATTTGATATTGGAATACATTCTCAAATAAATGTGGTTATGTTCTACATCATTTTAATGGGCAATTCTCGCCTTATGTTTTTTTGCTAATGACTTATTACTTGCTATTTATTTTATGTTTATTTTAGACTATGGAAATAATGTTAAACAGAAAGCAAATTTCTGCAATTTTCTTATTCGTCTTCCAAATGGGCCATAAAGCAGCAGAGACAACTCGCAATGTCAGCAACACATTTGGCCCAGGAATTGCTAATGAACACACAGTGCAGTGATGGTTCAAGAATTTTGCAAAGGAGATGAGAGCCTTGAACATGAGGAAAATAGTGGCTGGCCATCAGAAGTTGACAATGAGCAATTGAGAGCAATCATTGAAGCTAATGCTCTTACAACTACACAAGAAGTTGCTGGAGAACTCAACGTCGTCCATTCTATGGTCATTCAGCATTTGAAGCAAATTGGAAAGGTGAAAAAGTTTGATAAGGGGGTGCCTCATGAACTGAGTGAAAATTTTTTAAAAATCATTTTGAAGAGTCGTCTTCTCTTATTCTATGCAACAGCAACTTTCTGATAGATTCAAGGTTTAGGATGGAGGAAATATAGAAATGTAGGATAATTCTCAGGTGTTTTGATTGAGTGGCTAGGTGAAGGGTAATACAATTGACTGACATGGGCAAGACTGGTGGAAGAGCATGTTTAGAATATAAAGACCTCAATTGGATTGTGACATGTGAAGAAAAGTGGATTTTATATGACAACCAGAGACGACCAGCTCAGTGGTTGGACTGAGAAGAAGCTCCAAAGCATCTCCTAAAGCCAAACTTGCACCAAAATAAAAGGCATGGTCACTGTTTAGTGGTCTGCTGCTGGTGTGATCCACTACAGGTTTCTGAATCCTGGCAAAACCATCACATCTGAGAAGTATGCTCAGAAAATCAAATCAATGAGATGCACCAAAAATTGCAACACCTGCAGCCAGCATTGGCCAACAGAAAGGGCCCAATTATTCCCCCACAACAATGCCCAACCACACATCGCACAACCAATACTTCCAAAGTAAAATGGATTCAGCTACAAAGTTTTGCCTCTTTCGCCATATTCACCTGACTTCTTCACAACCAACTAACACTTCTTCAATCATCTCGACAACTTTTTGCAGGGAAAATGCTTCCACAACGAGCAGGATGCAGAAAATACTTTCCAAGAGTTCTTTGAATCCCAAAGCATGGACTTTTATGCTACAGGAATAAACAAACTTATTTCTCATTGGCAAAAATGTGTTGATTGTGATGGGTTTCTATTTTTATTAATAAAGATATGTTTGAGCCTAGTTATAATAATAATTCACTGTCCAAAACCACAATTACTTTTGCACCAACCTGCAACTCTAGAGCCATTCAATTTTCCCCAGGTCCATTGCTACCACCACAGTGGCCTAAGGCACTATTAGATAGACCATCAGAAACAGCCTCCTAAATGAGCTCGATGTTCCCAATTTTGTCAATCCCCAGCTTTCTAAATTATTTTATACTGCAGCAATAGTGATCTTTTAAAACACATAAACTGGATCATGATCCTCTTTGACATAAAACACTTCAAGTGCTTTAAAACAAACATTTAACCAATTTGTTTTGTCTTATGTATTCTGGATACTGACTATATCTGTACCTTCACCTCCTGCTACTTAGTCCTTTAGGTCAAAATGCTTTTGGTACTATGAGTTTTTTCTGTTTCTTGGGAGTATGTAGGCTTTCTCCCATTGCAGGAGCTTTGCAAATGCTATATACTATCTGACTAGAAACATTGGCCCTTAGATCTTTGCAATGTTTTCTCTTCTCTGTCATTCAGGTCTCAGTTTAAATATCACCACCTCAGCAAAGGTAAAATGCTCCATCATCATGCTACCTTATTTTCTTTTTCTTGAGCGCTTATTATTTGAAATGATTTTTAATGCTCCACAGCCCAAACAGAATTGAAATACTTTGAAAATTGTACCTTGCCTATCATGTTCATGACTTTCTTTCCTGCACTAAGAACAGTGCCTGAAACATAATATGTCATGTGTGCTCAATTATTACCAGTTAAATAAATGCCTTGCAGGCATTACACCTGAGGTTCCAGGAAGGCTATAAAAATCAACAAAATGAATAACAATATCACAGTTTTCCTCCCTTTCATTCATCCTGCTTAGGTTCCTCAGCATATGCTTTTATGGTACAAAGGTACAAAAATCATCTTGAAGACATTGTCTTTTTAGATTTGATCTAATTCTTGTCAGAGTAGCCAATTGGGGATGGTATTATCCCATGGAAGTGGTACAATCTGCTCTTCTTCTGCCCATTGGGCTAGAAAAAAATCTAAATTTAGAGCAGGTTGAGCAATAGTCCTGTTCTGTAGCCGCTCTAATATTGTGAGCTGTCTTCCTTTAATTGTTTCTTTTTAAATCTGTTGCCAATCACTTTGGATAATAAGGAAATTTTAACCATCATAAATCTTCCAATTCATGAACATTGGGTAGTCTTCCATTTGTGACATCTTTCATTTATTTTGGCAATGCTTTGTCATTTTCAGTGTGAAAATCCTCTGCATAATTGGTTAAGTTTAATTCTATTTTATTCTTTTTTGTGTTGTTTTATTTTTTAAAATTTTTTCAAATTCTACTTTAAGTTCTGGGACACATGTGCAGAATGTGCAGGTATGTTACATAGGTATATATGTGACATGCTGGTTTGCTGCACCAATCAACCTGTCATCTACAATAGCTAATTCCCCTAATGTTATCCTTCCCCTTGCCCCTCACCCCCCGATGGGCCCCAGTGTGTGATCTTCCCCTCCCTGTGTCCATGTGTGTTCATTGTTCAACTCTCACTTATGAGTGAGAACATGCGGTGTTTGGTTTCTGTTCCTGTGTTAGTTTGCTGAGAATGATGGTTTCCAGCTTCACCCATGTTCCTGCAAAGGACACAAACTCATTCTTTTTTATGGCTGCATAGTTTTCCATGGTGTATATGTGCCACAGTTTATCTATCCAGTCTATCATTGATGGGCATTTGGGTTGGTTCCAAGTCTTTGCCATTGTAAATAGTGTTGCAATAAACATACGTGTGCATATGTATTTATAGTAAAATAATTCATAATCCTTTGAGTGTATACCCAGTAATGGAATTGCTGGGTCAAATGGTACTTCGGGTTCTAGAGCCTTGAGGAATCACCACAATGTCTTCCACAATGGTTGAACTAATTTACACTCCAACCAACAGTGGAAAAGCATTCCTATTTCTCCACATCCTCTCCAGCATCTGTTGTTTCTGGACTTTTTAATGATTGCCATTCTAACTGGCATGAGATGGTATCACATTGTGGTTTTGATTTGCATTTTTATAATGATAAGTGATGATGAGCTTTTTTCATTTTTGTTGGTCACATAAATGTCTTCTTTTGAGAAGAGTTCATATCCTTTGCCCACTTTTCGATGGGATTGTTTGGTTTTGTCTTGTAAATTTGTTTAAGTTCCTTGCAGATTCTGGATATTAGCCCTTTGTCAAATGAATTGATTGTAAAAATTTTCTCCCATTCTGTAGGTTGTCTGCTCACTCTGATGCTAGTTTCTTTTGCTGTGCAGAAGCTCTTTAGTTTAATTAGATCCCATTTGTCAATTTTGGCTTTTGTTGCCATTGCTTTTGGTGTTTTAGTCGTGAAGTCTTAGCTGATGCCTATGACCTGAATGGTATTTGCTAGGTTTTCTTCTAGGGTTTTTATGGTTTTAGGTCTTACATTTTAGTCTTTAATCCATCTTGAGTTAATTTTTATATAAGGTGTAAGGAAGGGGTCCAGTTTCAGTTTTCTGCATATGGCTATCCAGTTTTCCCAACACAATTAATTAAACAGTGAATCCTTTCCCCATTGCTTGTTTTGTCAGGTTTGTCAAAGATCTGATGGTTGTAGATGTGTAGTGTTTTTTGTCAGGCCTCTGTTCTGTTCCATTGGTCTATATATCAGTTTTGGTACCAGTACCATGCTATTTTGGTTACTGTAGCCTTGTAGTATAGTTTGAAGCCACGTAGCATGATACCTCCAGCTTCGTTCTTTTTGCTTAAGATTGTCTTGGCTATACAGGCTCCTTTTTGGTTCCATATGAAATTTAAAGTAGGTTTTTCTAATTCTGTGAAAAAATTCAATGGTAGCTTGATGAGAATGGCATTAAATCTATAAATTACTTTGGGCACTAAGGTCATTTTCACAATATTGATTCTTCATATCCACGAGCATTGAAGGTTTTTCCATTTCTTTGTGTCCTCTTTTATTTCGTTCAGCAGTGGTTTGTAGTGCTCTTTGAAGCGGTCCTTCACACTCCTTGTAAGTTGTATTCCTAGGTATTTTATTCTCTTTGTAGCAATTGTGAATGGCAGTTGACTCATGATTTGGCTCTCTGTTTGTCTGTTACTGGTGGATAGGAACGCTTGTGATTTTTGCACGTTAATTTTGTATCCTGAGACTTTGCTGAAGTTGCTTACTAGCTTAAGGAGATTTGGGGCTGAGATGATGGGGTTTTCTAAATATATAATCATGTCATCTGCAAGCAGAGACAATTTGACTTCCTCTCTTCCTATTAGAATATGCTTTATTTCTTTCTCTTGCCTGATTGCCCTGGCCAGAACTTCCAATACTATGTTGAATAGGAGTGGTGAGAAGACATCCTTGTCTTCTGTCAGTTTTCAAAGGGAATGTTTCCAGCTTTTGCCAATTCAGTATGATACTGGCTGTGGGTTTGTCATAAATAGCTCTTTTTATTTTGAGATATGTTCTATCAATACCTAGTTTATTGAGTGTTTTTAGTATGAAGGGGTGTTGAATTGTTTTGAAGGCCTTTTCTGCATCTATTGATATAATCATGTGGTTTTTGTCATTGGTTATTTTTATGTGATGGATTACATTTATTAATTTCTGTATGTTGACCCAGCCTTGCATCCCAGGGATGAAGCCGACTTGATCGTGGTGGATCAGCTTTTTGATGTGCTGCTGGATTAGTTGGCCAGCATTTTACTGAGGATTTTCACATCAATGTTCATCAGGGCTATTGGCCTGAAATTGTTTTTTTCACTGTGTCTCTGCCAGGTTTTGGTATCAGGATGATGCTGGCTTCATAAAATCAGTTAGGGAGGTTTCTCTCTTTTTCTATTGCTTAGAATAGTTTCAGAAGGAAATTCCTCTTTGTTCCTCTGGCAGAATTTGGCTGTGAATCCGTCTAGTCCTAGGCTTTTTTTGTTTGTTAGGCTATTAATCACTGTCTCAATTTCAGAACTTGTAATTGGACTCTTCAGGGATTTGACTTCTCATTGGTTTAGTCTGTGGAGGGGGTATGTCTAGGAATTTCTCCATGTCTTCTAGATTTTCTAGTTTATTTGCAGAGAGGTGTATTTGATTCTTCTCCATTTTCTTCTCTATTAGTCTGGCTAACAGTCTATTTTGTTAGTCTTTTCAAAAAACCAGTTCCTGGATTCATTGATTTTTTGAAGAGTTTTTCGTGTCTCTATCTCCTTCAGTTCTACTCTGATCTTAGTTATTTTTTGTCCTAATGCTAGCTTTTGAATTTGTTTGCACTTGCTTCTCTAGTTCTTTTAATTGTGATGTTAGGGTGTCAATTTTAGATCTTTCCCGCTTTCTGATATGGGCACTTAGTGCTGTAAATTTCTCTCTAAACACTGCTTTAGCCAGGTCCCAGATATTCGGGTATGTTGTGTCTTTTTCCCATTGGTTTCAAAGAACTTAATTAATTCTGTCTTAATTTCGTTATTTACCCAGTAGTCATTCAGGAGCAAGTAGTTCAGTTTACATGTAGTTGTGTGGTTTTGAGTGAGTTTTTTAAACCTGATTTCTGATTTGATCGCACTGTGGTCTGAGAGACTGTTGGTTATGATTTCTGTTCTTTTGCATTTGCTGGGGTGTGTTTTGCTTCCTATTATGTGGTCAATTTTAGAATAAGTGCGGTGAGGTGTTGAGAAGAATGTATATTCTGTTGATTTGGGGTGGAGAGTTCTGTAGATGTATATTAGCTCCATTTCATCCAGAGCTGAGTTCAAGTCCTGAATATCTTTTTTAATTTTCTCTCTCGTTGATCTGTATAATATTGACAGTGGGGTGTTAATATCCCTCACTACTATAGTGTGGGAGTCTAAGTCTTTTTGTAGGTCTCTAAGAACTTGCTTTAAGAATATGGGTGCTCCTGGCTGGGCGCAGTCACTCATGCTTGTAATCCCAGCACTTTGGGAGGCCAAGGTGGGCAGATCACATGAGATCAGGAGTTCAAAACCAGCCTGAACAATATAGTGAAACCCCGTCTCTATTTTTTTTTTTTTTTTTTTTTTTTGAGACGGAGTCTCGCTCTGTCGCCCAGGCCGGACTGCGGACTGCAGTGGCACAATCTCGGCTCACTGCAAGCTCCGCTTCCCGGGTTCACGCCATTCTCCTGCCTCAGCCTCCCGAGTAGCTGGGACTACAGGCGCCCGCCACCGCGCCCGGCTAATTTTTTGTATTTTTAGTAGAGACGGGGTTTCACCTTGTTAGCCAGGATGGTCTCGATCTCCTGACCTCATGATCCACCCGCCTCGGCCTCCCAAAGTGCTGGGATTACAGGCGTGAGCCACCGCGCCCGGCCCCGTCTCTATTAAAAACACAAAAATTAGCCAGGCATGGTGGCAGGTACCTGTAGTCCCAGCAACTCAGCAAACTGAGACAGGAGAATTGCTTGAACCTCGGAGGTGGAGGTTGCAGTGAGCCGAGACCGTGCCACTGCACTCCAGCCTGGCCAACAGAGTGAAACTCCATCTCAAATAATAATAATAATAATAATAATAATAATAATAATAATAATAATAATAATAAAATAAAAAATAAAAGAATATGGGTGATCCTGTATTGGGTGCATATATATTTAGGATATTTAGCTCTTCTTGTTGCATTGTTCCCTTTAAGATTATGTAATGCCCTTCTTTGTCTTTTTTGTTTTGATCTTTGTTAGTTTAAAGTCTGTTTTATCAGAGACTAGGATTGCAACCCCTGCCTTTTTTTTTCTGTCCATTTGCTTGGTAAACATTCCTGCATCCCTTTATTTTGAGCCTATGTGCATCTTTGCACGTGAGATGGTTCTCCTGAATACAGCACACTGATGGGTCTTCACTCTTTATCTAATTTGCCAGGCTGTGTCTTTTCATTGGGGCATTTAGCCCATTTGCATTTAAAATTAATAGTGTTATGTGTGAATTTGATCCTGTCACCATGATGCTAGCTGGTTATTTTGCACATTAGTTGATGCAGTTTCTTCAGTGTCGTTGGTTCTTATTTTGGTATGTTTTTGCAGTGGTGGGTAACAAATTTTCCTTTCCATATTTAGTGCTTCCTTCAGGATCTCTTTTAAGGCAGGCCTGGTGGTGACAAAAATCCCTCAGCATTTGCTTTTCTGTAAAGGATTTTATTTCTCCTTCACTTATGAAGCTTAGTTGGCTGGATATGAAATTCTGGGTTGAAAATTCTTTTCTTTAAGAATGTTGAATATTGGTTCCCACTCTCTTCTGGCTTGTAGGGTTTCTGCCAAGAGATCCGCTGTTAGTCTGATGGGCTTTCCTTTGTGAGTACCCTGACCTTTCTCTCTGGTTGCCCTAAACATTTTTTCCTTCATTTCAGTCTCAGTGAATCTGACAATTATGTGTCCTGGGGTTGCTTTTCTCAAGGAGTAGCTTAGTGGTGTTCTCTGTATTTCTTGAATTTGAATGTTGACCTATCTTGCTAAATTGGGGAAGCTCTCTTGGATAATATCCTAAATTGTGTCTTCCAACTTGGTTCTATTCTCCCTGTCACTTTCAGGTACACCAATCAATCATAGATTTGGTCTTTTCACATAGTCCCACATTTCTTGGAGGCTTTATTCCTTCGTTTTCTTTCTTTTTCTTCTGATCTTGTCTTTATGCTTTATTTCATTTAGTTGATCTTTAATCTCTAATATCTTTTCTTCCACTTGATTGATTCAGCTACTGATACCTGTGTATGCTTCACAAAGTTCTCGTGCTGTGTTTTTCAGCTCCATCAGGCCATTTAAGTTCTTCTCTAAACTGGTTATTCTAGTTAACTGTTCCTGTAACCTTTTATCAAGGTTCTTAGCTTCCTTGCATTGGGTTACAGCATGCTCCTCTAGCTCAGAGGAGTTTGTTATTATGCACCTTCTGAGGCGTACTTCTGTCAATTCATCAATCTCATTCATTCTCCATCCAGTTTAGTTCCCTTGCTGGAGAGGAGTTGTAATACTTTGAAGCAGGGGCATTCTGGTTTTTGGAATTTTCAGCATTTTTGTGGTGGTTTTTCCTCATCTTCATGGATTTATCTACCTTTGATCTTTGATGCTGAAAACCTTTGGATTGGGTTTTTGTGTGTGCGTCCTTTTTGTTGATGTTGATGTTATTGCTTTCTGTTTGTTAGTTTTCCTTCTAACAGTCAGGCCCTTCTTCTGCACGTCTGCTGGAACTTGCTCGAGGTCCACTCTAGACCCTGTTTGCCTAGGTATCACCAGCAGAGTCTGCAGAACAGCAAAGATTGCTGCCTGCTCCTTTCTATGGAAGCTTCATCCCAGGATGGCACCCACCTGATGCCAGCCAGAGCTCTCCAGTTTGAAGTGTCTGTCAACCTCTGCTGGGAAATGTCTCCCAGTCAGGAGGCATGGGGTCAGGGACTCACTTGAGGAGGCAGTCTTTCCCTTAGCAGAGCTCGAGCACTGTGCTGGGAGATTCACTGCTCTCTTCAGAGCTGGCAGGAAGGGATGTTTAAGTCTGCTGAAGCTGTGCCCATCAGCCACCCTTTCCCCCAGGTGCTCTCTCCTAGGGAGATGGGAGTTTTATCTATAAACCCCTGACTGGGGCTGCTGCCTTTCTTTCAGAAATGCTCTGACCAGATAGGAGAAATCTAGAAAGGCAGTCTCACTACAGTGGCTTTGCCAGGCTGGAGTGGGTTCTGCCCAATCCGAACTTCCTGGCAGCTTTGTTTACACTGTGAGGGGAAAACTGCCTAGTCAAGCCTCAGTAATGGCATATGCCCCTCCCCTCACCAAGCTGAAGCATACCATGTTTACTTCAGACTGCCGTGCTGGCAGCGAGAATTTCAAGCCAGTGGATCTTAGCTTGCTGGGCTTTTTGTGGGTGGGACCCACTAAGCTAGGCCACTTGGCTCCCTGGCTTCAGCCCCCTTTCGAGGAGAGTGAACTGTTCTGTCTTGCTGGTGTTCCAGGCCCCACTGTGGTATGAAAAAAAATTTCTGCAGCTAGCTCAGGGTCTGCCCAAATGGCTGCCCAGTTTTGTTCCTGAAACCCAGGGACTTGGTGGTGTAGACATCCGGGGGAATCTCCTGGTCTGCAGGTTGAAAAACCATGGGAAATGTGTAGTATCTGGGCCAGATATAACCGTGCCTCACAGCACAGTCCCTCATGGCTTCCCTTGGGTAGGGGAGGGAGTTTCCTGACCCCTTGCACTTCCTGGGTGAGGCGACACCCCATCCTGCTTCTGCTTACCCTCCATGGGCTGCACCCACTGTCTAATCAGTCCCAAAGAGATGAGCTGGGTACCTCAATTGGAAATGCAGAAATCATGTACCTTCTGTGTTGGTCTCACTGGGAGTTGCAGATTGGAGTAGTTCCTATTTGGCCATCTTGCCAGATCCCCCCTTTTCTGTTATTTTAAATAGAATTGTTTTCTTAATTTCTTTTTCAGATTGTTCCTTGTTAGTGCATAGAAATGCAGCTAATTTTTTTATGTTCGTTTTCTATCGTACAACACTGCCAAATTCATTTATTAGTTCTAATAGTTTTTAGGGTAGCATCTTTAGTGTTTTCTACATAAGATTATGTAATTTGTGAACAGAGATAATATTACTTTTTCTATATGATTTGATTGCAATTCTTTCTTTCTTTCTTGCCTATTTGCTCTAGCTAGGAAAACCAGTACCATGTAAACAGAAGTGGCTAGAGTGAACATCCTTACCTTACTCCTGATCTTACAGGAAAAATTTCAGCTTCATCATTCAGTGTGTTAGTTGTAAGCTTTTCCTATTTGGCTTTTATGGTGTTGAAGTAATTTCCTTCTATTTTTAGTCTGTTGAATGTTTCTATCATAAAAACTGTTAAATTTTGTCAAATCCATATCAAAATCCCAAAGACATGTTTTGCACACACACACAAAAATCTTAAAATTTATATAAAACCACAAAAGAGTGAAGAGCCAAAAGACCCTTAAGAAAGAACAAACTTGGAAGCCTCACAATTCCTAATTTCAACACATATTACAAAACTACAGTAATCAAAACATTGCAGTACTGGCATAAAAATGGACACATGAATCAACGGAATAGAACAGAAAGCCCAGAAACAAATCAATGCATACATATGGTCAGCTGATCTTTGACAAGGGTGCTAGTTATACACAATAGGAAGAAAAAGCTAGCTTTTTCTACAAATGGAACTGGGAAAACTTGATTTCTAAATGCAAAAAAAAAAATGAAATTATACCCTAGTACCACACACACAAATCAATTCAAAATGGATTAAAAATTTAAACATAAGACCCAAAACTATAAAACTCTTAGAAGAAAACACAGGAAGAAAGCTTCATGCCATTGATCTTAGCAATTATTTCATAGCTACGACACCAAAAGCAAAGGCAAGAGAAGCAAAAATAGATCAGTGAGACTGCATAAAATAAAAAGCTTCTACACTGCAAAAGAGAAAATCAGCAAGTTGAAATGGCAACCTTTAAACCAGAGAAAATATTTGCAAATCATATATCTGATAATGGGTTAATCTTCAGAATACATAAGAAACTTTTATAACCCAATAACTGTGTGTGTGCATGTGTGTGTATCTGTCTGTCTGTCTGTGTACAGCTCTTTAAAAGAAGGAAATTCTGTTATTTTGTCAACATGAATAAACCTGGAACATATTAAGCTAAATAAAATAATTCAGGCACAGAAAGATAAATACTGCATGATTCCACTTATATGGTGTACCTAAAGTAATTAAAGTAATAGAAGCAGAAAGTAAAATGGTGTTAGTCAGAGACTGGGAGGAGAGAAAAATGAGGAGCTGCTCTTCAAGGGGTATAAAGTTTCACCACTTTACTTTCTAAAATATAAAAGAACTTCCTAGAATAAAAAAGTTCTAAAGGTTTGCTGTACAATATTGTGTTTACACTTTACAATAGTGTACACCTGAAAGTTTGTGAAGAGAGTAGAGATTATGTGTGTTTTTTACCACAATATTTAAAAAAAAATTTTGCCAAGCCATATGGAGAAATGTTATATATATGTTTAAATATATTTATGTTTAAATATATATTTAAACATGAATTATTTAATTGCTACTGAGGCAGAATAAATTTTAATAGGTTTTTTAGATACTAATATTTCTTCTCTGAATTGTATCCTTATATCATTTGCTCTTGTTTCTAATGGAGTTAATTGTATTACTTTTATTGTCATTGTAATACTAATATATGCTGATTTTTAAGTTTTGGAAAACAAATAATTATTGAAAAACTAAAATCACCCTAATGCTTTATCCTTAAATTAGCCTACCATTGTATCCTTAATGTCTATGATTATATCTCTAATTCTAGATATTTAATAAATATTTTATGTAATTCTCAACATAGTGTATACTTTCCAGGAATTTTTTTATATCTACCTATATATTTTCATAGGGTTGTAATCATAGTAGATAACAGTGGGCTGTATACTTTTTATATTTAGCACACTATAAATGTTCTCTTATTTTTTAAATGATTTGTCATAAATATTTTTCTAAATAGACTTTTTTGTGATTTGTAGAATAATTTATGAGTTTCATTTAAAACTTAAAAAACCTAGACCACTAAAACTAAAAGAAAATAATCTATATTTTCTCAACGTATAGATAACTATTTGAAGTATTTTTCCTAAATAATAACATGAATGTTATATATTTAATGTGATTAGAACCACACTATTTATATGGTTATATATATGGAGATTTTTAATTTTTTTGAGTACATAGTAAGTATATGTATTTATGGGGCCCATAAGATATTTTGATGTAGGCATACAATATGTGACAATCATATCAGGTTAAATGGGGTATCTATCACTTCAAGTATTTATCATTTCTTTGTGTATTAACATTTCAATTATACCCTTTTAGTTACTTTAAAATAGGAAATAAATTATTGTTGACTGCAGTCACCCTGTTGTGCTGTCAAATACTAGGTCTTCTTTATTTTATTTAAATAT